>NC_000001.11:114402319-114705350 GCF_000001405.40 Homo sapiens
AGAGATCACTACAATAGTCCAGATGAGAAATTATGATGTAAGGTAAGAAAATCATATTATAGTTATTATTATTTCATTTCTAATAGGTTTCTAACCTGAGCAACAGAAATGAATGGTGGTATCATTCAATTAAGGGGAATACTGGGGGAGGAATACAGTTTTTTATGTCGTTATTTGCTTGGTTTTGTGCTTGGAGGGAGAGGATTAGAAATTAAGATTTTAGTTGGGACATGTTAAGTTTGAGGAATCTGGATAGAAGGGTCTGTAGTTCAGGGTTAGAGGAAAAAAAGACTTCAGAAATCATCAATATACCATCAGATGACAGGATTAAAAATTAAATGTTATCAGGTTTTGTGTATGCTACACAGGAAAAAAAAAGGTGTATATATAGGCAGACAACTACTGAATCCCAGTGACAAATCAACTTATTTGACACTTACCCTTTGGTCCACGGGGCTTAACCCCTGCGCAGTTTTCCCCTTCTTACTATGTTGCAAATTATCACAATCATATTCAACTTCTGGCTTTCCAATATCTCTACAAAATGTGCATATCCAGTCCCCACTAGACAGGGAAATAGGCAATTAGTCCACGTAATTATAAGAAAGCCTGCTCTAGAGAAGCTACTTCCCTGGACTGGGGCCTGGTTTATTTTCTTAATAATTTTTTGAAAAAAGGGAGGTTTTATAGTTGTGAAATCTCGTCAGGTGAAGTCATGTGATTAAAAACTCCTCTAAATTTTCCTAGTCACGCATCAATTGATTACTTTCTGGAATGCATTATAAAAATGGCACCTCCGCATTAAAAGGGGGTCTCTTAGTAGTGATGAGCAGTACTTGCAGCATAAGGCCTAAGACCAATTCTCTCAGATCCCAGTATCACCATTATGTGGACTCAGTTATTTATGAAGAAGAAGAGCACAGGTTGCAGAGTTTCTCAGGTATCTTGTACTGTTTTGGCATGTATTAAAATGCCACAAGTAAATCAGTTCTTTTTTCGTGGTCAAAACCTAGAACACACAAACACATACCTGCAGGCACAAGCACATGTATATATACCTCCTTTTTTTTGGAGACAGAATCTCCCCCTTGCCCAGGCTGGAGGGCAGTGGCATAATCTTGGTTCACTGCAACCTCCGCCTCTCGGGTTCAAGCGATTCTTGTACCTCAGCCTCCCTAGGAGCTGGGATTACAGGCGTGCACCATCATGACCGGCAGATTTTTCTATTTTTTTTGAGACACAGTTTCACTGGGTCCTCCAGGCTGGAGTACACAGTGGCACGATCCTGGCTCACTCCAACCTCTGCCTCCCGGGTTCAAGCAATTCTCATGCCTCAGCCTCCTACGTAGCTGGGATCACAGGGGCCTGCTACCATGCCCAGCTAATTTTTGTAATATTTGTATGGGGTTTCACCATGTTGACCAGGCAACTCCTGACCTCAGGTGATCTGCCTACCTTGGCCTCCCAAAGTGCTGAGATCACAGGCACCCGCCACCATGCCTGGCCAATTTTTGTATTTTTAGTAGAGATTGGGTTTTTTCACCATGGTGGCCAGGCTGGTCTCAAACTCCTAGCCTCAAGTGATCCACCTGCCTTGGCCTCCCAAAGTGCTGGGATTACAGGTGTAAGCCACTATGCCCGGCTACCTCCTATCTTTTAACCCTGCCAAGTATATACTTTGTTTTTATCAGGATTTCTTATCAAACTATGAATTCTAAAATGATTCACTCCCTCTCTCTATATAAACAGATACATGGAGATATATAGAGAGATATATACATAGATCCTAAATCTAGGGATTGTACTAACCAATCTATTTGTTTTTCTTTTTTAGAGACGGAGTCCTGCTCTGTCACCCAGGCTAGAGTGCAGTGGTACAATCTCGGCTCATGGCAACCTCTGCTTCCCAGGTTCAAGCAATTCTCCTGGCTCAGCTCTCCGAGTAACTGGGACTACAAGGTGTGTGCCACCATGCCTGGCTAAGTTCTTTTTTTTTTTGTATTTTTAGTAGAGATGGGGTTTTGCCATGTTGGCCAGGCTGGTCTCAAACTCCTGACCTCAAGTGCTCCGCCTGCCTCAGCCTCCCAAAGTGCTGGGATTACAGGTGTGAGCTACCACACCTGGCTAATTTACGCCAACATTTTACAACCCTTTCAAAGCATTTGCTATTGAAAGAAGGCATTCAGTGGCAAAATTCTGACATTCCAGTAAATATTACTACCCAAAGAAAAGAAAATTCTTAATTTCAAGATCAAAGTGCCAATGCTTTTCTTTTCTAAATAAGAGTAAAGAAAAAGAAGGCCCTTATTACATCTCTAGCAAATAACTCTATCTCCAAAGACTTAGGTAAGAAATTACAATTCTTCAGAAAAATATTCTGGCACTGTTTAAATATCTACTAGTTTTCTAATCCAAAAGGTTAACACTTTCAAAGAGGGCACTATTATTCAATTAAAGTTACTGCTTCTCAGGAATTTGAGAAGATATATCTTTTTTTTTTTTTTTTTTCAATTTATAGCAAGAAAAAAGCTGGGTTTACCCCAAGAATACTGACTTACTTTCACCAAAAAGAAATTGGGGGACAAGAGAGGAAGGAGAAGACTGAAAAAAACAAGTATGACTCTACTATTTTATGGTCTCTGAAATCAAGAGACAAGAGGTTGCATGAACATAAAATAATAAATGGAAGGGAAGAACTACAGCTCTGCTAAACCAAAACCTACCACTTGTAGATGCAAAAACTGATCCCTGATAATTAGTGAATTGCTCAAGCTTACTACAGAATTAGAACCAGACTGCAGGTTTTGTAACCTTAGCCCCCTATTAATTTAGAGTTTTATCTATTTTCCTTATACTGAATATAAACTAAAGGCCAGGAGATGAAATCTACTCTTTAACATTAATGTACTACTTAGATCTTAGATATTTTATTGTTAGTTTCTCTGGAAGCTAATACCAAAAGAATAACAGGCTCCCTGTTTTATAGAAATACTATGCACTGGTTAGAAGGCCATCTGCCCTGAACATTCTTCTGTTATTTATTTTTAGCTTATGAAAATCAACACCAAAAATCAATTATTTCACTGGTACCTTGGAAAGCTAAGTAGTGTTGGAACATGACAAGTTAGATGAAAGACCTTTGGACATTTTTCGCAGCACAAGAGATCTCCTCCGTTTTGGCAGACAGCACACCAGTCTTCATTTGGGTCATCATCTTTATTGTTGCCATCTCCTCCAATCCTTGCCGACCTGTGCATGAGGCTTCGAATTGGGGACTTTCCATTAACAAGGCTGCTGAGCCCTGACTGTTTGCAGCTTTCATTCATATCTGCAGGTTCAATTTTCACATGGTTTTCCAGGCTTGCCAATGCATCCAATTCACTTTCTAGATGCAGGTTGGTTGAGAGAGGTGGTGTCAAGCTACTCTCAGGACTGCTCAACTAAAACAAAACGATGACAAATTCTTGAAGAATCATTTAATCTTTATTGTATGCCATATGTGTATTTAACAGTTATGTGAATATGCATATAGATATACTGACGTAACAAATTTATTTTATAGATCACAATAGTGCCATAAAGAAATGACAATAACCCCAAAATTATTCAGGCACGCTAACATATGATTTTAAGGGGTCTGCTCCTCTGATAATGTCTCACTCAAATAATAAGTAAATTAATTAAACTGTTAAGCTATTGATTGGGAAGTGAGCATAGGGTTATACTTTTCCTTGAGAGAGCTAATTATGGCACACCCCTTTTCACACCCAGAATCTTTTGCATAGCATTTTAGAAGCATTCTATAATATTCTTCTGCTCACCTATCATTCTACTATATTGTAGGAAGGCTGCAACAACATAAAAGAAATTGTTCACCAACCTTGGCACCCATTTTTTTTATGGGGGTACTTTCTAAACCAAGTTCTGGATGAAGACGTAACAATACTCCAAAACCAAGGCTGAATCTCTTGCTCTCTGAATCTATATATACTGTGTTAAATATACCAATACCTTGAGATGAATTCCCATGTGCCAACCATATAAAAAAGGAAAAAGAAGCCCGGTCAGAAAGAGAAAACAAAAATCAAAATATTTAAACCAAGAGGGGCTTGGCCTTCCTTCATTCTGTATTAGAAATTTTATAAATGTTCCACTCAAGGAACTCCAGAATGATTAGTAATACGTAAGCCAAAAGACAAACTTCCTATCACAAAACTCTGATCAATAAATTTCTTTCATGTCAGCAATCTTAATGCTGAGCTCACAGGTCCAGGAGAATCCCAAAGATCTTTTGTGGCCTGAGATTCAATGTGACTACTGAAATAATAATTTCAGGACAAGATACAATCTGATTTAGCATCATGGGAAGAATATTGACTAAATACAAATTCAAAGATAATTTCAAATGAGTACTTAATACAATTAAGTCTTTTCTGATTAATTACAGCTGACTCTTAGACAAAAAAGTTGAGTTAGAAAAAGAGATATCTGGCTTGTGCCAGGCATGAAATTTCAAAAATAAATGTTTCTAGACCCACTACTTAGTCTTAATATACTCAGAGCTGAAAGAATCAATGAAGTGATGTCCTTAAGTCCCTGTCAGACTCCAGTGGGAGCTTACCATGCAAGCACTCCTCCTGCCATCCTCTGTTTTTTCTTGTTTTACACCTCCTGAAAAGCTACATATTTCATCTTCAGTCCCAGGTTCTTGCTTGACCTTCACCTGATCAGATTTGAAACTAAGACTTGTCTTCTCAGCAGTTCTTCCTGATGACCCACAGCTAATAAGAAACAACAAATAAAGATCACATACGTTTGACTATATGGTATAAATAAAAACAATTATATGAAAAGTAATGTTCACTAAAGTGAAGACAATAGACAATTAACTTTACAGAAGATAAGGATACCTCATAATGTAGTTAAGGGGAATGTGGTATAAAGCCTAGCTTAAAACTCTTTAAAATTATGCAGCAACTTTCAGAAGACCCTAAAAACACATTTTATGGTTTGAAGCACTTTCTTCACACACACACACGCACACACACACACTCCTATTTCTTAGCTCTGTCCACTGAAAAGGCCTAAGAAACAATGAACAATTCAGTAGCAATGAGTGCTATTAGTACTAGAATATTATCCTCAAACACTATTTTCCTGCTTTCCTGCTAACACTACCAGAACTTCCTGGGAAAGTGGCTGATTCCAGGTCTGAAGCATGAAATGTACAAAATGAACCCGAAATGCTGTTTCACAGGAAACATGGAAGCTTAAAAAAGACTGCTGTGATTATAGCAAAAGGACTAAGGAGCAAGCCTGAGAAAGCTTTGACAGGACAAAGATGGAATAATGTTCAGTGTTCAATATACATACATACAGACGTAACATATATAATGGATTAAAATATATAAAGTATGTTTAAATATCTCAGTCCATAAAGGTAATAACAATAAAACTGTCACTGTTGGAGGGTGTTGGAAATCAATTCATTACCACAAAAGCAGGGAAATAAACAGAAAGAATTTATCCTATCTTTCCTATAACCCAATAGTTGATGACAGAAAGCTTCTCTTTACAGAAATATTCTAAAGAAATAAAGAATGATACAATAATTAAAATGTAATATTTCAACCAGCAGAAAAATAATAGAGCTAAACAATGATTATTAACGGTTGCCATCACAAAAACCCCCAACCAGGCATAATTCGCCCCAAAGGAAGTATATGCCACCACTACACTACCAAGTCTTCTTGCTCTCCCTTCCCCCAAATCAAACCTAAATCTGATCAACCCTCTTGACCTAAATACCAAAATAGACAGAAAAACAGGAGGCAATGTACTTAAATGACAAGATGGAGAAATCGGGAAAACACTGTAGGAGAAACTACATTTTTACAACAAATTAACTGATAGTGATGTAAACAAATAAACTGATGGCAATGTATAGAGCTTATTTGCATCTGATTCAAAGAAATCATCTGGTTTTTTTTTCAAAGGCATTTGTTGCAAAAATTGGGAACACTAAACATTAACTGGATCTCTACTGATATTAAAGAATGAGTTGTTAAATTTTTTTAGGTGTGATCATGGTTCTGTGGTTATAAATTTTTAAAGTTCCTTTCATTAAGTGATATATACTGAAACAGTCACGAGTGAAATGACTGAGATTTGTTTCAAAATAATTCAGACCAGAAAGGAATTGGCAGAAGTATAGAAGAAACAAGATTGGCCATTATTTGATCACTGTTAAAGCTGAGTGTTAAGTATAAAGGGGTTCACTGTAATATTCTACTTTTATTATACATATTTGCTATTTTTCTTAACAAAAAGGAAAAAAATAATTATCAATATACTCACCTGCCTCGACTGCCAGTACTAGAAGTACTTGGGGGTCTCACAGGTGTGTGAGAATTGGATAAACCTAAAAAGTAGTAAGTCAAAATGAATATCAATGCATATAAGAATATTTGGAATTCTACCTACCGGTCACAGAACTCAAGATTATTATAACCCAGCTAAAAAATTATTGGAAATCAGACCTAGTCACAAAGTCAGGGACGCATGTGTAACCATTAGCAGACATCAACCAGTTTCTCTCAGCTGTGTCCAGACATCACCTCAGAATCCTCCTCAGGGCACCACTATCCAGTCAACAAAACAGACCAAGAAAACGTTATCTGCCATCCCTCAACAAGTTATTTGATAAAATATTCTACTTAGGTTCCCATTAATTATTTTCAGAAGTCCTGAAATAATTCTTATTAAACCTTAAAAATTATGTGATTTAAAAATATGTTAATGTTGCATCTCATGGAAAATCCATATTTACATGTGAATTGTTCTTCCTCTAGAAAGAAGTAGGTGGTGTGTTTCAGTAAGAAAAAAATAACATTTAATTTACGTTAGAAAAATACATTCAATAACACTTCTAGACTGTTAACCTGTTTGGAGTTGCTTCAATCATGTATTCAAGAGTCCCAATTGAATCACTGAGTAATAGGGTTAATAAAACCGCTGGGATTTTGGAAGAGAGCTACATATCATGGCTATTTTAATAGTTTTCAGCAAAATGTTTATTTTAAAATTACAGTTTGAAAATTAACCTGCCCTTCTTTAGCTCTTACTTTTTAAATAATTTTTCAATGTTTCATTATTTTACTAAGTGTTTTAAAGTTGACTTGGAACCAAAGAACTCTTCAACTGACTCTGTATTGTAAAATATAAGATTAAACCCATGAAAGACTGTGAATATACTAAGGGTTGAGTAATTTGGAGTTCCAAATAGTGTAGACTACAGATATATATTAATATGGCTTCAGTTACTGAAAGAGTACCAATAGTATTTGAACAAAAATAATTACAAAGAACAATCAAGAAAAAAATATGTTATTGTGTCAACTTGGCTAGGATATGACACCCAGCAGTTTGGCCAAACATCAGTATAGATGGTACTGTGAAGGTATTTTTTTAGATGGGATTAATTAACATTTCAACAAGTTGACTTTGAGAAAAGTAGATTATATTCCATAATGCAAGTGGGCCTCATATAATCAGGTAAAGCCCTTTTAAGAGAGAAGAGAAGACGGAGCCCTGTTCTCTCCCCTACCTCCTCATGCCCCAAAGAAGAAATTTTGTCTCAAGACTGTAACAATACTCTTACCTGGGTCTCCAGCCTGCCTCACCTCCCTGCCAACACCCACAATCACATGAGCCAATTCCTTAAAATAAATCTCTCTCAATCTCCCTTTCTCTCTTCAAGTAGACCTCCTACTTATTCTGTTTTTCTGGAGAATTCTGACTAAGACAGATACTGACACTGTTTTTTTAAGGTGTTAAAAAATAAGGTAATACCCGTTTGCTTTACCTGATGATCCCGGAGAAAGGGCAGAGGGACCTGGAGAAGGATTCATGGTGCTTGTAGGCTGTGGGGGTAGGTGACTGCCTGAGATGTATCTACTTAGTAGATTATCTAAACTACTTGAGCCAGCATCTTCCAACTGAAGAGAAAGAAGATAAAGACAAATTTGCTTTGATTAAAGCAGAGAAGTTATTAATTTTATGTCACTGCTTATACTCAGTTTATTAATAAACTAACAGATTATCCAATATCAAGCTGAGCCTTATTATTGCTTCCTTAGGGTCCACTGAGGGCCCACACAGTATAAAGTTTATTTAGATAAAACTGTATTATTCAGCAAACAACTAGGTGCTCAGAGCAAAACAAATCCTATATGTTCTATTATGAAAATAGCTGACATGCTCTGACACTTCTGCTGTTTCTCAAAATTGCTGCAGGACCTATTTATCAGTATTCTTGTCCCCAGTATCCCTCCATTTCAGTGTCCACAATCATTCACTTAAATAGAAATGTAATTATGTTAGTACCCAGCTCTGAAACTCTGAAAAATTCTTATAGCCCACAGAAAGCCCTTAGCTTGACACACAAGGCCCCTTACTACAAAAAAAAAAGGGCACAGTTAACAGTACATATGAGCCCTTCCCTTACTTAGAGGCAGTACGATAAAGCCAGAAGACCCATAACTATGATTCTGGGCTGGTTCTCAACCTGAACGTCAGTTTCCTATCCTTAAAACATGCCACCTATATTGCAGAACTCCGATGATTAAATGACAAAATGTGTAAGAAAGAGTAAAAAAAATTATTTAAGTATGAATATTACCTTAAATCTTATACTATTTCATAAAAGAAATGGTCATATTCTTCTTTTATTTATTTTTGAGACAGGGTCTGGCTCTGCTGTCCAGACTGAAGAGCAGTGGCATCATCTTGACTCACTGCAACCTCCACCTCCCAGGCTCAAGCCATGCCCTCCATTTCAGCCTCCTGAATAGCTAGGACTACAGGCATGCGCCACAACGCCTGGCTAATTTTTGTGTTTTTTTTTTATAGAGATGGGATTTTGCTACATTGCCCAGATTGGTCTCCAACTCCTGAGCTCAAGCAATCTGCACACCTTAGTCTCCCAAAGTACTGGGATTACAAACAAAACAAAACCCATGCCAGAGACATGAAGGGCTGAAGGTAGGAGTAGGCAGTAGGTTAGTTGGAGGGATAATCAAAGGACAATAGCAGTTGTGTTACCCTGTGGTCATAGCTGTTGGCCAAGGATGCACTTGCAAAGCTGTGACTACAGGTGAATCCCTAGCTGCAACTCAAGTCAACAGGAAGATTTGTTATGAGGGGGGAGTACCTAATATGGGCCAGAGATGAAAATGGGGATGCATCCCACCTAAAAACAGAAGGGGGAAGATGATTCAAAACTGACATGAAAATCCCATGTTACCTATTTCCACTCCTTTTTATACTCCTCACCTGCAATTTGTATCTTTTGCTAGAAAGATAACTCTAAGGGTAGAGGATGGACAGGTCAGGAAGAGGCAAACAGGAAATACATTAAAGGACATCCCTGATGTCATTATAACCTCCAACAGATAGGTGCTAACTGAAGCATTCACCTGTGGGTTTCACTAGACATGGATAGTCACCATAAATAAAGTTAGAAGTCTAACTGGAAAGACATTAATTCATTTATTCATTAAAGCAATGTTTTTTGAGCATCCCTGAATAAGTACATGGAAATATAATTATTATATAAATAATTTTCATGATTTAAAAGTAAAAACACAGTCCAATAGGAAAATGAGCAAAGATATTTCACAAAAGACAAAGATAATTTACAGAAGAAATAAAAATAATCAACGAACATAAGAAAACCAATTTCACCAATCAAAGAAATGAAAATAAAGTTAACAATAATGTCATTTTAATCCATCACTGGAAAAGATGGAAGAATGATTAATTTACCTAGTATTGGGAAGACAATGCAAAAATGGGCATTTTCAAATATATAAGCTGGCACAATATTTTTTGTAGAGCAATTTGCCAATACCTATGTGAAATTTAAATGTGTAATTACTTTTGGCCCAGTAATTACACTTCTACCAACTTCGCTTACAGAAATATGTGTTTAAAACTATACAGTCATTGTGCCTCAATGCAGCTTTTTACAAATGACATTAAGGTATAAATGATGTACAATAAACTAAATATATTCAAAGTGTAGTACCTGATGTGAAAGTTTAACACATTTTCACATAGTCTACAACTGGGAAACCCAAATCAAGAATAGTGAACAGATCATATCTATCACCCCCAAGATTCCTCATGCCCCATGGTAATCAATCCCTCTCTCAAACAACCTGTCCTCAACCAACCACTCATCTGCTTCCTTCAGCTTTAGTTTTTTTTTCCAGAGTTTTATATAATTTGAATTATATACTGTACGCTTTTTTCATCTATTTTTTTCACTTGGTAAAACTGAGATTTATCCTTGCTGTTGGATCCAGTTCATTCCTTTTCACTGTTAGTTACTATTCTATTATATGAACACACAATTTGTTTATCCATTTATTTGCAGGTGGATATTTGGGTTGTTTCCAGTTTTTGTCTTATTACAAACAAAGCTGCTATAAACATTTGAGTACGAATCTTTGTATAGAAATATTTCCTGTTTTCTTTTGGCAAATAAAAGCAGAATGGCTGAATCATTATGACAGATACACGTTTAACTTTTAAAGAAACCGCTGAACTTTTTTCAAAGTGATTGTACCATTTTACAATCCCAACAGTGTTTGAAGGTTCTAGTTCCTCCACATTCTCACCAATACTTGCTATGGTTAATGTTAAGTCTATTTAATTTTAGCCATCCTAATAAGTATGTCGTGGTACATCTCACTGTGGTTTTAACTTGCATTTTCCTAATAACTAATGATCTTAACATCTTTTCACAAATGCAGCTTTGTTTTTAATAGTAACATGTGAGAGATAAACCAAAAGTTCACCAACAGAGGGCTAAAAAAACATCCAATGAAATGGAATACCATATGGATTAAAACACAAGAAAGCTCTAAGAACTGACATGAAAAAGTCCAAAAGTAGCTGGGCGCAGTGGCTCACGCCTGTAATCCCAGCACTTTAGGAGGCCGAGGTGAGCAGATCACCTGAGGTTGGGAGTTGGAGACCAGCCTGACCAACATGAAGAAACCCCGTCTCTATTAAAAATACAAAATTAGCTGTGCATGGTGGTGCATGCCTGTAATCCCAGCTACTCGAGAGGTTGAGACAGGAGAATCATTTGAACCTGGGAGGCAGAGGTTAAGGTGAGTCAAGATCGTGCTATTGCACATCAGCCTGGGCAACAAGAATGAAACTCCATCTCAAAAAAAAAAAAAAAGAAAAGAAAAGAAAAAGACTTTTTCTGAAAAGAAAAAGTCCAAAAGCAAAACTGTAAAAAAAAAAAAAAAAAAAAAAAAGGTAAAACTTGCAACACAGTATTTATAGCACTAGGTGTGTACATGTGGTATAATCTCATTTTCTGTTACTTAAAAAAATTACAGGATGGCCAGGTTGGCTCATATCTGTAATCACAACACTTTCGGATACCAAGGTAAGAGGATCACTTGA
This sequence comes from Homo sapiens, assembly GCF_000001405.40. Taxonomy (NCBI): domain Eukaryota; kingdom Metazoa; phylum Chordata; class Mammalia; order Primates; family Hominidae; genus Homo; species Homo sapiens. Next base: position 114,413,804 of record NC_000001.11, read on the forward strand.
GACTAGGAGTTCAAAACCAGTCTAGTCAACTATTAGTAGCAAGACCCCATCTCTACAAAAGAAAAATTTAAAAATTAGCCAGGCATGGTAGCATGTGCCCGTAGTCCCAGTTACTGGGGATACTGGGACAGAAGGATCCCTTGAGCACCACTGCACTCCAGCCTCGGCAAAAGAGTGAGACCCTGTCTCAAAACAAAACAAAATAAACCAAAATAAATCACAGGCACACACACACACACACACACACACACACACACACACACACACGTTTTTAAATTCGTGTTTGCATATTCCTAGGGAAAAATCTGAAAGGATGTACACCAATTGGTTATAGTGCTGGGATTTAGTCAGGTGAAAGAATGGGGTAGACAACTATTTTTGTTTTTTTCCTTTTTCTTTTTTAAAAGCTACAATGGTTTTATATGGCTCATAAAAGCCTTTAAAAAGTAGGCAAATCTGATAGGTCATGTACACTGATCCTACCCCACCAAAACCCTTCAAAAATGCTTTCTCACTGAGTTTAGGATAAAATCCAAAATCCTTTATGCAGCTTACAAAGGCCCTACCTGATCTAGTTTCCATTTTCCTCTACAGAACTAGGCCCTTCTCTCTTTCCTGTTCTTCACTGGCCTTTTTTCTGTTCTTCAAAAGTGCCCAGTTCCTTCAGACCTTGTGGGATTTGAAATTCTGCCCTTTTTCCTAATAAAATTTACTGATGACATCTCCCTACTAACTCTTACCCCGCTTCCAGGTTTCAAAGAGGCTTTAACAATCCACTAAGTTTTATTGGGTTCTCCTGGTATATACTCACCTTAGGTTGATGCCTTACAATTTCCCCTTTGAGTAATGCTATACAATTTATTATAGGTAGGGTTTTAAAAAATCTATAAATGTCTGCATTCTCCTGGCCTGTAAACTCTATGACAGCAGGTCTCTCTTATCCCTACTGTTCCTCAAGACAAGTACAAAGTACTCAACACACTTGGATGAATGCTTATAATTTTCCTATTAAGCATAATACAAAAGCGTAATAGTGGTCCTTCCTCCCAAAGCTTACTTTTTAATAATGAGGGCTGGTGAAAAAGAAAAGGAAGAGAAAAATAATCATAACAACTAACATTTATTAAATACTTATATGTCAGGCACCAAACTTAATCTTACCAACATATCCATGAGGTAGATTCTATTTTTTTTTTTTTTTTTTTTTTTGAGACAGGGTCTCACTCTGTTGCCCAGGCTGGAGTGCAGTGGCACGATCACGGCTCACTGCAACCTTGATCCCCTGGGCTAAAGGGATCCTCCTGCCTCAGCTTCCCAAGCAGCCAGGAATACAGGTCCATGCCAAGATGCCCGGCTCATTTTTAATTGTTTTTGTAGAGACTGGGTCTTGCTATGTTGCCCAAGCTAGTCTCGAACTCCTGGCCTCAAGTGCTCTTCCTATCTTGGCCTCCTCAAAGTGCTGGGACTACAGGCAGAGCCACTGCACCCAGGTTTAAGAGAGCTTAAAATAAAACAGTGACAAAGTCAGCATAAAAAAGAAAAATCACAAAATCTGACCTCCGATTTGAAATTATCATCTACAGTATACCTAACTGCTTTGAATCTCACACTCCTTTCATGCCCTTTGTTGCTTCAGCATACATAATTCCTATCTGGAATATCTGCCTTCTAACTAACCTTGACTAGCTAACACTTGCCTACTTATCTTTCAAGTCCAAATTTAAGATTATCTCATATAAAGTTTATTCTCTGACTTCCACAGGCAGATGTAGGATCTTCTGCCTCTATTCTTTCACTGTCATCTATACACATCCATTTGTACCAATAAGCTCACTGTTTTGACCCTGTTTAGAAAACTGTCACCCGGCCAGGTGCAGTGGCTCACGCCTGTAATCCCAGCACTTTGGGAGGCTGAGGTGGGCAGGTCACCTGTGGTCAGGAGTTCGAGACCAGCCTGGCCAACATGGTGAAACCCTGTCTCTACTAAAAATCCAAAAAATTAGCCGGGCGGGGTGGTGCACGCCCATAGTCCCAGCTACTCTGGAGGCTGAGGCATAAGAATTGCTTGAGCCCAGGAGGCAGAGGCTGCAATGAGCCAAGACTGCACCACTACACTCCAGCCTGAGCAACAAAGACTCCATCTAAAAAAAAAAAAAAAAAAAGCACAACAGCAATAAAAAAGAACAAAAGAAAACTGTCTCCCTATTATATAAGAAACTCCTTGAGGTCAAGGACCATTTCCGTTTGATCCTTCTATAATCAGTACTTAGGGTCTTAATACATGGTAAGTTCTCAGATATTTGTTAAAGAAAATATACAAGTGCATTAATAGTGATCCAAGTTTCCAGAAATGTTCTAGTGTTATGCAGTATTGAAGACTTGGCCTTGAACCTAATAAAAGGATTCCATATTTAGGTGCTGTTCTACTGATTATCAGGAAAATATTACATTTTACCAACAAACAGAAATGTTCTAAAACTGATTAATGAGATACATGTACTGTACCATAAGTGAAACACTAAATATACTACAAAACATTCCCTGTTTTCCATTTACTATCTCCTATTACCTTCTTGCATAAATAAAATGTAAATGCTAAAATTCTTCATTTTAATATATTTCTTCTAGTTACCTAACTATATCACCATTAATACATCTGACTTAGTATAATCAAAAGCTATACAAATAATTCCTCATCTATTCTATTTTGTATAACAACTCACTTCTGTATTACTCCAGTTGTGCCTTCTCACTCCCTCAAGCCATTGCATATACCATACTCTATCTTGACCAACAAATATATCTCATATCTACACACTAAAGTATAATTCAGTCCTTGAGGAAGTTTTTCTTGATTAGGCAAAAGAAAATTGAGACTTCACCTCTACATTTGAGTCTTAAACTTAGCTGTCTTGGCTATTTCACCAGCTTAAACTAATGCTAATGCTAGGTTTTCTCCATGTGAATTCTTAATCTAGCCAAATTCAGTAGAAAAAGAGTTAAAAATAATCCATAAATGTGCCTGAATATGCTTCCTGTAAACCTGCAGAACAGTTACACAATTAAACCTCTTTTCTTTATAAACAGCAATGCAACAACAGCCTGGTACACTACGTTCATACTTGTATGAACTTGTAAATGAAAGCTCACAGCAGCATTATTCCTGACAGCCAGAGAAGAAAAGCAAATGTTCAATGATGAACAAATGATATATGTATACAATGAAATATTATTCAGCCATAAAAAATGAAATCCTAATACATGCTAAAACATGGATAGACCTGGAAAACATTATGCTAAGTAAAAGAAGCCAGACATCAAAGGCCAAATATAATTCCATTCACATGTGGAATGTCCACAGAGACAAAGTAGATTAGTGGTTTCCAGGGGCTGGAAGAGAAGGATATGAGTGACTGCTAATGAGTACCATTTCTTTTGAGGTGATGAAAATATTCTTGAATTAGTGGTAATGGTTGTACAATCTTGTGAATGCATTAAAAGCCACTGAACTGTACATTTTTAGAGTGGATCTCATGGTATATGAATTGTATTTCAATAAAAAAGTAGATGATACTTGCCTCTCCCTTTCTAAGTTTCTTAAGAACTAGAACCAAGTCTTGTTTATCTTATCCTCAATGCTTGAGGACTTTAGCATACAGTAAGTGCTTAGTAAAAACTGAATGACATTGTTATACTGTACATACCTCTGGCTGCCCAAAGCTGTCAATACCATGTGTTTCCAGGCCTACAATCCCACACTGCCTCCCTGGTATTGTTACAGGTAGTGTGGAGAAAGAACTGGATTTATAATTAGTAGTCTGGACTTAAAACTCCAACTTTTCTTATTATTTATTTATTTATTTATTTTTCTTGAGATAGAGTTTCACTCTTGTTACCCAGGCTGGAGTGCAATGGCGCGATCTCGGCTCACTGGAACCTCCACCTCCCAGGTTCAAGCAATTCTCCTGCCTCAGCCTCCCAAATAGCTGGGATTACAGGCATGCACCACCATGCCCGGCTAATTTTGTATTTTTAGTAGATGGGGTTTCTCCATGTTGGTCAGGCTGGTCTCAAACTCCTGACCTCAGGTGATCTGCCTGCCTCAGCCTCCCAAAGTGCTGGGATTACAGGCGTGAGCCACTGCACCCAGCCTAAAATTCCAACTTTTCTATCTATCATGTGACTCTAGGAAAGTCACCAATGAAACTGCATCAGTTCGTTTTCACACTGCTATAAAGATACTACCTGAGACTGGGTAATTTATAAACAAAAGCGGTTTAAATTGACTCACAGTTCTGCATGGCTGGGGAGGCCCCAGGAAACCTACAATCATGGCAGAAGGCAAAGGGGAAGCAGGCACCTTCACAAGGCAGTAGGAGAGAGAGTGAGTGCAGAGGAAACTGCCACTTTAAAAACCATCAGATCTTGTGAGAACAGCATGAGGGAAACCACCGCCATGATCCAATCACTTCCTAACAGGTCCTTCCCTCGACCAGTAGGGATTACAATTCGAGGTGAGATTTGGGTGAGGACACAGAGCCAAACTGTATCACTGCCTTTGCAAAAATTCTATCAGTGAAAGAGTCGGGGAGGATCTGATCTAGTCAACCTCCCTCTTCTTTGCCTTTAACCTTCATGCTGATATTAATTATTCCTGGGCTTGAGACAAGCTGACTTTGGGAGACATTTAGTTTATGGTTTACATAATAGCCCTTCCCCAAAACTCAACTGCCTTTGTAAAGTTAAAAAGAGACCACCAGGCTAGGAGGAGGAAAGGAGCCTGAATTCTGCTAAGGTGTTGACATAAAGGACTGCCAGCCATTACTCTGGAGGTCATAATATAGACAACTTCCTTAATTACTCCTGCAGATAACATCACTATTGCTGAACTTAAGATTGGCCTTTTTAGATATCTTTTGAGGTTTCTCGCATGTCTGACACTGACAATGGCTCCACCTGGACCCAACAAGCCCTCCAACAAGCCCTCCTGTGGCCCCACCCAGAAGCGATTCAGCAATTAAGGGGGATTTTCCCACACCCCTATGACTGCATTCCCCAACCAATCAGCAGCAAGCACCCATTGCCTTACTGCCCCCACCCCTTCCTCCAAACTACCTTTGAAAAACCCCTAAGCTGCCAGGCGCAGTGGCTCACACCTGTAATCCTAGTACCTTGGGAGGCCAAGGCAGAGGTCAGGAGTTCAAGACCAGCCTGGTCAACATGATGAAACTCCATCTCTACTAAAACACAAAAATTAGCCAGGCCTGGGGGCGTGTGCTTCCAGCTACTTGGGAGGCTGAGGAAGGAGAACAGCTTGAGCCTCAGAGGCAGAGGCTGCAGTGAGTCGAGATTGCGCCACTGTACTCCAGCCTGGGCAACAGAGCTAGACACCATCTCAAAAAAAAAAAAAAAAAAAAAGAAAGAAAGAATGAAAAAGAAAAAGAAAAAGAAAAACTCCTAAACTACAAGCCTGCAAAGAGACTGATTTGAGTAATAACTCCACCTCCTGCGTGGCGTGAGTGGCCTCGCGTCATTAAACTCTTTACTGCAGTGCCATGGTCTCCGTGAATTGATTTTGTTTGTGTGGTGGGCAGATAACCCGTCAGGCGGTTATACGAACCTCTCTTACTCTTATCCATAAAACAGGGATATTACATATCAGGTGATTTTAAGCATTAAACTTATATATTGCCTGTGAAAGCGCTTCACAAACTATAAGCTGTTAACTTAGAAATGTTACTTTTTAATTTATATTTAAAAAGTTTCCATTCTGTATGGTCCAGTCCTCTCATCACCAATAAAACTACCATTCCCTCAGCCAAAAAAGACTTCTCCTAGTATTAGGGAAGCAATCAGGTTAAGAGAATTCACAATATGTTAGTGATTTCTGAACAATTTTGTTAACAGTGCATTGTATTCAAAGTTTTCGTTAAATGAGTAAATTACAGCTGCTCTTACAGGAGCAGGGGGATGGGTAATTATGTGAGATGAGGGATATGTTAATTTGTTTCACCATAGTAACCAGTTTACTATGTATATGTTTAACATCATGTTGTTACCTTAAATATACACACTTACTTTAAATAAAATTTTAAAAAGTTTGAAGCTATAGAAATATCTTTTAAAACTTTTACATAAGCCCATTAAAACCCACTAAAACAAAATATTAAACTGCAGCCACAGAAAGAATCAAGGGTGCTACTGTTACAACAGTTTCATTGCTCCTTGTTCCTATGGTGACCCCGGACTCCAAGATATGAAAGTAACGCATACAATGCATAAAACTAAATTCAGTATAACGCTGGCAGATTATATTTACGTTTTAAAAGAAAATGCTTTTAACTGAAACAAATTGGTGAAATTTCAGAAGGATCCAAAGGATACTTTTCTTCGGTTGAAAGGGGCAAAAGGCCTCACTCAAAGGTCCTTCACATTCCATCTACTCCTGTTCTCCATCATTTCCCCCTCTCAGTATAAGCCTCAAAGTGTCTACTATCTTGGCCTTCTAACCCCATCCTTTTCTCAGCCCAACTGACTACCCCTTTGGATCTAACAGAAGAACAACAAAGATCTAACCACATTTTGGTCCTGGGTCTTCTCTCTGGCTCCAAACTCATACCAGGAGTGCATCATCGGAACAACGTTTGCCTGTGGCAGGTGTAGAAAGGGAGTAACTAGCCTTTTAGCAAAAGTGATATTAATCCACCATTATTGTACTTCTGTTTAGATATTCCCATAATTTGCTATTCATACGACCTTCAATTCCCCAGAACTTTAAAATATTGAGGAATGCTGGTTTTAGCTAAATAACTTTTCAAGACTCAAATATTTATACTTAACTCTTTTTTGTTTAACTGGCAAATAACAATTGTGTGTACTTGTGGTATACAATGTAATGCTCTGATCTATGTTATAGAAAGACTGAATCAAGCTAATGAACATATCTAACTCCACTAACTCATCATTTTTTTGTGGTGAGAACATTAAAAATCCATTTTTGGAATTCTGAAATATATAATACACTATCAATCAACTGTTGTCACCATGCAATGCAAGAGATCACTAAAATTTATATCCAAAAGAACTGAAATTGTTACATCAGAGAAATTATCTGCACTCCCATGTTCATTTCAGCATTATCCACAATAGCCAAGATATGTAAGCAATCTAAATGTCCATCAATGGATGAATGGATTTTTTTTAATGTGGTAGACATATACAATGGAATATACTATACAGCCTCTAAAAAGAAGGAAATTCTGTCATCTTGCAACAACATGAATGGAACCAAAGGACATTATGCTATGTATAATCAGCCAGGCACCGAAAGACAAATGCTGACTAATCTCACTTACATGTGGAATCTAAAAATGTCCATCTCATAGAAACAGAGGATAGAAAGATGGTTAACTGGAGGCTAGAGGAGAGGGTAGGCGGGGAATGCGGAAAGAGAGGATGTTGATGAAAGTTTCACTTAGACTGGAAGGAGACTTTTAGTGATTTAGACTTTACTCTTCAGAAATTTCAAGGAAATGTTGATCCTGAATTAAAAAAAAAAAACTCTGAAATAAATACTCTAACTCTGTAATTAACATTAAGTTTAATGAAGCCTCATTCAACTCAAATACAAACCTGTATGGGTGGAATATCTGGCAGCGATGGAAGGTTTTCTGGATTGGTAACTGAGGGGATTAGCTCTATTGCTGTAACAGATGGGCTGGTGGGACCTCGGTTTGCATTTGCCATAGTTGCTGTAGTAGGGCTCGTTGGGTTGATTGTGGTGTTGTGTACCGATACTACGGGAAAGGGTCCAGCATGCCCTGGGTTTGAGTGCTAATAAGAAAGAAGACATTATCATTACTTGATCTGCCAGAATCGCTGAATATAAACTATACCTTTATAATTTTTAGTTTAGGAAGGAAACAGAAGAAACAAAGAAGTGGGCCCTTTCAAACTTATTCAGGAGAAGAACAGTTCAAACTCAGCCTTTTCATTTTTCTATTCATTTTTGTATAGTATCTAGGGAAAGGCAGACTTGCCAATAATTTCCCAACACATCAGCCTGGTGATATGATCTTATTTCAGAAGAAGGAAGTATGTAATAGAGGATCTGTAAACCTCCAAATTTTCAAACACCGGGGTAAGAGAACTACCATTCGGTCATTATTCCTCTTCGACCTTTAGTCATTTTTCCAATAAAAATGATATATAATGCAGCTTGAAGTGGCAGAAAGAACAATGAATTTACAGAAAAGAAAAATGGCAGCAAGTCCTGACTCTAATACTGTGTGACCTTAGACAAATCACATAATCTCAGTCATTTAGAAATGTGGATAACAATACCTCACTTGTTTCATTGTGAGGGCTGTTATGAGGATCATTTAAGACAATATAGAAGAAAATCTTAAGAAAACGAATTCTACACATATAAATAAATCATTTGAAATATTTAAAAACTAAAAAGGCTTAATAACATCCAGTGATTTCTGTAGAGGTATACCCAAAGTCTAAGGAAAATGTTCTGAGATGATTCATTAGTCTGACTGTGTAGCTTCTGCGCTCTGACAAGGTGTACTTGGCCCCTAGAAATACTTGAAGGCCTTCCATGAACTAAGGGGTACATGATTATGTGAAAAGTGTGAAGGAAATAAATGTTCAGACCATCAATCTTTTGTATGTGCTCTTTAAAAAGAAAAAAAAAATCTGATTTGCCTGAGAATGTGCCATGCTCTGCTGGATCTCCTTTTCCACCACTTTCGCAACTGCCCTTCCTCCATCCTTGACAAAAGAACACTACACCTTTGACCATTCCTAAATCTTATTCTAGGCACACTGCACCAGGAAGGAAAAAAAAAAAAACCTGTAGAAATAATCAAAGGTACAATTGGAAATAACGATGTTGGGTGTCTGACTCCAAAACCTGGGTAACAAACCTTCAAATGGGTTCGAATATTTGATGATTAACAAAAATGAAGTTGTCACTGACAAAAAGTTTTTAAATAGTTTTGATAGATCGTTTTCTCAGCCTATAACCTAGAAAAAATTCAAAGAATTGAGGGATATTACTATAATAAAATTCTTTTAATTCCCAAATACATAATTTTGTAAATTATGTATTTTTGTAATTTGTAAATTTTGTAAACGTTTCCTAAGCATTACATAAAAACAAATCCCAAAAAACTAGTAATAAAAACCAATGTTGAATTCTGACTTATTTTAAAAATAAGTAACAGCATACAAACATACATAACCAGAAGCAGGAGGTAAAAAGTCTCCATCTAGCTCAAAGAAATGTATATCCAAAAGAGTTTTGTATCTTCTAATAGTCTTAAACCATGTAAACACACCCATTTTGTTTCAACAATTGTGGAGATATAACGATAATTTGGTCCACAGAAAAAGTTTCAAATCTTAATAATAACCCTATTGTCACTGGAAATTTAACAATTTATTATAAAAAAATTTTTTTCCTGCAGAAATTTACAATAGGCTAATCTATATCTATCAAATAAAGCTATCTTACAGTAAGATAAAACTCTGTTGAAGAAGTAGAAGTGTAATTCAAGTCCAAGGAGAGCTTGCTAGGGTATCTGGAATTCCAGCGGATTCATTTAAAATAATGCAAAGGTTTTTTTAACTTTATAGCATCAATATTTACAATATGCTATAAAGTACAGCTTTTGAAACTATTTAAACTTAAACCTATAATGGAAATTTTAAATGAAAGCCTTCAAATGTGAGCGAGTATATATTTTTTCTTTCTTTTTTTTTTGTTAAATAGAAACGGGGTCTTGCTATGTTGCCCAGGCTGGTCACAAACTCCTGGGCTCAAGCAATCCTCCTGCCTCGGCCTCCCAAAATGCTGGGATTACAGGCGTGAGCCACCACTCCCAGCCAAGAAGCGCATTATTTTAAAAAGCTCTTTCTGGGCGTACATGGACCAAAAAGTTGAAGGACCACTGTTCTAGGACAGTGTTTCTCCAACTTTAGTACGCAGATTGACCTGAGAGACTTAATACAAATTTAAATATTACTGAGTACTCCCCACCTAGAAATTCTGATTCAGTGGTTATGGCTAGGAATCCATTCTGACAAGGTTGCCCACTCCACCAAAGCTGACTGGTGATTCTGATGGTCTTTAAAACATGTTTTGAGAAACATCATTCTAAGAGTTAAAAAATAAACTCTATTATAACTAGAAATCCTATGAAAAAGTGGCCTCACTGTATACTCATATCTCCCATATAAACATAACCAGGCAAAGATTATAAAACATGTCTCTAAACACACTTATTAAAGCGTATCTACATCCTAAAAGGAAGAATATTTGAGTAGAGAAAAGGTAAAAAAAAATAATAATAATAATACATATAGTTAGCTCTGTTACTCTCAAAGCCCTTTTTATATATTAGGATCAAAAAGCCACATTAAAAGAGCAGAGCAGCATTTTCAGGAAACTAATGTTCTTGCTATTTTATCATTGCTTTTTGTGATTGTGGGTAAAATCACCAGCTCATTAGATTTTTTTCACTTCTGCAAATTGAATGGGTTAACTACATCAGGGTTTCTTAACCCACAGTATATGATGCACTTAAAGCATTTTTTAAAAGCTCTTAAAATTAAATACAAAATCTCATGTGTATGTTTATTTTTCTGGGACAAGAGGATATACAGCATTAATCAAATTCTCAAACACATCAATGACCTGCTCCCAAAAAGTGATTAAGAAAATGACGTCTTTTAATTTTAAAATTGTAGGATTCTTACAAATGTAACTCTAGGCATACTTGTCTTTGGAGGTGTGGCTGCATCATGGAATATTGAGGGCCGCTGTGCCTGGGTATCCCTGGTATTCTGGCAGCATTCTGAGCCAGTCTCATCTGATGGGCTTGAAAAGCTCCACAGTTCATGTTGCCTCTTTGCATTGTTTGCACACTGATCAATCGAGGAGGCTACAAAAAGTAGAAATTGCAATTTATGTAATAATTTTAAAATAAATTTATCTCAATTATAAAATGTAATCATAAAAATAATTCAGTCAAGATAAAAGGGTATAAAGTAAAAAGTATAAATAATTCTTATCGCTAGCCCCAATCCCCAGAGGACTGGTAATGACTAGTTTGTATATCACTCCCTAATTTCCCTTGTCTCTCTCTCTCTCTCTTACCTGTTCCCCCTCTTTTTCTCTATATGTGTGTTTAAAGCGTATCAACATTAACGTATCCCATCCTGGAGTAATAGTTTTGATTGGGATGGCAGTGGAGAGAGCAAAAGACACACAGGTATAGGAAAGATCTGAACAAATGCCTAAGGAACATATCAGATCCTAGGCAGAAACAGTCTGGTCCTTTGGTCCACAAAATTATACGTGGAAAACAAAAAAGATTTGATGTGAAAGGATGAGAACTTACATCCTTTCAGAGTATTAGTGAATTAATTTTGTTTCCCAAGACAATTTACTTACTGCCTTTCTTCACAGCTCCCTTACATCACCATCATAACCATAGCAAATATTTAAACTCTGACTTTTGAACTCTGCTCAGTCTTGCTAGTAACTTTGAAATGTGTAACTTAATTATATAGGAAAAAGTGTAGTGTTGAGGGCTTCATAATTTCTATCAATAATGTAGTAACACGATACTTACCTGTTGTTGTAACATCTGAGGGGCTGCTTGTCTAGGATGCTGTTGTGTTGTTGTTGTTGTAGTTGGTACAGGTGCTGGTGGTTGCTGCATCCTCATCTGTTGCAACTGCTGATGTTTCTGTGCATATACTTGTTGTTGCATGTGCTGGAGTCGAAGCTGTGCTAAGTTAATCTGTCCAGGGGTTTTACTAATGTGGTTTGTCCCTGGAGGAACTTGCCCAACTACAACATTAGGAGTATAACCAGGAGCTGGTTTACTCTCTATTACTAGATTACCTGAAAAATTTAAAAAATGAGAATTTGCATATAATCAACTAAATCATCTACTTTGTTGAGTAATCACCATGTTTTCCTCTTTCCTCTGACAACTATCAGCACCTCAAAGCTCCAACAGTACAGCAGGGAATGGAGTCAGTTTAAAGATGATGATGATGATCAGAAACTTAATACATTCCAAAGCTGAATAAATGACGTTTGGTTATTCAGAAAAATATACTCTCTGTCCTTATTCTTTTTTACTTAGACATACAGAAAATTAAGACAGTAAAAGAGATTATCTATTAGAAGAGGCCTATCTAATCAATCTAAATCAATTCTCCCATGACAAGACTTACTCAAGGATACTCAAGATTGCCAATACTGATTCCATCTGCCTTTGAATTGCCAAAATATGCAAGGCAGAGCATTACAATGTCACAAAATCGTCTTCTGTGGAAATACTGAATGCTTTAAACAACTTATATCCTTAGACGTGATGGTTTTCCTTGCTTTTTATGGAGCCATTGCCTTCTAGGGATAGAAGCCAAATTTTAGGAAGATGTGATTTAAGGCACAGGTTGACAGGCTTTCCCTGTAATGGGCTATAGAGTAAATATTTCATGCTTGGCAGGCCACATAAGATCTGTCTCACAGTCCTTGGTTTTTGTTTGCTTTTACAACCAGTTGAAAATGTAAAAACCATTCTTAGCTACTACGTCACACAAAAACAGCTGGCTGATGTCAGAACTAAGGCTATAGCTAAATTTGAATATAATTTTTTTTTATTATATGCAAAGATTACTTTTTTTTTTTTTTTAAAAAAAAAGGGCAACCAGCCTCTGCTTTTACAATTCCCACTGTTTAGGACTTAACTGTTCTGAAAGTGAGTTTACTCAATCTGTAAATAGCTCTCTAATTGCTAGGAAGTTTGTGTGCATGTGTTTTAACTGAGCTCTCTGTAACTTTCATCTATGGTCTTTAGGTCCATACTACGCTGTAACAAAAGGAAAATCCATTTCTCTTCCATGTGAAAAGAGCTACTCTTATCTTTCAAACATTCCTCAGGACCTAACTACTGGACACATTAGCATCCTAAAAGTCTGTTGCTAATGCACAATTTGGCTTAATTAAACAACTAAAAATCTATGAAATTATTCCAGACAATGAATCATTTGCTAAGATTTCTATATGAAACAGTCAATATAAATTTAAAAGATGGAGGGTCGGGGGACTAGAAACAGCACACATTAAAAAACAATATACAGAGTAGACGCTCAACTTTCTTAAGATGTAATAACAGCCACACAAAACCACAGCTAAAGTGAGTTTCCAATGAATAACAACATATTTTTACATAAAATGTAAAACATTAGTTTTATAAAGTTAAAAATTTTATCTAAATTTGCTTTAAGTATTTTCTCCTTCTAATTCAGTGTTCCAAGTTATATTCATAAAACTCATTATTTCTCACCTAAATTGACTACATTCTTTGCCCAGAAGGTGGGATCACAATGGAAACGTATTGCTCCATTAGCAGCAGGGACAGGATCACACCGTGCTTTCAAAATATGACGCAACTGGAAAGTAATCTTAAAGGGAAAAAAATCCACATTAGTCTCAAAATTAAATATCAATTGGGAAATCATAAGATAAAGACATTAAGAAAAAAAAGCACATATATTCCCACAGTGTCAGCCTCAGATTAGGCAGCATCAACATTTAAATTAGCAATCAAATCAAATATACATACTTGAATTTCTGCCATTTTGGGTAATAAAGTGCATTAAGATACTAGGTATCTTCAAAAGAGTACATACTATATAATTCCACTTATATGAAATTCTAAAAAATGACAGAAATCAGATTAGTGGCTGCCTAGTGGAATGAGGAAACTTTGGGGGGTGGTGGAAGTTTTCTGTATCTTGATGTGGTGGTGGTTACATTTGCCAAAATTAAAATGTATACTTTAAACAGGTGCAATTCACTGAATATATATCTTAATAAAGTCCATTAAAGAAAAATAAAAACAGTATGTGTCTCACCAGTCGCTTGCTGTATAGTAGTGCTGTGCTGCTGCCACTTGCAATTGCCCAATTTGTGAAGTTCATAACATGCTTCACCTGCCGGGAAAGGCCTGTGATGTCATTCTGCTGCTGTAGTAACTTCATCTGTCTTTCCTTTGTAACATTCTGAAACAGAACAAGAGCTTCGCTGTAGAATTCCATATGAAAAAAAATCAACCCCACATTTCTAATGCAAATGGGCACAATACCTATACTTCCTTTAAAAATGGGCTAAGTGAATAAGCTCCATGATTATTTAGCAAGCCTATCATCAGAGGAAAAGCCACTAACAAAAGTGGGACTAAAAGTCAGTTCTCTAAGCTAAAAAGGATATTCCACATATAGAAATGAATGTTAGTTAATGTCACTTTTCTATCAACATGTCTGTTAAAAATAGTGTCTTCCTATTAGATTAATCTAATATATGGTATTTATAGCATAAGGAGCTAACTTTAGAAATAAATTTATGTAATCTTAATATACTTTAAAGGCCAAAAAAATTTTGTGTCACCAGTGCCACCTCCTGGTATGGCATGAGAATGAAGTTAAAATCTCTCTTAAATATATAAGACAAAATGAAAAAGATAACTTCCAGAGTTCTAAGAGTAGAATTAGGGAAACTTTTGATATCACAGAAGTTCACAGAGAACAAAGAAGTAAGGACTGACCAAACTGCAAAAACCAATTTCAGAGAAACACTGCAAAGGAAAAATAAACTGCTTTATGGGAACTAAAATCACCCCAGGAGGGATGGGTAATGTCCTACATACTTTTGACATTCAGCATGCTGAACAACTCATCTACTACTTTCTTAAGAACTTTCTCCCAAAAATGACTCAAGTTGGTTTTTCTGGACAATATTTTTCCTAAGGAAAGAAGCTGTTCATTTTATAATGTAAATCAATGGATAAGAGTATTCAACTGAGAGAAGTATGGTTTACTACATTTCTTTTATAAAGCTTAGAAAAACGTTTCTTCTACAAAGTATAAGAACATATTACACTAGAAAACATCTATTTTAAATTTATCATCATGTTAGTAGTATGTGGCGTATTTACCATTAGGTATTTGTATACACTTTAGCCTTAAGAGGCTTTTTTTTTTTTAACAGAGTCTCACTCTGTCCCCCAGGCTGGAGTGCAGTGGTGCAATCCTGGTTCACTGCAAACTCCACTTCCCAGGCTCAAGGGATCTTAAGAAGCATCTTTTAATTCAGAAACTCTTGAAATGGTTTTACAAATACTATTTTAGACGTACAGCTCAAATGTATTACAGTAAGTTTAAGTGTATCAAAAATAGTTACTAAGTGCTCTCTATTCACATGGGTCCTTTTGGGGGGAAAAACCTATTAGGGTTAAATGCAACAGACTGGTGTACAGTAGGAAAAGGGACCCACAACTTTAACAATCTGCACAAGAGTACTTTTTTTTTTTTTTTGAGACGGAGTCTCGCTCTGTCGCCCAGGCTGGAGTGCGGAGGCGCAATCTTGCCTCACCGCAACCTCCACCTCCCGGGTTCAAGCAATTCTCCTGCCTCAGCCTCCTGAGTAGCTGGGATTACAGGCATACACCACCACGCCTGGCTAATTTTTGTTTTTTTTTTTTAGTAGAGATGGGGTTTCACCATGTTGGCCAAGCTGGTCTCGAACTCCTGACCTTGTGATCCACCCACCTCAGCCTCCCAAAGTGCTGGGATTACAGGCGTGAGCCACCGCACCCGGCCAAGAGTACTTTTAATCTCACAAATTGTGTTTCACTGGAAAGATGTATTCCATTCAGAGATAACATTCTACTGACATCATTTCATTTTTATGTAATTATTCACCTAATATTTTTAAAGGATTCTATGAAGAGATGGGACAGAAAAAAAAAAAAACTATTGACAATTTGAGGTTAATGGAAATAATCAAATAAATCATTTCATTATTACTATTCAATGGTGCAGAAAAAATAATCCCCATATCATCTGAACCTAGTTAAGAGCATGAAATCTTCAATCAGAAAATATTTCTCTTTCCAAAATTTCAACTTTCCAGAGCATGAAATTTTCAATCAGGAAACATTTCTCTTTCTGAAACTTCAATTTCCCAGAAAACTCCTATTTGAAATTTGCTAAAAATAAATCAAATCGGCAGTGGAGACTTTGATTAAAAATTTAGATTTCATGAACTGACTAGATTTTCATCTAGAAACTTACACCTACAAATAAACTTCAAAATATGCAATATAAATACCTAATATCACAAAATTTTCACTAAGTTTAAGGTTTATAAATTTCAAAAAGAGCAGCATTTTCTGCAAAACTATGGAAATATTTTTAAAATAAGGTAAAATACACAAATGACTCAAGCAGAAGCCCAACATGAATCTATATGGTAAAATTAAATTGAGGCCCCATCTTAAGGGGGTGGGGAAGAAATGTGGTGGGACTACTTTGCCTTTACGTACATCACATTTTAGTAACATTTCTTTTTTCTTTTTCTGTTTTTCATTTTGGAGACAGGGTCTCACTCTGTTGCCCAGGCTGGAGTGCAGGACACAATCACAGCTCATTGCAGCCTTGACCTCCCGGGCTCAGTCGATCCTCCCACCTCAGTTTCCTGAGTAGCTGTGACTACTGGTGCATGCCACCACCCTGGCTAATTTTTGTATTTTTTGTAGAGGCAGGTTTCGCCATGTTGCCTGGGCTGGGCTGGATCCCGGGGCTCAAGCGATCTGTCTGCCTTGGGCTCCCAAAGTGTTGGGATTACAGGTGTGAGTCACCATACCCAGTCTTAGTAACAATTATTTGATTTCTAAGAGGACATCACTATTTCCTAAGGTATACAGCTAAAGTCAGTGTTATTAAATTGGGCCGCAAAGTAACTAACTAGAAAAGGTCTCTTCCAAAAGTAAATTTTAAAAACCTTATTTTACGTTTTCCTTTATTTCCATACCCCCCAATCCATCTAAAATAGTTTTCAATAAACATTAAAAACAGCTAAAGAGCAAGAGAAGCAGTTTTTGTTTTATTTTGGCTTTGAACCATACCTCTAGCTGTTGTAAGAGAGATTTTCCTTTCTTATTAATTTCATTGATAAGGGTGAAAATGGCCACTTTAATTTCCTGTTCTACTCGTTTGTTAGTCTCATTTACTTCTTTTATCCTGAATAAGAGAAATGCATCATTAGGTTATCAACTTATCCTAGGTCTCTGAATCATCAACTGTTACAGAAATTCATCCAACTGGGCACTTAACCGAGTAATTAAAATGAAAACTTTGTCAAAATGTACAACTCATGTTTCAGCAGACCTGACCAATTTGGTCCAAACAAGTTATGTACATAGACAAATAATGAAACTAATATTTAGTAATTTTAAATTATGCTCATAAAGGACAGTTTATTAAGCTGGATGGCAATCTACTTAAGTAACTATGACATGAATGTGATGCACAAACACCAGTGACTTCTGGATAGTGTCAAATGTGGCACATTGGTTCTGTTTAACCTTGACGTTTTCCAAGAACAATGTGCAAAAGGACAATGTCACAAGCAATAATTATCTTTTGAAAGGATAATAGTTAAACATAGAAGCATTTATTTTCATTTATAACTTAGCCACTTCAAACATGGGTTCTGATACACTCCCTTCAAAATTACTCTTAATATGGTTTCCCTTTGTATACAGTAAAGGGCATAAAACATTTTCAATCCATTTTTAAGAATAGCTTTAGATGTTTTATAAGTAGGTGTAAGCACTCAAAGCAGTTATGGAAGTTTTAGGTGCAAATATGAAGTGGCTGATACTTTGGTATTTACAAAACAGGAAGTGGATAATCCCACCACTATAAATATATAAAATGTCAACGACCAACCATAAGACATAGCTTCAATTTTTATACATTCTACTTCTGTAAAAACTATAACCCATGCTTTCAGCTCCTAAACTGCCTTTCATTTGCCAAGTTCGAATTTAGTTAACTTTAATACACTCCAAGAAATAATGTAGTTTTTTTCCTTCTCTGTACATCGTTTGGCACTTACTTGAAAATTTTGAGTTTTGTCCTTATCTTACTAAGGTGAGTGGAAGATATTTTTAATATATAAAGGTACTAATAACTAGTGATAAGAAATATAGGTTTCAAATATAAAATGATTGGGCTGAAGATAGAAATCACTAAGCATGCTGAAAACAGAGAGTAGTTAGAGAGTAGTTAGTCTCAGTCAGACTCCTATTGGATTTAATTAAGTCTACTGTATGTTCAGTTTTGAAGAAAGAAAAAAATGTACATTAAAAAATAATGGAGATAGGTCAGTGAAAAATGTGTCTAAAAGGGGAAGTTATCAGAGATTTTAATACTGTTTTTTTAAAAACTTTCTACAGATGAAATCAATCTCCTCAACCCCGTGCAATCTTGTAACAGGTAAACCTCTTGCCCTACTTTTGTATACAGATTCTGGAACACGTGTACAAAATATATTTAAAAAATACTTATACAATGTACACACAAAACATCTGTATAAAAATATGGGACTGCCATATGAATCAACTCACTACATTTCCTTTGAAAGAGACATCCATCTATCATTTCTGAGAAACAGTCTTCTCCAAATCAACTGTATCACCAGTTTAACCTAAAACAACTGAACATTTCCAAAAACAAAAACCCACCAATGGAGTGTGTGTGTGTGTACAATCTACAAGCTCTAAGGAGCCTTTTATTTTCTTTTGGTGTTACTTAAGATAAAAAGTTCTGGCCGGGCACAGTGGCTCAGGCCTATAATCCCAGCACTTTGGGAGGCTGAGGCAGGCGGATCACGAGGTCAGGAGATCAAGACCATCCTGGCTAACACGGTGAAACCCCGTCTCTACTAAAAATACAAAAAATTAGCCGAGCATGGTGGTGGGCGCCTGTAGCCCCAGCTACTCGGGAGGCTGAGGCAGGAGAATGGCGTGAACCCAGAAGGTGGAGCTTGCAGTGAGCAGAGATTGTGCCACTGCACTCCAGCCTGGGCGACAGACCGAGACTCCGTCTCAAAAAAAAAAAGTTCTACCATGTGTAAAGTACTATTTTCATTCATTCATTCATTCAATTATTTAATACTTTTGAGCATCTACTATGTGTCATTTTAATCATAAATTAATGAACTTTAATATTCATTAGAAGTCCTAATATTTTTGAGTCTATAAACACATATTAACCTTATTCATACCCCGAAGAATTTTAGTTTTAATTATGCCAGCTCAAAGTGTTTGTCTTTCTGGTGTAAGAGTCATAACTTTGTTAATCTGCTCTCTTATGGAACCTACTCTCACTTATCAATAAATTTACTTAGAAATATACCAAAGTAGAATACTTTTTAAATAATAAATGGTGATGATAATTATAAATACAATAGCAACAGCTAAAATCTAACTGCTTACTATGTACCAGAAACTATATCATGTATTCATCTTATAATGCTACTCATTAAGATAAGCACTGTTTTCAATGCTTGTTTTACAAATGGGGAAATAATTGGTCCACCCGTGATACTCTCTTCTCTATACTGTATCTTCCACACAATCTCCACTTTAAATTTTATAAGTCAACTCTCTCCATATTAATTTATTTGTTTCCACATTTAAGGTTTAACACAGACCACAGTCTTATTAAAATAGACAAAGATGTGTCCTAAAAGGGTATACAAGAGTTTGGTCAATTAAATTTTGTTTAATTGACAAATATTATAATCCCAAATTCATACCATTTCCCCCTCAAAAAAATGTTTTCTTTATATGCTTAATATAGCAGAAAAACAGATTTAAACTGGACCCACTTCTTTTTAGTAATTCTTAAAATTATGGTTTTAAGGCAACAAACTTACCTATTCTGCACCTGAGTAGCTGCAAAATGAACATAATTCTTCTTCTCAAGAAGTTTCGCCAGTAGATTCTCAATTGCACCCTTCTGATTTTGAAAAGCTTCTTCCAAAAACTGATACCTTAAAACCAAAACAAAACTACATTTAAAACAAAACATTTATGATTAAGATTTTGGAAATAAAGAACAGCTAAATGAGTCAATCTTGAAACCTTAATTAAGTGATCAACTCTATGCTGGCCACTCATACCTTATCTCAACAGCAACTTTTAACTGGCAATCACCCATCTCCCTCCAACTCTGACCCTGAAAGGCCATTATGAAAGAAAAAAATTACTCAGATAATGGTTGAGTGCTCTTATATTAGAGTGTTGATTCAGGATTACATCTTTTTAAAAATTCAAATATTGGCATAAGTTGTATACATTTTAAATCATAAAGCGTAACCACATTATAGAAAATACTATAAAAGGAAGGGAAATCACCCATAGTTCCAACATCACAAAATTACTGCTACCACTGTAATATATAGTTCCTTAATCTTTTAATTATACATGTACTTATTTACTTATTTTTTAATAAAGACAAGGTCTATGTTACCCAGGCTGGTCTCAAACTCTTGGTCTCAAGCAATCCTCCTGCCTTGGCCTCTCAAAGTGCTAGGATTACAGGAGTGGGCCACTGCATGTGGCCTAACTATGCATTTTTAAATGCAATTATAATAATAATGAACATGCAAATTTACATCTGACTTTTATTCTTTATCTTGTCTTTATAATTACACTTAAAATAATTTTTCAGTTCTGGATGCCATGTACTGTCAAACTTTCCACAAGGGTTAAATCAATAAAAAACATCACATCAACACCAGTTTTACTTTGTCAGCATGAATGCTATATGTTAAAATTTTCTAATCATAATAGTGCAAATATAGACTCTAATAACATTTCTTTGGCTACTAGGAAGCTAGAATAATAGTTTTCTTTGCTACTTTTATTTCCTTTTTGTAAATTATTTATTAGGTTTTTAAGTTATTAAGTCAACAAATATTATTTAGTTTTTTTCTATGTCCTTTTTACATGGACTAAAGAATCCATTATTGTTTGTACTACTAACAAATAGTCACAAATACAAAATGATACCATACTGTGACAAGAGATATAATTCACGTATATATAATTTACAAGAAACCACTGCCTAAATCGGCCTCAATACCAAGAAAAGCACAGCAGAGAAGAACAGCATCTTATGCTAGGTACAGAGGCATGTTTGAGACATGTAAATACTTCAATATGGCCAAATAAAAATATACAAAAGTCAGAATATGAGACAACAACTGATAAAATCCACACATAAATACTTCAATATGGCCAAAGAAAAATATACAAAAGTCAGAATATGAGACAATAACTGATAAAATCCAGAGGCAAACTGTGAAGGGCCAAGTATAGCACACTATTTGTGCATTTAATTCTCTAAGTAATGGAAAACCTCTGAAGAATTCTAACCAGAATGTAATAATCACATTTACATTCTAGGAAAATCATCAAACAGAAATATAAAAGACCCAAAGAAGGGAATAGAAGGGAAAGACCAGCTAAAACTCTAAGACAGTAACTCATATCAGAGATCAGGGTACAGTACTGGTTGGTACAGCCAAACAAACAAGCTGGAACTGACTTTATCAGTGAGATCAGCAGATTTGAGAGGTTATGTGTCAGTTATGGCAAGGTCCATGGTACAACCTGAAAACTAAATGCCTAGCTAAGGCACAGTCAAGAAACAAATCATTGGAAATGAGTTCACAATTACTGTGTAATTGTCTATATGGGCACTAAAATCACAAAAGTAATAATACTATGAGCATCTAAATGTCCATTGTTTCTTCAATGAAAGTCTCAGCTAAGGCAGACAAGAGGAAAGACTATGAAATTGTTAACATAAAGGAAAGTTTGTTAAGATAAAGGGAAGTTTACTTAGTAGTGGGATACAAGAGGTACAAGAAGAATGGAGGACAGTAGGAGAGAAAATGTAGATCAATATGGGAATTTCTGTTATAGAAAACTGCTGGTGCACTGACTTTATTGTGGTAAAATATACGTAGTAAAATTTATCCGTCTGAACTTTTTTTTGAGTCAGGGTCTCACTCTATCACCCAAGCTGGAATGCACTGGAACCATCACGGCTCACTGCAGCCTCAAACTCATAAGCCCAAGCAATCCTCCTGCATCATTCTCCCGAGTAGCTGGGACTATAGACACCCGCTTTTTTTTTTTTTTTTTTTTTTTTTTTTACTTTTTTGTAGAGATGAAGTCTTGCCATGTTGCCCAAGCTGGTCTTGAACTCCTGGTCTCAAGTGATTCTCCTGCCTCGGCCAAAATGCTAGGATTACAGACACGAGCCACCACATCCAGCCCAATTTAACCATTTTTAAGGAGAACATTTTTAAAGCTCAACTGTCTACAATGTTGAGCAACATTATAACTTGTATAAGATATTAATAGCACAGGCCAGGCGTGGTGGCTCACACCTGTAATCCCAGCACTTTGGAAGGCCGAGGCAGGTGGATAACGAGGTCAGGAGATCGAGACCATCCTGGACAACATGGTGAAACCCTGTCTCTACTAAAATACAAAAAAATTAGCCCGGCATGGTGGTGTGCACCTGTAGTCCCAGCTAGTTGAGATGCGGAGGCAGGGGAATTGCTTGAACTGGGGAGGCGAAGATTGCAGTGAGCCAAGATCACACTACTGCACTCCAGCCTGGTGACAGAGTGAGACTCTGTCTCAAAAAAAAAAAAAAAAAAAAAAAAGATACTAATAGCACAAAAAAGCACGTGAATATTTTCAGAGAGTTTTTTTGTTTGTTTTTGAGACGGAGTCTCGCTCTGTCGTCCAGGCTGGAGTGCAGTGGCGCAATCTCAGCTCACTGCAACCTCCACCTCCCAGGTTCAAGCAGTTCTCCTCCTCAGCCTCCCGAGTAGCTGGGACTACAGACATACACCACCATGCCTGGCTAATTTTTGTATGTTTAGTAGAGATGGGGTTTTGCCATGTTGGCCGGGCTGATCTCAAACTCCTGACCTCAGATGATCCGCCCACCTCGACCTCCCAAAGTGCTGGGATTACAGGCGTGAGCCACCACTCCTGGCAAGAGGCTTTTAAAGAGGCTTTACTGTTAGATAGGGGACCCGAAGTTTGTTCCTTCGTGAAAGAGCAACATTTGATTTATCCCACATACTATGATTTCTCTACATCCAATAAAAACTATTACTATGTTAAATCTGAACAAATAAAGCAGAAATATGAGGATTCCATGTTAACCCTTTTGACTTAGCTTTATTTACATTGTGATGAAAAACAATCTTTTTGAAGAATTTGATGATGTCAACATATACGCATTTGATAGAAAGGTTAACTAGTATCAAAATTCACAAAATTCTAATTCATAAAATTTAACCATGTACAAATTCCCCTTATCCCAAAATAAATATTTTTCAAAGTCCTGTTTCTAAATATATCTTGTTACATTCATGTGAACAAGAAACAAGCAAACACACACTATTTTCCTAAATATGATATACCTAGGTAAACTGAATTTTCTTTAATCAAAATTACAGCTGAAATGTGGGGAAAGAATAACCAACAAATGAACTAAATGTAGTTTTGATTAATACATAAATACTTCAAAGTAATTTCTTAGATTTTAATCTTGCATTTTAAAGTAGTATTTATTTATTTATTTAGAGACGGAGTCTCGCTCTGTTGCCAGGCTGGAGTACAGTGGCACGATTTCGGCTCACTGCAACTTGTACCTCCTGGGTGCAAGCGATTCTCCTGCCTCAGCCTCCCGAGTACATAGGACTACAGGCATGAGTCACGACACCCAGCTAATTTTTGTATTTTTAGTAGAGATGGGGCGTCACCATGTTGGCCAGGATGGTCTCAGTCTCTTGACCTCATGATCCACCCACCTCGGCCTCCCAAAGTGCTGGGATTATAGGCGTGAGCCACCGCACCCAGTCTAAAGTAGTAATTCTTGTGGGCTTTCTTAGTCACAATGAACTATTCTCCATATTTCAAAATAGGTAAAATAAAGTAAAAATGATGTATGCCCAGGATTTAGTTAGGACAGACTAAGTAAAACTTTTTGTGCTTCTGGCTAGAATTATATAAACCTGGTAAAATTATCTGGTTTTGATCAGAATTAATCAGCATGCTTAGCTTTTTTAAATTATTGAGATATAAATTATATTTAATACAGTTTTGTAAGAAGTTTATGAAAATATGGTGCTCATGAGTAAAGGGTAGGAGATAAATAATAAAAGGGTGTTTTTTGCTGGGCACAGTGGCCCACACCTGTAAGTCCCAGGTATTCGGGAGGCTGAAGAGGCTGATGTAACAGGACCACTTGAGCCCAGGTCAAGGCCAGTCTGGGCAACATGCATACAAATATACATGGATGGGTGTTTTTTAAAAGGCTGAGAATCACTTAGCTAATAACTTCAAACTTCTGAATGTACATTATGGTCTTACTAAGTCCTGTGCCCTACTACTCTACTTGCCAAGTGATACAGTACTATTCTTAGTAATTGTCACTGTATATATTAAGTTTTGATTTTGGCACATCTAGGGAAAAATGCATCATAGTGCTTTATATCCAAACTGAATAAGAGAACCTTTTTAATAAAACCCAGTTTCATTTTTCTTCAGTTATTCCATTTTTTTAAATTACATTAAATTTCAAACATGTATTAGAAGTCTAATTCCACTGAATCGATCACCCATTTTCAAGAAGTATCCATTCATAGCTGATTTTATCTATACACCCACTCACTCCATCCCTTAGACTACTGTGAAGAAAACTCCAAACATCATACTTTATCTAAACATTTCTCAATCTATAGATGGCAATAGCCTATTCTGATAACTTACTACATTTTCAGGCACTGGGCTAAGTATCTTAACATGCATTCTCTCATTTAACCTTTAGAAAAACTTAATGACTTAGATACTACTACTATTTTCATAGTTAAAAGCTAGATGACTTTGACAACCCTCTGTGTCTCACTTCTTCTCCAGTAAAATACAGAACAATCATCATATATACATGCACAGGACTGTCCTAAGAATTAAACTGGTCAAAACACACAAAGCAAAGCACTTAAGGCATACTAAGGATTTAATGCTTGCTATCACTGTTATTCTTAGCAGTAATTTTAAAGGATTTATACTGTTAGAATTTATCTTGTTGCAAATGTATATTGTTCCTTATTTAAAGCTCTATATGAAGGGGAGATGATAACAACCATAAGAGTTCAGGAAAGGGACAGAGAGTAGGAAATGTGAGCAACTGTGAGGAAAATCTGAAAGGGTAGAAATTTCTATAAAGTATGAGAAAGACATTAAAATCCTCACATAAATAGAACAGGGAGCAAAAGCTAACTCTAATTAAATCTCAAAAATCACAGTGACATCACCTGATATTTCAATTACCTAAGACTTCATTAGAACAGGATGTCACTTTCTATTGCTGTCTTCAAAATCATTTATCTTTTCTCCTGTAATATCTAATCTTCTGGCTGGGCACAGTGGCTCACGCCTGTAATCCCAGCATTTTGGGAGGCCGAGGTGGGCAGATCACGAGGTCATGAGTTTGAGACCAGCCTGACCAACATGGTGAAACCCCGTCTCTACTAAAAATACAAAAATTAGCTGGGTGTGGTGGTGCATGCCTGTAATCCCAGCTACTCAGGAGGCTGAGGCAGGAGAACTTGAACTTGGGAGGTGGAGATTGCAGTGAGCCAAGATTGCGCCACGGCACTCCAGCCTGGGCGACAGAGAGAGACTCTGTATCAAAAAAAAAAAAAAAAAAAAAAAAAAAATCTAATCTCTGTTAATCCTACCCAAAATGAAGCCCTCCATCAAAAAAAAAACAGTGAGCAGTGAAAAGTCATTAGTACATTAATACATGTATAATTGGCATCCCCAAAGGAGAAAAACAGAGGAAGAGAAAAAATATTAGAAATAGTAGTTACGGATAAAAGTTTTTCAAATTTGATGATCTATAGCTCTAAGAAGCTCAACATCCCCCAAGCACAAGAAACATTCAGAAGACTACACTAAGGTATATAATTTCCAAACTGTTTAAAACCAGTGATAAAGAGAAAATATTAAAAGCAACCAGAAGAGAAAAAAGATACACTGTATACAAATGAACAAAAATAAAACAGATTTCTTGATGGAAACAATGAGAGTGGAGCAACATCTTTAAACTACTTAAAGAAAACTTTCAGCCTTGAATTATTTATCCAGAAAAGTTAACATGAAGGTGAAACTACTAGGAGTGATAAAGATGTTCACTATTTTGACTGTGATGATGGATTCACAGTCCGTCACCACAAAGCAGAGATCTAAAACCTATACCACTACAAAGCAGAGATCCAAAAGTGTTATGACCTTAACATAAGGGTATACTAAGAGTAACCTGCCCCTCTATCACCTCAAAAAGACTGAATGACAATAACAATGATTCTGTGGAAGAGGAGGGGGGAGACCCTCAGAAGTTGTATCCACAAAACACTTCACATGTGAATTTTCAGACCAAGTGCACATCATCTTGGTGGTTCAAAACTTCATTCCGGAAATTTAACTGTCGGAAACTGGTAGTGCTTCTAGGCAATAGCAACAGGAAATTCAATCCTTTATTGTGGAAAGAAAGTATCTTAATTTTAGACCAAAAAAAAAAAAATTGCATAATTTTTCAAGGAAAGAGGAAAGTTCATAGTTTTAAAAGACTACATATATAAGGAAAAACAGCACCCTAAGCAAGAATCAACAGAAATAACAGGAAGAACTGACTCACTAACAGAGGCAAAATAAATACATGTACTCTATTTAAAGAATAAAACACAGCTAAAATGTTCAGGCAACTATTTAAAATTTTAGATGAAGTATACAAAAGACCTCTTTGAACTTTTTTTGCTATCTAAAAATAAAGTTTTTAAAAGGGGGAGGAGCTGGCTGATTTAAAATATTTAAATTATAATGGATGGGTTTTAATGGCAGTTTAGACATAAAGAGAGTATTTGTGAACTGAGATTGTTCAGAGAAAAGTGTCTCCCTGTTTTGCATTTTCAATGTAAAAAAAGGGGGGGAATACAAACATTAAGAGAAATGGAGAATGGATTGAGGGGAGTCTAACATACATCTAACTGGAATTCCAGAAGAAGGACCAACAAAGAATGCAACACATGGAATATGTGAGGAGATTACTGATTGAAAGACACAATCACAACGCACATTTTTAAAGACATCTTTGTTATTCTTTACACAGTTTCTTTAGGTATACTTCTGTGTATAAATTACGTATCTTGTGACTCTTAAAAGACTTTTAAGACTCTTAAAATACAAAGGCCAGGCATGGTGGCTCACCCCGTAATCCGCAACAATTTCGGAGGCTGAAGTGGGAGGATCGCTTGCGGCCTGAAGTGCAACACCAGCCAGGGTAATAAAGCGAGACCCTGTCTGGACAAAACATTTTAAAAAATGACTGGGGGTGGTGGCACATGCCTGTGCTTCCAGCTACTTGAGAGGATCACCTTAGTCCAAGAGTTTGAGGCTGCAGTGAGCTATGACCACACCACTGCTCTCCAGCCTTGGTGACAGAGTGAGACCTCATCCCCTTAAAAATAAAAAAGTATGTAGTCATTATTTATATGAACTAAATTTGCCTATTTGCCAAGAAATATTCAAAGGGTAGGGATACCACAGTAAATAAGGTAAAATAAGGTCCTGTTCTTCCTTTCCTTACATTTTAATTAAGGAGAAAACAAAAATTTGAATAGGGTGATGTGATAGAGAGGACGTTAAGTGGCTAAACATTCTACATTGGATACATGCACAGAAGGGAACTCTTGAAGACGTGATGACAACGTACAATTATTTCAAAGATAGGAACTAGGCATGCACAGAGAGATAACAGATGAGCTGTAAATAATCAGAGGTAAAGCTGCATTTTTGCAAAGGAAAATGACCAATTGGTTTTATTCTTTGCAATAATTTTGCCATTTAATAAAATTTTCACATGGGATACTTCTCAACCCATCTGCCCTCTTTGCCAAATGGGTAACTTTTATCTGTGAAACTAACGACTCTGAATGTGTTTCTTCCTCAAGTCTTCTCTCCTGATATTCTTCTCTTTCAAGTTAACTCTTAGCCATATGGAATTATTCTCCTTCTAGCCATAAGCAATGATTCTGCTGGGTAACTGACTCATTGAACCTATGGGCTCTTCAGATAGTTTGATATCCTAATAGGATCAGAAACTATAATATGAAAATTAATGAGGCTATGTTTCAGCAATACCCAAATGAATTAATTCAAATTTTAAAGAATACTCAAGGGATGAACTATTACGGAACCAAATACTCAGTATCAGTCTCATACAGACTACACAACTCCAAGATAGCAAGGACAGAGCACATTTTTTCATTATTGTATAGCTATCACCTAGCAAGGTACCTGGTATACGATGAGTACTTGAATATCTACCGAACAAATGAGATCAATGAATACTCATTTGTTGAGTGAAGTTCAATAAACAAACCATTTTGTCTGACAATAAGTGTACCCCATGAAAAAATTATGCTTGGATAGGAAATCTTTATTTGTTGCCATAGCTCTGAATCTAGCTCCCTAAGAGGACTGACAGTAGATATGTATTTACTTATCACTTCTACAAAAAATGTATTCAGATTCTTCAACTACTTGGATTGCATCTGAAAGAATTTTTAGGGTCGGGCATGGTGGCTCACTCCTATAACCCCAGCACTTTGGGAGGCCGAGGTGGGTGGATCACCTGAGGTCAGGAGTTTGAGACCAGCCTGGCCAATATGGTGAAACTGTCTCTACTAAAAATACAAAAATTAGCCGAACGTGGTGGTGGGCGCCTGTGATCCCAGCTACTTGGGAGGCTGAGGCAGGAGAATAGCTTGAACCCAGGAAGTGGAGGTTGCAGTAAGCCAAGATCGCACCACTGCACTCCAGCCTGGGCGACAAAGCAAGACTCTGTCTCAAAAAAAAAAAAAAAAAGAAAAAAAAAGAAAAAAAAAACTCTTAGAAGAATTTACGGAAGAACTAAAAAAGTGAGTTTCAGCAAAGGTTCTTTTAAAGCTATGAATAATGCAAACTACCTGGGATGATTTACCAGTATTCTTAAAAGATTGTAAAAACAATTTTTTATATCCAGGCCATAATATAAGATTCTTATCTAACTAGCCTGGAATAGGAATGAGGCATCAATATATTTTTTTAAATCTCCCTACTTTTAATATAAATTTAGAATTGTGAATATCTGCTCTCAAGTTTATCCACACAAAATCTTAATTCAAAAGTCCAATTCTAAGAAAAGCTATTCCTTCCCTTCCTTTTCTTCTTTCCCTTCTCTCTTCCTCTCTCCCTTTTTTTTTTTTTAAATAATGGAGATGGGGGCCAGGTGCGGTGGCTCACACCTGTAATCCCAGCACTTTGGGAGGCTGAGGCAGGTAGATCACAAGGTCAGGAGTTCAAGACCAGCCTGGCCAACATAGTGAAACCCCATCACTACTAAAAATACAAAAAAATTAGCCAGGTGTGGTGGCATGCACCTGTAATCCCAGCTACTCAGGAGGCTGAGGTGGGAGAATCGCTTGAACTCAAGAGGCAGAAGTTGCAGTGAGCCGAGACCATGCCATTGCACTTCAGCCTGGGTGACAGAGTAAGACTCCATCTCAAAATGAATGAATGAATGAATGAATGAATGAATGAATGAGATGGTGTTTCACCATGTTGCCCAGGCTTGTCTCCAACTCCTGGACTCAAGCGATCCACCAGCCTCAGCCTTCCAAAGTGCTCAGATTACAGGCGTGGGCCACTGCACCCTGATGAAAAGCTATTTCTTTAAGAAAATATTTTAGAGAAACCTCACTTATATCATTCAAGTAACTACCATCATAAACTATCTTACTCTTTAATAAAAATATCTGATACTAGGTTTTAAGTAGCCACTCTCTCTTAAACAGTATCTTCAAAAACAATCTAAAATTACTCTACTCTAACTATACACAAAACTGCAATAGGGTATAAAAAATATTAAGGTGGAGCCAGGTGTGGTAGCTTATGCCTGTAATCTAAACACTTTGGGGGCCAAGGCAGGAGGATCACTTGAGGCCAGGAGTTCGAGACCAGCCTGGGCAACACAGTGAGACCCTGTTTCTTAAAAAAAAAAAAAATTAATGTATGAAGGTGGAACAAAGGTGACTTTCACTTTCAGCCAGGACACAGTGACTGGTACCAGACTAGCCCTTGTCACCAAAAACTATAAAAGAAGACAGAAATACATGAGGCAACTATATTCAGTCACTGAACCACATGCAGACAAAAATTTACATTCCTTTAAAGAGCATCATAATCATCCTACCTCTCTGTCTGTAGACAATTTTATGATAACTGGAACAGGGGGCTAGAGGCGAAGTAGAGCAGAGGCAAAAATCACGGTGTGGGCTCATGAG
This sequence comes from Homo sapiens, assembly GCF_000001405.40. Taxonomy (NCBI): domain Eukaryota; kingdom Metazoa; phylum Chordata; class Mammalia; order Primates; family Hominidae; genus Homo; species Homo sapiens. The sequence continues at coordinate 114,444,162 of NC_000001.11, forward strand.
TGGCTGAAATCCACGGGGCAGGGCACTGGAATGGAGGGAATGATGTAGGATGAGAATGGGGAACAGAGGGTAGATAGAGGGAAGAGAAGATATTGAATATGTGTGAATTCCTCACAAGTTCTTGGTCAAAGTCTGGGCTATATATGACAGGGTGAGATTACACAAAGTTTAGCAGACTGCCGTTGCTATAAAGTTGACACTGGAAGAGAAGAACTAGAGGTCATGGATTTCTAGAAGAACTCAGCTTGAATTCTATCTTCAGAGGAGACAGACTTTGTTAATCTCCCTGGGATCTACCTGAGAAACCAGAAAGGTCACCCTTAAAGGACTATACCCTGGAGTAAGCTGTACCTTAGGCCTGTCCTAACAAAACCTAAATAAAACCAAGCCTTGACAAGATCGTCTAAGAAACAAGGTTCAGAAATTGGGTACCACCAACTTAGAAAGGCTTGGGAAATGACTTGGGCTTTCTACAGATCTTCCCTAACAAAGCATAAAACCAAGCATACACAAGCTTACAGTAATTTAAATGCCTACAAGAACAATCAAGTCTTCAGAGGAAGATAAAATTTCTAGAATTTCTACAGTGTATTGTCCACAATGTCCAAATCACAATAAAAAATTATCAGGCATTCAAAGAAATAGGAAAGCCTAACTCACAGCAAAGAAAAAAGTACTCAATACAAATTGACACCAAGATGATCTAGATGCTGTAATGAGCTAAAAGTTTAAATGGGCTATTGTATATTTATTCAAACCTTTAAATGAACATAGGTTCTTAGTGAACAAACTGACAGGAAATCTCAACAGATAGATGGAAACTACTAAAAGAAAAAAAGGAAATTCTAGAAAAGTACAATAACTGAAATGAAAAACGTCACTGGATGGACTTAGCAGCAAATGGGAGATGTCTGAAGAAAGGGTATGTGACCATCAACACACATCAATAAAAAGTATCCAGTGTGAAGAAGAGAGGGAGAGAATAAATTCAAGAAAAATGAACAATCATCAGGGACCCTTGTGACAAAATCAAATAGTCTAACATACGTGTAACTGAAGTCCTAGGAGACTTGGGGTGTTTTTTGTTTTTGGAGATAGGTCTCACTCTCTCACCCAAGCTGGAGTGAGCACAGTGGCATGATCACAGCTCACTGCAGCCTCAACCTCCTGGCCTCAAGCGATCCTCCCACCTCAGCCTCCCAAGTAGCTGGGACTACAAGCAAGCACTGCCATGCCTGGCTAATTTTAAAAAATTTTCTGGTAGAGATGGGGTCTTACTATGTTGCCCAGGCTGGTCTTGAACCCCTGGGGTAAAGTGATCCTCTCACCTCAGCATCCCAAATTCCTGGGATTACAGGCGTGAGCTACCACAACTGGCTGGAAAATCTGTTTTGAGGAATAATGGCCAATTTCCCAAATTTGATGAAAATCAGCTCAGCGAACGCCACAGAGGATAAACAGAAAGACAAACATATCTAAAAACTCCATGGTCAAAAGGGAAAGGCCAAAGAAAAAGAGGAAATCTTGAAAGCAGCCAGAGAAAAGCCATAAAACATTCAGGAAGGAACAATACGAGTGACATCCAAAACAATGGAAGCCAGAATACAAAGTAGTAATATCAATATCTTTTCAATGTTGAAAGAAAAAACTGCCCACCCAGAATTCTAGAGCAAATTATCCTTCTAAATTGAAGATTTTTTTTGTTTTTGTTTTTGAGACAGAGTCTCGCTTGATCACCCAGGCTGGAGTGCAGTGGGGTGATCTCAGCTCACTGCAACCTCCGCCTCCTGGGTTCAAGCAATTCTCCTGCCTCAGCCTCCCAGGTAGCTGGGACTACAGGCACATGTTCCCACGCCCAGCTAATTTTTTGTATTTTAGTAGACAGGGTTTCACCATGTTGCCCAGACTGGTCTCGAACTCCTGAGCTCAGGCAATCCACCTGCCTCAGCTTCCCAAAGTGCTGGGATTACAGGAGTGAGCCACTGTGCCCAGCTTAAATTGAGGATTTTCATATGACAAGAAGATGAGAGTATTCATTGTCAGCAAACCTGCAAAACAAGAAATGCTGGAGAATATTCATTAGACCAAAGGAATATAAGAGACAGAAACTCATATATACTGGAAGGAATAAAGTGAAACAGAAATGGTAATAAATTGGTAAATATGAAACACCAGCTTTTACTTTCTCTTCTCATAACTTCCTTAAAAGACAGCTTTTTTTTTTAAGTATTGTATGTTAAGGTATATAATGCATGAATAAATGATGTGGCAATAGTACAAAGGATAGTAATTGAGTAAAATGAATAATCCTTTTGTAAAGTTACTAAAACCATACAATATTTTAAGTAGACATTAAGTTAAAATTGCATATCACTATCCCCACAGCAATCGCTAAAAATAATAAAGTACAGCTTAAAAAGCCAACAGTAGATGTAAAATGGAACACCAAAAACTATTTATAAACTTAAAATAATGCAGCAAAGAGACAACAAAAGAACAAAACACAAAAAAAGAGAAATAAAAAACAAATACTAAATGGTAGATTTAACCATATCACAAGTTATATTAAATATAACAAGATTATACATTCCAATTAAAAAACAGAGAAAGGAGCCTGGCATGGTGGCTCATGCCTGTCATCCCAACACTTCGGGAGGCAGAGGCGAGAGGATCACACTTGAGCCCAGGAGTTCGAGACCAGCCCAGGCAACATGGCAAGACCCCATCTCTATAAAAATTACAAAAATTAGCTGTATGTGGTCTCAGCTACTTGGGAGGCTGAGGCAGAAGGATTGCTTAAACCCAGAAGGTTGAAATGTTTGAGAAGTAGCAAGAAAGCCAGTGTAGCTGTAGCAGAGATGGAGGGATAGGCAGAGTAGTAGCAGATAAAATGCGTGTATAAGGTCTTTAAAGCCACTATAAAGATTGACTGAAGAGTCACTGCAGGTTTTGAGCAGGGGAGTGATACAGCCCAACTTAGGATTCACTCTAGCAGTTGTATTAAGAATAAATGGAAGAGAGGTAGTATTAGAAGCATAGAGACTACTGCAGTAATCTAGGCAAGAAATGATGGTGGCAGAGACCAGGGTAGAGGCAACAGAGGTAGTACGTGGTAGGAGTTGGTGATATATTTTGAAGGTGAAGCCAAAAGGATTTCCTGATAAGTTTGGATTTGGGTATGAGAAACAAGTAGAGTCGAGGATGGTGCCAAGATTTTTGGCCTATGCAACTGAAAAAAAAAATGCAACTGCCAAACTGAGATGAGGAAAGGCTACCAGTGAAAAAAGGTTTGGAGAAAGTGATCAGTAGTTGAGTTTTGGAAGCGTTATGTTTGAAAAAGTAGACATTCAAGTGGGAGATGTCAGAGTCTGTAGGGCAGACAAATCTGAAAGTTCAGGAATAAACAATGAGCTAGAAATATAAATTTGGAAATCAATAACATATAGATGGTATTTTAAGCCCTAAGACTATACGTATAGATAATGGTGTAAACCCTCGTACATCCAACCTAGAAGAACAAACAAAATAAGCAAATGAGATTGAGAAAAAGTAATCAGTAATTAGTAGGAAGAAAATGAAAACAATGTGTTCTTCTGGTAGCCAAGTACATAAATGTGTTAAAAGGAACATTAAACATGTGAAATACTGCTGATACAATAAGGTATCAAGATGAAAACTGAGAAAACACTTCTAAATTTAGTCATGTAGTGGTTATTCATGACCTTGAAAAGAGCAATGTTGGTACAATGCTGACAGTCAAAAGCATGTAAATTTACACAGAATGGGACAGGAGGAATTAGAGACCATAATTACAAGCAATTCTTTCAAGAAGTTTTTCAGGGACAGCTCTGATGGCAAGGAAAGGAAGTTAAAGAGAAGGATTCGTGTTTCATTTTTAAAAATGGAAGAAAAACAGCAGCATACTGAAATATAGGAATAATTGTTAGAGACTGAAAAACTGACAGGTTAGCAGAAAGAAGGGCAAATTTCTGAAACAATGTCATTGGCTACATGAGAGGGGATGGAACTCAGTGTATAAGTAGAGAAATTAGCTTTCTAAAGGAAGAGAGTTCATCTAAGATAACAGAAATGTAGAAATATGGGTACAGGTGCTTGTTGGAAAAGTAGATGTGGTAGAGGGAGTCTGTAGTTCTCTTTTGATAGCTTCAATTTTCTCAGTGAAGTTGGAAGCAAATGCCAGTATTTCAGAGTGAGGATGAAGTATTTGACATTTAAAAGAGGGAAAGGTATGAATATACAATATGACTTCCAGACAACATTAACGGTCTACTTGAGGGAAGTGGTCAGGAATTGAGAATGTGACCTATTGGTATCATTATGCTAGAATGTGTTTTTCTCCTGTGATATTCAGCTGGATAAACAAAATATGATAGGAAGGAAGTCGGGTTTAATCAGGACTGTAGTTATGCCAAGTGAATTCAAAAAGTGGGATATGGGAGTCAAGGCTAAATGCAAGGGAGTGATTAAACTGATTAGCTATGACATTAAATAAGGAAGGAGTTAAATGAGATCACAAAGGGATGAGGTAAAGTGAAAGGGTAGTAGGATCAATGGATTAAAATAAAAGTCACTGTGTGGTTGAATAATTGTAGAAGTTTCGTACTAAGCAGAATGAGCTGGAGTAACAGATGTGGCCACAGAGAGGAATGCTTAAAATTGAATAGAATTATTACAAATGATAAGATCTAGTATATGACTATGCATATGAGTGGCTACAGCAGTGTAAATGACAAGAACACTGGAAAGGAGGTCAAAGAACACAAAGACTAGAGTGTCTGAAGGATCAAATCCACATATATTAAAATTGCTAGGACTTAATAGTAGCATTCTACAGTTTACCACTGAGTTAGGGAAAAAAACCTTTGAGAGATGAAGGGGAATGACCCAAGGGTTTTTAGATGACAGCAGCAATGAGAGGTTATGGGTGATGACATGAAATTAAAATCCGGATATTTCAGGGAGTAAAGAGAAAGAATGGTCTAAAAAAAACAGTAAAAAGACGTATCTCATACCTCCAGGCCCAGTCATACACGAGATGTGAAAGAAAAAAAAAGTCACCAGTCACGACAGTTGCAAGAGAAGCAGTGTCCATTATGCCAAATAAAGCAAAGAAAAGGATCAAAAAAGAGGCTGGGGATATGCAGATTCTGATGACATGCCAACAATTCCAAAGGACAAAGTGGCAGAATCAGGCACATGTAGAGCCTATGGAATTAAAGTGTGACAGATGAGGGGACGTCTGGGAGTGTGGCACTTGTGGCACTCTCTTGGGTAACAGAAAAATACAGATAAAAAATGTAACAATATTAGTCTAGTAGATACAAGGCTGATAATGATGGAGAGGCTGCAAATGGTGGTGGTAATGAAGGATGCAGTTTGGGTCTTCCTCTTGTAAAACTGTCAATGGAAAAGAAATTCTAGTTTCAGCGAGTCAACCCTATCTCCACCTCAAACGAGGATTGAAGAGTAAGAGAGTGTGGTCTTAAAAGTGACTATTCATTTCAGGAGAAATAAATACATTTCTCCAAAATATATTCTCTCCAAATTTATTCCATCTTGCCCCATGCTGCAATCGCTAATGTTTCTCATGAACTACCACATGCCAAACTTGTCAGCATTATTTTTCAAATGACCCAATATAACAAATTTAATAGACATGGTTCCATTTTTTTCCTGGAGACCTTCTTCACAGGATCCTCAGTTTTCATTCCTCATTCTAAATTATCTTACCCCATGGCTGTCATTTTAGGCATTCCCTTACCTTTTACTTTCTTGGTTTACTAACTTATTTTGGTGAATCACATTCTCTAATGGCTTTCCAAAAAGAGGTACATAAGAGGCAAAGCTTCTCAATACTTGCATGATGAAACATGTCTACATTTTATTCTCACATTGATTTATACTTTAGCTACAGAATTCTAGATCAAGGCTGGGCATGGTGGCTCACGCCTGTAACCCCAGCTACTTGGGAGGCTGAGGCAGGAGAATCGCTTGCACCCGGCAGGGGCAGAGGTTGCAGTGAGCCAAGACCGCACCATCGCACTCCAGCCTGGGCAACAAGAGCAAAATTCCGTCTCAAAAAAAGAGAATACTAGATTGAAAACCTTTGCCCTTCATCTCCCGACTTTCTTTTAACAATCCTGTTGTTTTGTTTTGTTTTGTTTTTGGAGACAAAGTCTCAATCTGTCACCCAGGCTGGAGTGCAGTGGCATGATCTCAGCTTACTGCAACGTCTACCTCCTGGGTTCAAGTGATTCTCGTGCGTCAGCCTCCCGAGTAGCTGGGACTACAAGCATGCACCACCACACCCGGACTAACGTTCCTATTTTGATTCCTATTTCATTGCTGGCTTTGGAAACTAAAAATTTACTAGAATTTTTTTGTATTTTTAGTAGAGATGGGGTTTCACCATGTTGCCCAGGCTGGTCTTGAACTCCTGAGCTCAAGTGATCTGCCTGCCTTGGCCTCCCAAAGTGCTAGGACTACAGGTATGAGCCACCATGTCTGGCCTAACGTTCCTATTTTGATTCCTATTTCATTGCTGGTTTTGGAAACTTCACTGATCTTAACCTTAATCCATAGCATACTATCATTTTATGATGTTATACACCTTGATATGGGTCTTTTTAAAAATCATTGTTCTGGGCATTAAATGGGACATTTTATCCTGGTGACTCTACATTCTTAGATGAATTTCTTGCAATAGTTATCTAATAATTTCCCAACATTTGTTTTCTTTTTTCTATAATTTATACTGGTCTGCTGGAACTCGTAATTTTTTTCTTTTAAATATTCTTCCGAGGGTGAAAAGGTCTCTAAATCCTAAAAGAGAGGTAGGAAGGGACAGTGAAATGAAAAAGCGCCATTACTAGCAATATGGAAGCAAGTCAGGGAGACTGAAGGTCCCCAGAGCTTAATGGACAGATTTATACTTAATCTCCCTGATTTCAGCCTGGTACTTCCTCCCCATGTGGACCTAATATCCCCAAGTCCAGTGCCTCTCTGATTTTATTTCTCCAGAGAATAGGTCCATTTTTTGTGACACCTATCATCTCTAGGTACTAGGTATTACAGGTTCCTGAGAAATATATTGATTGGCTTCCTTCATATCTCCTTTGCATGGCCTTAGATCATTCAATCCCATTAGGTCAAATATCAGATCCACCAAATCTTCCATTCATTACCCTGCTTTAAAAAAAAAAAAAAAAAAGGACTGAAATCCCCATTGATGTCTCTTCTCCCATTCTTAGTCTTTGTAAGTCTACAGATTTTTTAATTCCTTTAATGTGAATAGAATTTTTGGAGGGAGATGGAAAAACCCCATGGTTTATCTAGAAACCTAGTAATGTTCTCAGGTACAAAATTTCATGCAGTTCTATAGCTGCTTTCCTTTTTCAAAACAACTTCTAAAGCCATAAAGTAAATCGAAGACTTCAATTAAAAAAAAAATTTAAATAAAGAGAAAAAAATAAAACATGTGGGCTGCAACTGTAATAACAGCCAATAATAGCTAAACTGTTATTGAGTGCTTACTATGCTAAGCACTTTATAGGTACAATTCTCAGTGCTTGTAATCCTCACAACAACCTTATAAAGTTGGCAGTATATTTCACTTAAAAGATATACACACAAAACATAGCTCATCTTTTTCACTATGCAGCAATTATTTTAATTTAAACAAAAATTTTAAAAAGCAGGGAGAGGCAAGAAAAAACAAAACACAGTTTTAGACTGTATAAATGGATGATTATGGAATGAAGCTAAATTCAGAGGAAAATTTACATCTTTTTGATTAACTGAGGTTTCACATAAGATTCTAAAAAGAATACAGCAAAATCAAACTAAGCAAAAAATTAATAAAGATAAAAGAAAACTGTGAGGATCAGAACACTTCTAAAGAATAAATGAATTAAAAAACTGGGTCACTAAAATGACCAATAAAGACCACAAACTTATGGCCAATCTAATAAAGAACAGGAAATAAACTCAGCTAGAAAACATCATAAACAGGCTGGGCATGGTGGCTCATGCCTGTAATCCCAGCACTGGTGGGCGGATCACGAGGTCGAGAGATTGAGACCATCCTGGCCAACATGGTGAAACCCCGTCTCTACTAAAAATACAAAAAGTAGCTGGGCGTGGTGGTGTGCGCCTGTAGTCCAAGCTACTCAGGAGGCTGAGGCAGGAGAATCGCTTGAAACCGGGAGGCGGAGGTTGCAGTGAGCCCAGATCACGCCACTACACTCCAGCCTGGCAACAGAGTGAGACTCTGTCTCAAAAAAGTAATAATAATAATAAACAATCATAAGATATAACTACAGATCTTCATAAAATCTTAATGTTTAATTCAACATTTTTTAACCTCTACTAAATAATTTTCTAACAAAATATAAATTATCACAATTGCAAAGTTGACTCAAGAAGAGATGGGAGCTGGGTGCAGTGGCTTATAAGTGTAATCCCAACAATTTGGGAGGCCAAGGCAGGAGGACTGCTTGAGGCCAGGAGTTCAAGACCCGGGCAACATGGCAAGACCCCATCTCTTAAAAAAAAAAAAAAAAAAAAAAAAATTAGCCAGGGATGGTAGTATACACCTGTAGTCATAACAATTTGGAAGGCTGAGGCAGGAGGATCACTTGAGCCCAGGAGGTTCAAGGTTACAATGAGCTATGATCATGCCACTACACTCCAGCCTGGGTGACAGAGCAAGACACCCTGTCTCCTAAAAACAAACAACCCAGAAGAGACAGAAGACCTGACTGACTCAATAAGCGTATAAGAAATTGAGATTCTTAAAGAACTCGCCCTAAAAGTCCTTAAGTCCAGAGCGAGGAAGAGGGGGTGTTGGTAGGGAGGGAAAAGAATGGAGCAGAAAGCGTTAGTTAAGACACACAGAAGTGGATAGGCACAGTGGCTCATGCCTGTAATCGCAGCACTTTGGGAAGCCGAGGTGGGCAGATCACTTAAGGCCAGGAGTTTGAGACCAGCCTGACCAACATGGCAAAACTGCATCTCTACTAAAAATACAAAAATTAGCCAGGCGTGGTGATGTCCACCTGTAATCCCAGCTACTCGGGAAGCTGAGGCATGAGAATCACTTGAATCCAGGAGGCAGAGGTTGCAGTGAGCCGAGATCATGCCACTGCACTCCAGCCTGGGCAACAGAGAGAGTCTGTCTCAGGAAAAAAAAAAAAAAAGATACAAAGAGGTGAACTCGTTTTAAGGTTAAATGGCTCTCCTAATAAATACAGGTCTAAGAAACCGCATGTACAAAGTTGGAGGGTTAGGTAGAGGGTTCTTGCTACTAAAGTGTAAGTGGAAGATAAGAGATTGTTTAGTAAAAAAGTTAACTTTGCCCAAAGAGAGATCTAGCCTTTGCCTTCAGTCCCTGGCAGGTAATCTCTAACCCCCTGAAATGTCCTGCCTGATGAAATTATCTTTGTTTGCCTGGGGACTTGAGCCAAGCTAGATAGTCTGTGTCAACAATCTGATTTACAGTGGGAGCTCTGGGTCACACAGTCTCATATCAACCTCAGGAGGAGCTGTCCTGGAGACTGAGGTCTACCATGTGGCTGGTGAACCACATCTATGTGACAGAGACTGACCCAATAAAAATTCTGGACACCAAGGTTTAGGTGAGATTCCATGGCTGGCAATATTTTGTGCACACTGTCACACATCACTATCAGGAGGTGTTTATGATGTCCATGGCTCCACTGGGAGAAGACAACTGGAAACTTCACATTTGGAACTCTCCTGGACTCTGCCCTGTGCATCTTTCCCTTGGATGATTTTAATCTGTATCCTTTCACTGTAATAAACATAACTGTGAGTATAACAGCTTGCAGTGAGTTCTGTAAATTCTAGCAAATTATCAAACCTGAGTGTAGTTTTAGGGAATCTTGATCTTACAAGTGGTGTCAGAAGTGAAAGGAGTCTCGTGGATTACTCTCTAATTTTATAGTTAGCATCAGAAGTGGGATCAATTGAATGACCCTGGCTTACTAAAACAGGTGGTTTGCGAAGAGGGAGGATGAGAAGGTGGGAATTGATAAACCTTTAATTCTTGGATGGGTACCCAGTCATGGTATGGTTGTATAACTGCAGCTGCAGTTACTAGAGGTAAAAATTACCAATGGAATTTAGAAATGGTAGACCCAATTCCAGAGGAGTTGAACCACCAGATAAACAAGGAAATGCAAACTAATAAGAAAAAAAGTAGGCCAGGCATGGTGGCTCATGCCTATATACCAAGTACTTTGAGAGGTCCTGGAGGAAGGACTGCTTGAGCCCAGGAGTTCAAGACCAGCCTGGGCAACATAGGAAGTCTTCATCTCTACAAAAAAATAAAAAATTAGCCAGATGTGGTGGCACATGCTTGTAGTCCCAACTACTCAGGTGTCTGAAGTGAGAGAACTGCTTGAGCCCAGGAATTCAAGCCTTCAGTGAGCCACTGCACTCGAAGCCTGGGCAATAGCACAAGACTCCTCTAAAAAAAAAAAAAAAAAGTTAATGAAACAATTCCTTTGTTACTGCTACCTGTACTAGCTAAAATGAAAATACAAGAGAATGTTAGGACAGATCTTGACACTGGGCCAAGCTCAGACTTCAGCCAGTCTGGGCTGCAGTCACTAGTCTCAGGGTCACTCCAAAAGGAAAAATTATGCTGGAACATTAGATAGCATGTCTGTGACTTCCAGTTACAAGGAGGTAGTCTAGGTATGAGAAAGACAAAACCAAGAAACTACTGAAACCAGGGATTATAGTACAAATTGTCTCATTTTGTTGATCAACACTATCAGCTTCTGGAATAAAAACCTTTACTAAAATGGACTGTGACAGTGATTGACTTAGAGGCACAGGATCTTTGGTTTTTAATGCTGTAGAATGGAAGAGTGTGTCTAGGTTGAAGCGAGACCCACAGCTCACTACTGTACAACCAGAGAAGGCTATACATGATCCAGACACACCAGCAGGTTATTCCCAAGGGGACAGCTAGCCCAGTGGACTAGATATAAAAGCCACTGTAAAGTGTGTTTACCTTGAAAAGGGCAACTATCCTCCTCCTCCTATAAATGCCAAATTGAACTCCCCAGAATAAGCAGCTGATAAGCTTCTTATGCAAGCTACACTGGACTGACATGATGATGGGATAGTCAGGAGATGACTATGAGTGACATGACTATGACTCAGTATGCCTTATGGTATATGGTAAATACTGTGATTGAGGGGGCCCCTTTTGCATGGATACCCCCATGTAACCTTACTGCTGTAAAATCTAGCAATAATCTGAGAAGCCTTATCAGAAGTATTGTCTAAGCTTCCCTTTACAGGTCTTAACAGATGCTAAGAAAATCAGAGTTAAGTCATAAGAAAACAGGGAAATAGTAGAGTAGAGGTCAAGGAATTTATCCCAGGAAGATGGAAATCTACAGATGGTTGTTTTAAAATGGGATGAATAAATTGAACACAGATGGAATTGAAACAAAGGTCTTAATGCAGCATTACCATGGGACTGGATAAACCAATGAGAGCCCCAGCTAGTTCCCAACATTAAAGGGCCTTAAACTAACTATGCTGTATTTTACCCCAGTTTGGGAAGATTTAAAAAGCCAGGGAACAAAGATGACAATAAGCAACCTGACCTCAAATTGCCTGGGACAATAGTCTGGCAGATTACTCAAGATGAAGACAGAGAGGTCAACCAGCAACTGGGGAACTAAGGCAATATACACGTGTGGGTAAAAATGCCAGGGGTAGATAAGAGACCTTACTAAAACTCCTTGACAGGGAGGCCCAAGGCACCATAATTCTAAATCTTGTTGAAGTCCTAACAGGTGTTAAGGTTAAATTGAAAGGTGACAGCTAATGGGATTAAGGTAAACATTTAGATTAAAACTAGAATGTCTCAGCTGCCTTTATGTGAGGTGGTTACGTCTTCATTACCTGAATGTACTATTGGGATAGACAGTATGTTTGACTGAAAAGTACACCTGTCTAATATTGAAAACAGAAAGCACGTAAGTTCACCTTGAGGTCAATGTTGATGAGAAATGCTAATTAGGAACCACCAGAACCACCCAGGCCCTCAGAAGTTGTTAATTTTGGACAGTGTAAGGTACTGCCTGATGAAATTACCTGTTGGACAAAAAGAAATTACCATTTTAATGAAGAATTAGACAACGGAGTGCTGGTGCCAATGAATTCTTTGTACAATAATCCTGTGTGGCCTATGAAAAAAGCAGATGGCTCATGGAGACTAACAGTGAACTATGAAAGCCTGAAGTAGTTCCGCCATAGCATCAGCAGTTCCTAATATGGTCTCAACAGTACAAAAAACATATAAAATATATAGCAGGCCAAAGGAAAACAGTACTCAGGGACTAATCTTGTGAATTTCTTTTTTTATTTTACCTCCATCCTCAAAAAGAGCCAACCACAATTTGCCTTTGAGTGGGAGAGATCCCAATTTGCACTTACTCTATCACCACAGGGTTATTTCCACTCACCAGCTTACTGTCATAATTTGATTAGGAGAAATTTAGAGTTGATTCGGGTCCCCACATGTAATAATATAGTATACTGATGATGTCATGATACTATCAGAAACTGAAGACCAAGGCAGGACTAATTTAAACGCAATGGTGATAAAAAGTTTGGGGAATTAGGGGAAAAAAGCAGTGATGACATGTGACCAACAGGAGCTGTATGATAAATCCAGCAAAGGTCTAACGGCATGCCTAAATGGTGAAAAAATCCTTAGAAATAACCAGAGTAGAAGCATCCTGTGATACTCAACAGAGAAAGAAAAATATACTGCTGTAGCCACCTACCCCAGCACTAAATAAGAAGCCCAGTGTTTGGTTGGGTATATCCGTGTTTTGAAGGACACATATTCCATATCTGGGAATACTGCTTGCTCCTATCAATAAAACTCCCAAAAAGAGGCCTACATTTCAATGAGGCCTGATCAAAGACAGGCTGTATCTGAACTGCAGAAAGTAGTCTCTCTAAATACTTTCCAGCCCTATGATCCGCCATGATTTTGTCCATGTCCGGCCCTATGGACATTCCGCCATGATTTTGGGAAGTGTCAGCCACACATACTAATGCAGACTACAGCTTATGGGCAAAACCCTATGAGTGCCACCCAGCAGCAACCACTAGGATTTTTGGACCAGAAGATGTCCAGATGCCATAGTACAATGTACAACACTGTAGAAAAAAATAGCTACTACAGGCATTAACTGAGACTGAATCTATGACTGAAGGACATAAAATAATCCTGAAATTCAAAACAGCCATAATATCTTAGGTGATGTCGGAGAAACACTAATAAGGAAGGCAGTGTCCAGAAGAGTTCCCTATAAAATAGAAATAGTTTGCACAGGATTTACAACCAGGAGAATGCAAAGAGGTACTCATTATATTTATAAGCAGGTAGCTTCTTTTTCCCTAAGGCTGACTTTGAAACTACCTGAGGAGCTGCTGATCCTGTGATCGGATGGGTGCTACACTATAAACTACTTTCTATTAATCAGTAAAGAGCAGTTTGGTTTATGGACAATTCCAAGGTGAATGGACAGCATCTTGTTTGGAGGGCCACCACTGTGATTACAGAAGGTAAAAAATCAACTCAGCGGGCATGTGATTTTCCCCTATGTTTGGGTTTTCACGGAACTCTGCAGTTGGTGTCAGAAGTAATGGTGATCTTGTGGACTGTTTCGTAACTTTGAACAGACAATGAAGAAAGACACTGGTAAAATTCAATAATGTATGTTATACTTGCAACTGCCTTTGCAAAATTATAACAGTGAGAGAAATCTAACACAACTGACTCCACCTTGCTTCTAACCTCACAAGCTGTCTTTGCTCATTCCCATATGTGGGCCAACCTAACTATGGGAGGAATTTATTTTATAGTTTAAAGCAAGCATAATAGTTTCTTCCTGAAACTAATACCCTCCTTGTTCAGGGACTGAAACCACCTTTGTAAAGCTAATGAAAGGCTATAAGGTTAGAATTACAGTAGGAGCCTAAATTCTGCTAAGATTTAGGCATAAACAGCAACCATTGTTCCCTGTCTTGTTTTTTATAATTGCTTATTGCTCAGGAGTCACTAGCAAGTGGTCACAAGATTTCTAACTTCCCCTATAGATAAGATCACTATTGTGAAATCTAAGACTAGTGTTTGAGATATTTTTCAGACTCTGCATTCTGCTGGACTAACTGCTACCACCCAGGCTGGTGATCCATACCAAGAGACTAATTCAACTGGTCCTGTGACCCCTACTCAGGAAGTGACTCAGCATAACTCACTGCACAAAGACAGTTTTGACACCTCTATGATTTCATCCCTGACCCAAGCAATCAGCAGCACCCATTCCCTAGCCCCTGCCCACCAAACTATCCTTTAAAAACCCTCATCTCCAAATTCTCAAGGAGTTGGAATTTGAGAAATATTTCTCAAATATCTCCCATCCTCCTTGCTCAGCCACTCTGCAATTATTAAACTCTTTCTCTGCTACACCTCCTGCTGTCTCAGTGTATTGACTTTTTCTGGACAGGGAGAAAAGGAGAATCTGTCTGGGTGATAACATACTGAACACTTAAACTTTGGTTACTGTTAAGTATTTTTTTAATGGGGGCTCAACTATACGTTAGCAAAATAACCCTGGCAGCAATATAGACAGGATGAATTTAACAGAGTTAAACTCAAAGTAGGGAGAATAGTTGTAAATGTGTTGTAGTAATGGGAAGCTGGCTTTTAAGTCCAATGACATGGTTTCTGCAACAGTCCATCCAGAGAAAATAAAATGAAAGCATGAACAAAAGAGAAGAAATGTGTGATATTTTAGTATATATTTGTTCTGGTCTTTGTCCCTATTCCTGGCATACAATTCCTAAAACCCTCAGAATCTCTGAAATAAGTATATTTTTGTATGTTAACAAAATGACCAATGGCTGGGGACTCCCAGACCCATCAGGATGGGTGCTGGCTGCCAGGGGAACCAACCAGATAATTAAACAGTTGGAACTTTCAGCCCTACTTCCTAACCTAGGAAGGGAAGGGCTGAAGGCTGAGATGATCACAAACGATCAACAATTTAATCACGCATCCCTAAATAATGAATCTCCATAAAAACCTGAAAGAGCAAGGGTTGGAGAGCTTCCAGGTTACTGAACACGTGGAGGATAAGGCATCCACCACAGAGTGTTGTGGAAACTCTGTACCCCTTCCCACATACTTCACCCTATGCATCTCTTCATCCAGTTGTTCATTTGTATTCTTTAAAATATTGTTGAGCTGGGCATGGTGATATGCACCCGTAATCTCAGCTACTGGTGAGGCTGTGGCAGGAGGATCATTTGAGCCTAAGAGTTTAAATCCAGCCTGGGCGACATAGCAAGATCTAACCTCTTTTAAAAAATTAAATAAAATGTTGTCTAGTGGTACACATCTCTAGTCCCAGGTATGTGGGACACTGAAGTGGAAGAACCACTTGAGCCCAAGAGCTTGAGTCCAGCCTGAGCAACAGAGTGAGATCCCGTCTCTTCAAAAAATAAGAAAAATTCTCTCTCTCCATATATATATACAGTTAAACAAAAATTACAGGAGGACATTGTTCTGGACTAAGCTCCTGCACTAGGCCCCAACAGATCAGACTAAAAATCAAAATACAGATAGAACCAGAAGTAGCATATAGTTCTCTTCCCTTTTGTGGCCACTGCTGAAGCAAGAGTGGCCAAAATAAAGTTTAATCCCTTTGTAACTTCTGACTGAAGCAAGAACCACAAAAGGTGTTTCAATGCACCTTCCCACATTCATAGGAAGATTATGTCCTCCCCTCTTTCCTAAGAGCTAAGACAGAAGTACAACGTTCATTCCATGCCCATGCAAAAGGATGATAAATTTCAGATTGTGCGAGGACACTATAAAGGTCAGCAAACTGGCAATTTAGTCGAAGTTTGAAATATATCATCAACACTGAACAGGTGCCATGGGAAAAGGCTAATGGCACAACTGTCCACGTAGGCATTCACGCCAGCATAGTGGTTATCACTAGGTTAAAACTGGACAAAGACCGCAAAAAGATCCTTGAACAAAAAGTCAAATCTCACCAAGTAAGAAAGGAAAAGGCCAAAATACAAGGAAGAAACAATTGAGAAGATGCAGGAATAAAGTAATCTTATATACAAACTTTCATTGAAACTGTTGAAATAGAAAAAAAAAATCAAAATGGAGTCCTTCATGCTGAGTTCATCAAGCTGAAAATGAGTTATCAGACCATCCAAGAAATGAGGAGAGAGATAACACCCTAATTTCCCAAATAAGCCTGTTTCAATTGGCATGATAATGAGGCTCCCTGTGTTTAACACCCCCCGCCACCTTTTTTTTTTTTTTTTTTTTTTTTTTGGTAAACCTCTCCTACGGTGCTGATGTCTTTAATCCTTACAACAAAGGGTAACCTGAGGTAACCTGATGTTAGCCAATAAATTATTTCTCTATTGTTCTGCCCTTCTCCAGCCTTACTAGGAAAGTAACTTTGAAATGACCAATCCACTTTTTATTATTTGTTTTTGCTTTCCTCAGTCCCTCTCTCTCTATAAAACCAAGCTCCTCTGCTCAGTTCACTGAAACACTTGTTTTATTTTATGGAATGAAGTATTGCTCAAATCTAAAATCACAAATAAAACCAATTAAGATCTTTAAATTGTCGTAATTGCTGTAATTTGTAATAAATTGGCAGTAGTAAGTTAAATGCTTCCCTGAGTTCTGTGACCCATTCCAGCAAATGACCAAACTCAAGGAAGGGGTCGTGGGAACCGCCCCGCCCCACCCCCAATTTATAGTAAGTCAGTCAGAATACCAGAGGCCGGGGCCAAGCTCAGTGGCTCACATCTGTAATCCCAGCACTTTGGGAGGCTGAGGAGGGAGGACAGCCTCAGGCCAGGAGTTTGAGGCTGCAGTGAGCTATGATCATGCCACTGCATTCCAGCCTGGGTGACAGAGCAAGAACCTGTCTTTAAAAATATATATATATATATATATACATATATTTATATTTTATATTTTATATATATTATATATTTATTATTATTATATATTTATATATTATATTTTATATTTTATATATATATATTTTAAGTACCAGAAGGTGGGACTTAACGACTGGTATTTGAAGTGGAATGGCAGTTTGCAGGACTGAGCCCTTAACTTGTGGGACCTGACTCTAACTCCAGGTAGACGGCGACAGAACTGAACTGAATTTCTGGACACCAAGCTGGCGAGAATCAGTCAATATGAGGGGAAACTGGTCACACACATGGTCACAGAAGTGCTCTGTGTTGTGTGAGTATAGGAGGAGAAAAAAAACATTTTTTTTAAATTATACAAGAGATAATAAGGACTTAGATATAAGTGGTAAAGGAAAATGGTAAAAGAAAGGGAAGGATAATGGTTAAACTTTGAGGTGGCAATGCCGCTGAAGCTATTCTTTAATGAGGAAAAGTATGACATCTTCCTTTTCTTTTTGCCTCTCACCATCAACTTAAAAAGCTATAAGAAATCTAACACTCAAAAAAAGATCTGACTGCAGCTGTGAAAAAGGTAATCTAATGTCTTACTGAGACTGTTAGCAGACAATCTAAAATTTCAGCCAAGTTATAGGTTAAGACATTTCTGAACAAATTAAGAGCACAAAAATTTAATAAATATACTGTAAAGCTGTGAGAGATACCTTGAAAAAGAACAAAAAGCACTACACCTTTATATAGTCAAATTTGAGACATTCTGCATTCTATATTCTCTATACCCTATGGAAGAAAATGAGCATATGGGTTAAGAAGAGATCTGGAGTCTGACTACCTGTATTCAAATCCTGGTACTACCAATTACTATGAGACTTTGTACAGATTACTACAGCCTTTTGTGAGTAGGCTCTCTTACACTTAAAACCGTCATAATACTAGTACCTAAACCTCATGGATAGTTGGTGTGAATTAAATACATATTCAGCACTCAGAAAAGTACCTGGCACAAAGTAAGGCTGCAATAATGGTTGGCAATTGGGATTACTGTATCCCCTCTTTAAGAAGGCTCTAATAAACTTCAATGAATTCTAATGAATTAAAAACCCTAAGAAATCATATCGTTAAGAAACACATTTAAGTGTGGTTAACCCAAGTTCTCTTATACATTTTTGGCAATAGATTAATAAAATCTATTCCCATCCAGCCATAAAAACTGTTGTTTGAAAAACACTTTGGAAAATTCTGGACTATGGGTGACACCATCTTTTTACTTGTAATAAACAGATGCCATGGAAGCTGGAGAAATTTACTGAAGGATATTGTTACACAACTGACTAGAAATTTTTGTACAGTTTCCAAACCGTTCATATGAAACACACTCCTAGTAAATGAATACTACTGAATTCTGAGGGTACAAGGCTAAAATACAAAGGTATGTATTAGAGGGTCAGTAACTCTGCTTAGTTGTTCATAAATCCCTAGCTTTTCTACAAATTTTATATGTAACATGAAATCAGTGTATTTGTGATTTGATGTTTAAAAGAATACTGCTTTTGTAGATTACAGCCAAAAATACTATAGGACACCAAGAAAAAGCTTATTTGAATCACAGGAGTAGCAAACAAATGCATAATATAACTCCATTCTTGTAAACCCAAACCTACAAAATGATACATTTTAACAAACATTCATAAGACAATTAGATTTAAATGTGGAAATCTTTAAATAATTTACCAAAACATATATTGCTCAAGAAATTAAAATATGTAAAATACAGATTTAAAAGATTAAGACACAAACATATAATCAATATTTGCTTTAAGAAGAAGAATGACTTTACAAGCACTTTTTATAGTATTTCCTGGTAAGCAATTATGATTTCTGTACCTATGTTCTTTGTGTTCCAATAGCTGACAGTCTCTACATGTCAATCTATCACATGTTTCACAGAAAAGTTTCAACTGTTCTTGTTTGTGTACAGGGCAGAAAACAGGGCGTTGACCAGATGCTCCAACAGACTCTGTAGCAAAATAAAACAAATATTTTTTAACCAAACATAAAATTTTTGTCTAGTTTTCTAAATTCCTATTGATGTTGCTATCCAAAGTTTATAAAGAATAAGTAGAAAATTCTATAGGGGCAAAAGAAGGAGGTTAACTGTAATCATTGTAATGATTACAATGCATCTATCTTACCTGAGACATCTTCTTTCTTCCTGATCAAGTGATCTTTAGTAAATTTTACTCTTTGATGTGCTTCGATACATGTCTTACATAGCCACTCTCCACATTCTACACAAAAGCCAACTGCACTTGCATTGTCTTCACAACTAGTACATACCTAAAAGAAGAAATAAGCACTAATCTAAATTAAATACATAAAATCTAGATCTAAAAAAAAAAAAAAACTTGTTCTTCAATATACTATTTCACTGTACACAGAATAAAATTATTTTGTTATCCATTTATCTTCAACAAAATCCTTTTCCTTACAGATCATTCATGTAGGTAAAAATCTAAGGCTGAGAACACGAAGTCTGTGCAGATTTGACTTTTTTTTTTTTTTTTTTTGAGACAGGCTCTCGCTCTGTCACCCAGGCTGGACAGCAGTAGTGCAATCACGGCTCACTACAGCCTCAACTTCCTGGGCTCAAGCAATCCTCCAACCTCAGCCTCCCAAGTAGCTGGGACTAAAGGCGCATGCCACCACGCCCGGCTAGTACTTTTATTTTTTGTAGAGATGGAGTCTCACTATGTTGCCCAAGCTGGTCTCGAACTCCGGGGCTCAAGCAATCCTCACACCTCAGCCTCCCTAAGTGCTGCGACAACAGGCGTGAGCCACCATGCCTGGCCCAAATTTGACATTTTAAGTAATAGCTTTAGTCTCATTTAACTAAGTTTGAGAGTATATAAGAAAGCTATCTTTAACTTTCTATTTGAAACAGGAATCCATAGCAGAACCACCCTAAATGACTTAACTATCCAAACATGTTTTTCTTATAACTTACAGTTTGATATCAAGATAGGAATATAAAGAAAAATTGAGAAGCATACCTGTTCTGATTTTTCATCAGAACTGCTAGGAGCTTCAGATGTGTCTTTCACAAAATAATTATCCACAAGGTCTATCTGTCTGCATTCTTGGCGGCATACTGGGCACCGTATTACACCAACTACAACATAAAATAACAACATTTTAAAATATTCTTCAGGAATAAAGAAATTGTGCATGATGTCCATATAGAAACATTAATTCATCACAGAGAAGACCAAAGAAATGAGCATCAAGAGCTCAGTAAAATAACCCAGCGAGTTATTCCATTTGGGTAAAAGTGATACTCTATTTAGGAAAAGAAAAAACAAGCATTATGATGCCTCCCAAGAAGTGCTTCCTCATTATAATATGTGGTTAGCTGAATAATTGCCCCAAAAGAAATCCAGATCCTGATCTTCGGAAACTATGAATATTAATTTACATGGTAAAAGGGACTTTACAGATGCGATTAAGGCTCTGGAGATGGTTTGTCCAGCGGGTCCTAAACGTGATCAAGTGACCTTATCAGGGGGAGGAAGAGGAAGGTAAGACTACAGAAGAGTGGAAGGCAATTATAATAACAATGGACGCAGGGAGTAGAGTGATGCACTTTATAGATGAAGGAAGAAGCCGGAGAAAAGAAAGACAGGCAACCACTAGAAGCTGAAAGAGACAAGGAAATGGATTTTCTCCCAGAGCCACCAGAAGGACCAGTCCTGCCACCACTTTTGACTTTAGCCCAGTGAAAGGGATTTCAAACTGCTGGCCTCCATAATGGTAAAACAGTAAGACAGGTGCTGTTTTAAGACACTAAGTTTGTGGTAATTTTGTTACAGCAGCAACAGAAAACTAATATACAATCTATCATCTTATAAATTCTGACTTGGTTAGAGATACTTGAATACATGCTAATATGAGAAGAAAGATCATCTGTCCCTTCACCTGCTAGTGTTCCAGGACTTATCAGAATGGATAAACTGTTGAGGTAACACATAGAGGCTAAATAACTGAAAATAGCACCAGAGTCAACACAACAAACTGACTACATGTCAGCCATGAAATAGAGGATACAGCATAAATGACACAATCCACACCTTCAAGAAGGATTCTAGATTAGTATGTAATTTTTATAGTTTATAATGTACACAATTACAGAAAGCACCAAAGACTGGGATATAAACCAAGTCCCCATGAGTTGTGTAGTACACAAACTGTAGTACCATATATAGTCATTCTGATGGAAAATGAAAACATAAATAAAACTTATCACTCTAAAAGAAGGGTGAGGTGGCTCATGCCTGTAATCCCAACACTTTGGGAGTGGAATGATCACTTGAGCCCAGGAGTTTGAGGCCAGCCTGGACAACATAGTGAGACGCCATCTCTAATTTTAAAATAAAATAATTAAAATTAAAAAATAACTACTGTTATATATTTAAAACAAAATACTGTTCTTATTAATATTTCCTCTTTATTTTACCAAAAACATGGTATAAAAATAAATAAAAAGAGCCGGGCGCGGTGGCTCACGCCTGTAATCCCAGCACTTTGGGAGGCCGAGGCGGGCGGATCACGAGGTCAGGAGATGGAGACTATCCTGGCTAACATGGTGAAACCCCGTCTCTACTAAAAATTAAAAAAAAGTCAGCCGGGTGTGGTGGCACGCGCCTGTATTCCCAGCTACTCAGGAGGGCGAGATAGGAGAATCGCTTGAACCCGGGAGGTGGGGGTTGCAGTGAGCTGAGATCGCGCCACTGCACTCCAGCTTGGGCGACAGAGAGACTCGGTCTCAAAAAAAAAAATAAATAAATAAAAAGATCTTGGTAAAAGGAAACACACAAAAACAATTTTTCAAACCAAAGGGAGAAATAGTAAAGTGAAGAGAAAGGGGAAAAGGAAAAATATTTTCACATTTGGGAAAGCATGACTTAAAAACCTCTTGAGAAAGTGTATTATATAAAACTACAAAGAAGATAAGTATAAGTAACTGTAGAGACAAAGATATGAGAGCAACTAACTCTTCTTAGAGTAAATCAGTTAAATTTTCACCAAAAAGATAACACTTCTAATAGGGTCTTGAAGAATGAACGTGACTATACTAGTGTGCAAGAAAGGGTTTATTTGGCAGGCCTGGGTTGCTCAAATGCTGCACATTCCTTCTTAAGAAAGGCCTATCTTCAGGACTGGCCCTTTACACGTTCCTGGGAGATGACCTCTGAGCCCGTGGAAAATTCTGCCTGGTAAGAGTACTTTTGTATACCTGAGGCTTTAAGCCATACCGTGTTTGACCTCTGGGTGCACTGGTGTCCAAGTAGCTGATTACCAGTCCTGTGGGGGCTGCGTGGCAATGAGACTGATCTCCAAAACTTAGACACCAAGGCTCAGGTGAGATTCCCTACTTGGCAATACTCCCAGTGTATTGTCCCACATTGTTGCTGGGGACATCTGAAAGCATGGGTCTGCTTTCTCTTGGGCTTTGCACCATGCACCTTTTCTCTTTGCTGATTTTAATCTGTATCTTTCAACTAAATTAGGGTTTCTCCATGTTAGTCAGGCTGGCGTCGAACTCCTGACCTCAGGTGACCGATCTGCTCGCCTTGGCCTCCCAAACTGCTCGGATTACAGGCGTGAGCCACCGCACCCCGCCAGATCAGTTAACTCTTCAAGAAGTTTATATGTATAAGTGTATTTAGTCCTCATAGCAGCCCTGTAAAGTAGGTTCTATTACTATCCCCACATTAAAGGTGAAAAAATTGAGGTTCGGAGAGATTAAGAAACATTCTGAAGGTCATGTGGTGACGTAAATGCCAAGATCTGAATTCAACTAACATGTCTGTGTCTACAGCTCATGCTCTTAAGAACTATGCTAAACTATTTCTCTAATTAAAACGCTGGTCTATCAGTAACAAAAGAGACTAAACTAAGGCAGTATTAAAGGAAATGTAGAGGATAAATCAGAGTATCAATTGGACTTAATAAATGACTGTATGATGAAGGAGTACTAAGAGTTACAATGAGGAAACAAATTAGAAATTCTAGATGATTCCCAAGTTCCTGGTGTGGGTAATGCATAGATAATTACATAACTACTCAAAATGAGGAAAAAGTGTTTTAGCCAGAAATGTAATGAGTAAGTTTTGGATAGATGGTGTTTAACTAGCATATTTCTGGAGCTGAAGGGTGTGGAGGGAGCTACCAGCATGTAAATAACTCAAATGTGAAATGTAGTTATGACTGCTGAGGAAGAATATTATCAAGGACAATAACCCTTGTTACACCAATATTTACAAGTCAAGCAGAAGAAACAGAGCTCTCAAATTTAGGAGACAGCTTTCAAACATTTTCAACTGCAAACCACAGGAAGTACACTTTACATCAAAGGCCAGGACACAAATACATACCTGTCTGTGTAACTGAAACAAACACAAGTCAAACAAGGATCAACTACTTTTCCATTAACCATTTATGATTAACTTGTTACCACTGTACCAATTTACTTTTAAAATTACATAATGCGCTTAAAGTCAGCTGACTCTTAGCATGACCTAACAATCTTTTCATTTAGCCCTAGCTTCTCTTTCCAATATTCTCAAGCAGTCACACCAAAGCTTTGGTCATCAACACCACTCTCCTTTCCCTTAGAAAATAATGAAAAATTACAGATATATTTTCAGATAGAGAGGGGAGTTGAGAGAATTTATACCTACAGCCTCTAATTACTTAAGTCAGAGCCCAGTCCAAATGATAAGAGAGTCCTGTGAGTTAAGTGTTGAAAGACTGGAATGAATTATCCAAAGAATAGGAAAAAGAAGCTGGATGGAAAAAGATTGTCAAGTCGTGCCAGAAACCTCAAACTGGAGAAGTATAACCATGCCTAAGTCTAGTTCCTCTCTCCACCATGCACCTATCTCTTATTCATCTCTATTCCCACCCTATGTGCACACATTAATAAGGGGCTAGAGAGTGCAGTGGTGTGAGAGGTAACAGCAGGAGCAGCGCTGCTGCTGGGGGCTAGGGCTGATTTGTCTGACTTCCTGTCTGTGCCTAGCCCATTCGAGCTGCAGCCATGTCTGGGGATGAGATGATTTTTGATCCTACTATGACCAAGAAGTAAAATCAGCAGCAGCAGTCCTTTAGTTAGAGGAGGAAGGGGATACCCAAACAGAGGAGACCCAGCCCTTAGAAACAAAACAAGTGGCGCCAGAGCCAACTGGGGACAAAGAATTGGAAGCTGATGAAGAGAACAGTAGGGAAAAAGGTGCTTCTGATGATCTAGATGACTTGAACTTCTTTAATCAAAAGAAAAGAAAAGAAAAAAACAAAAAAGATGTTTGATACTGATGAAGCTGAAGAAGGTGTAAAGGATCTTAAGATTGAAAAAATATTCAAGAACCAGCTGAACCAGAGTATGACCTTAATATTATGCTTGGCAATAAAAAGAAGAAAAAGAAGAATGTCAAGTTCCCAGATGAGGATGAAATACTAGAGAAAGACAAAGTTCTAGAAGATGAAGACAGCAAAAAAGATGACAGTATCTCATTCAATAATCATACAGGCCCTGCTAGGGCAGTCTCAAATACACATAAGGAGCTACTGAAGCGAGTGTGCAACATCACGAGGGAAAAGAATCCAGATGTGGTTGCTGAAAAGGAAATCTGTCATCAAACCTCTACAGGTCATTTGAGTAGGAACCAAGAAAACTTATTTTGTCAACTTTACAGATATTTGTAAACTATTACATCATCAGCCCAAACATCTTGCATTTTTGTTGGCTGAACTGGGTACAAGTGGTTCTATAGATGGTAATAACCAATTTGTAATCAAAGAAGATTCCAACAGAAACAGAAAAAGTCTTCAGAAGATATATTAAGGAATACTTTTCACACATGCTGATCACTGGACACACACCTGCAGAAGAGACTCAACTCTACTTCTTACAGTGAGCAACTTATTGTTGATAATCTGTTGCAAGTACAAAACCAGTTTCCAGACTGTCATGGGCAAGCAAGCACAGCTCCGTGCCAAAGCTGACTAATTTGCTAATCACTGATTTTACAACGTGTGTTGTGGAGATTTGGCGGGACAGGTTTGTCATCAGAATGGATATACTGTTGTATTAAAAAAACAAGATTAAAAAGCTGCCAAGTTCTTTGATGAGTGGTCAGTTGGTCTGAAATTCTTGCAAGATGCCGCTGTTCAAACTGTTGACATAATCATGGCCTCTTCTCTCTCTGTCAGAGAGATGTGATATGGGGTAAGGAAGTGTTTTTCAAAATTGTTCACTGGCATCTGTAAGATAATTTAGTTCTTATAACAGAGCAAGAAAATCAAATTTAAAAAATAGAGACCTAGAAAGCAATATGTATTTGCCAAAAAGGAATGATGGCAAAAAAACAATAATTATGTTCTGGAGCAACAGGTCACTGATCTTTACTAAAGAAATTTTATAGCAATGGAGGTAGCGGCAGACAGACATTAGCATGAGCGTGGGGAACTGAAGATGTGAAATGCTGAATATGTTGCCCACTCTTACAAAAAACTTGGCAATGAAGAAAAGAGACAAAATGACCTGTCAATAGAGGGAGAATAAAGAAGAATGCTGCTTTATACAGGGAAAACTTGGAGATATGATACAGAAAGTAACTGAAATAATTTATAATAAAAATGGCTTAAATCCTATAAAATAATATCATAGAGTAACATATATTTAGATAATGTCAGTAAGTATTTCCAAAGTTAATTTTATCACTTAAGAATGAAGCTGGCTTAAGGTGAAGTCATAGTCATATATGGCCACATATGTGCACATACAATCATATACGAAGAACACTAATATCTTATAATAAACTAAGTATAACTAATATCTATTATCATAAAGCTTGTTGGTATTCTTAGGGCTTCTTATATTCTTGAAGTTATACAGGAATATCTTGTTTTACTGCATTTAGCTTTATACTGCTTCACAGATGCTGAGCTTTTATAAATTGAAGGTTTGTGGCAACCCTGCATTAACCAAATTAGTAGACGCCATTTTTCCCACAATGTGTGCTCACTGTGCGTCTTTCTGTTACATTTTGTTAATTTTTGCAATATTCCTAACTTATAAATTATTATTTATCTATTATGGTGACCTGTGAGTTCTGATCTTTCATGTTACTACTGTAATTGTTTTGAGGCCCCACAAACTGCGCCCAATGAAAACAGCAAACTTAATCAATAAATGTATTCTGACTGCTTCACTGACTGGCCACTCCCTGTCTCTCTCCCTTTCTCAGGCCACCCTAATGCCTGAGACCAAACAATATTGAAATTAGGCCAATAAATAACCCTGCAATGGCCTCAAAGTGTCCAACTGAAAAGAAGAATCGATTCAGCATGACTTGGTCAATAACAACAACAACAACAACAACAACAAGTCAAACATCTCCTACATTAAATTTTAAAAAGCTAGAAATTGTTAAGCTTAGTGAGAAGGCATATCAAAAGCCAAGACAGGCCAATGCTAGGCCTCTTGCGCCAGTTAGCCTAGTTGTGAATGCAAAGGAAAAGTTTTGTGTTTTGTTTTGTTTGAGATAGGGTCTTGCTCTATGGCCCAGGCTGGAGTGCAATGGCATGAACACTGCTCGCTGAAGCTTCGACTTCCTGGGCTCAAGTGATTCCTACCTCAGCCTCCCATGCAGTGGGGACCACAGGCTCATGCCACCATGCCCAACTAATTTTTTGATTTTTTGTAAAGACAGGGTCTCATATTGTTGTCCAGGCTGGTCTCGAACTCCTGGGCCCAAGCAATCCTCCCGCATAGGCCTCTCAAAGTGTTGGGACTACAGACATGAGCCACTGCGCCTGGCCTGCAAAGTTCTTGAAGGAAATTAAAAGTGACAGTCCAGTGAGCATATGAATGATAAGAAAGCAAATCAGACTGGGCATGGTGGCTCCCACCTGTAATTCCAGCGATTTGGAAGGCCGAGGTGGGCGGATGGCGAAGTCAAGAGATCAAGACCATCCTGGCCAATATGGTCAAACTCTACTAAAAATACAAAAGTTAGCTGGGTGTGGTGGCGTGCACCTCTAGTCCCAGCTACTCGGGAGGCTGAGGCAGGAGAACTGCTTGAACCCAGGAGGCGGAGACTGCAGTGAGCCAAGATCATGCCACTGCACTCCAGCCTGGCGACAGAGCAAGCAAGATTCTGTCTCAAAAAAAAAAAAAAAGAAGTGCCCTGCTAAATTTAAATAAACACAATTTCCATATTAAAAAATTAGAAGACCTGAAAAATGGCAATCCTGAGAAGCAAATTAGTAGTCTGCTACTAATGAAACTTCAAGACATACCTATTGAAAAAGAAAAGGATAAACAAACATACAGCAGCAACTGCAAAAAACAAAACAAAACAAAAAGGTAAAACAAAAACAAACAGGAAGAATATTAGCATTAGATAAACCTAAGTAAAAGTTAAAAAAGCATTAAATAGGAATAGTGGGAATACTGTACAACAATGAAGGACACAGTCCACAAATTGTCAAAACAAATTATGCAATTTATGCAGGATAGTAGCCACAAACAAAAGGTAAAACAAAAATGGAAAACATGTTATTTTATAAAAAATTGAATGGTTGTCAAGCTCACATTTCCTTATCCAGTTTTTGAAATACAGAAAATTATTGTATGTTTAGCTACAAAACACATTTAGTGAAAAAAACCTGACCTGAACTGTCATAAAGCTATATATATCTTTAGTTACGCTATTTAGTGTAAATACTGCTGCAGAAATATTAAGGCATTTGATTATAGGGTACGACCACAGACCATGCTGGAAATTTAAGTACCATCTTGCCTTCCTAAAATGTGAACACTTATGCATCCCAAACACTGAATATATGAATAAAATTTTTAAACTTAGAAACATAAATATTTTGTTTTCCTATGTCCACATTAATCATGTAACCTGGCTGCAATTTTCTTAAATTCCAAAATTAAATATTTTAATGACAACATATATGAGCATAATCCAAATAACTCTAAGAAATAAAATTTTAAAAATGACCAGTTCCCCAAAGTGAAATAATTGCTAATTAAGGAACAATACTGTGATTCAAGCAGAAAATTTTTCAAGTGGAATTTTTAAGAATTATCAAAATAGAAAATACTTTATAACAGTGTATCTCATTTCATAATAAAGTGATTGAAAACAAAATACAGAAGTGGCCAGATGCTGTGGCTCACGCCTGTAATCCCAACATTTTGGGAGCCAGAGGCGGGCAGATCGCTTCAGTCTAGGAGTTTGAGATCAGCCTGGGCAACATGGCAAGACCCTGTCTCTACAAAAATAAAAATTAGCCAGGCATGGTGGTACCTGCCTGTAATCCCAGCTACTCAGGAGGCTGAGGTGGGAGGATCACCTGAGGGTGTGAGGTCAAGCTGCAGTGAGCAGTGATTGGGCCACTGGGGGACAGTGAGAGCCTGTCTCAAAAATGAAAACAAAAACAAAAACAAAAACAAAACACAGAGGAAGGCCTTTGTGGCTCTTATAAAAA
This sequence comes from Homo sapiens, assembly GCF_000001405.40. Taxonomy (NCBI): domain Eukaryota; kingdom Metazoa; phylum Chordata; class Mammalia; order Primates; family Hominidae; genus Homo; species Homo sapiens. The sequence goes on from NC_000001.11 coordinate 114,472,782, forward strand.
TTCACAAGCATGAATTTAACTTTAAAGATATACACTGTTACAATTAAACTGTTAAAAGTCAAAGACAAGAAAATTTTGAAAAGACTAGGAGAAAAATAACTCATGACATACATGGGAACAATATGATTAACAATGAGCTGAGCAGAAACAAAAAAAAAAATTCAGAAGGCAGTGTGTTATAAAGTTTTGGTGCCGCAAAAGAAATAGCACTCAAATATAAAATGTTCTTTTTTTGGAGGCCGAGGCGGGCAAATCATGAGGTCAAGAGATAGAGACCATCCTGGCTAACATGGTGAAACCCCGTCTCTACTAAAAATACAAAAAAATTGGCTGGGTGTGGTTTCAGGCGCCTGTAGTCCCAGCTACTCAGGAGGCTGAGGCAGGAGAATGGTGTGAACTCGGGAGGCGGAGCTTGCAGTGAGCCGAGATCATGCCACTATACTCCAGCCTGGGTGCCAGAGCGAGACTCTGTCTCAAAAAAAAAAAAAAAAATTCATTTTTTTTCCTCAGCAAGGCAATTTATTTTTATAGAAGGATGCGCCCTCACAGATGGAGCAATGGTGAACGCACACCTGGACAAGGGAGGGGAAGGGGTTCTTATTCCTGACGCACATGGCCCCTGCTGCTGTGTTGTTCCCCTATTGGTGAGGGTTAGACCACACAGGCTAAACTAATTCCGATTGGCTACTTTAAAGAGAGTGACGGGGTGAGTGGTTTGGCAGGAAAAATGGTTATGGCAGAGCAGGAAATCGGAATGAATCAGGGTGGAGAATGAGTCAGGGCAGAGCAGGTAATCGGAATGAGTCAGTGTGGAGCAGGTAATTGGAATGAGTCAGGGTGGAGCATGTGATCGAAAAAGATTGCTTTATGAGGAAGTTTAGAAGTAGAAGGCAAAGAATTGAACACACTGACATTGATTCTTTGAAGAGAAATTTAGAACTCATATCTAACATAAGGAGGAACCAATGAACAACAATAAATACATGAGCTATACAGAAAACAAAGAGCAAAGCAATCAACGTAGATCTAACCATAACAATAATGATAGTAAATGAGAATGAATTAAATACCCCAATGAAAATAAAGAGCAGATAAAATTAACTATATACTGCTATATACTGTTTACCAGAGACACACTTTAATTTTTCCAGATATAGTCTCTGTAGCCCAGACTGGAGTGCAGTGGCGCTCACTGCAGCCTCAACCTCCTGGGCTTAAGCAGTCCTCCTGCATCAGCCTCCCAAGTAGTTAGGACTACGGGCATACACCATCACACTCGGTTAGTTTGCTTAAATTTTTTGTAGAGATAGGGTCTCACTATATCACCCAGGCGGGTCTCAATCTCCCAGCCTCAAGCAATCCTCCCGCTTCAACCTCCCAAAGTGCTGGGATTACAGGCATAAGTCACTGCCCCCAGCCCAGAAACACACCGTAAATCAAAGACAAATACAGGATGAAAGAAAAAAGTAAGTCAAATCATGGAAACAGTAATTACATAAGAGCTGGAGTCTTGGTGCGGTGGCTCACACCTGTAATCCCAGCACTTTGGGCTGAGGTGGGAGGATCACTTGAGGCCAGGAGTTCAAAGCCAGCCTGGGTGACACAGCAAGGCCCCATTTCTACAAATTAAAAAAAAAAAAAATTAAGCCAGGTGTGGTGGTATTTGCCTGCAGGCCCAGTTACTTAAGAGGCTGAAGCAGGAGGACTGCTTGAGCCCAGGAGTTCAAGGCTGCAGTGAGCTAGGATCATGCCACTCTACCGTAGCCTGGGTGACTGAGCAAGACCTTGTCTCTATTTAAAAAAAAAAAAAAAAAAAAAAAGGCCAGGGGCAGTGGCTCATGCCTGTAATCCCAGCACTTTGGGAGGCCAAGAGGCCAAGGCAGGCAGATCACCTGAGGTAGGGAGTTCAAGACAAGCCTGACCAACATGGAGAAACCCTGTCTCTACTAAAAATATAAGAATTAGCTGGGTGTGGTGGCGCATGCCTGTAATCCCAGCTACTCAGGAGGCTGAGGCAGGAGAATTGCTCGAACCCAGGAGGTGGAGGTTGTGGTGAGCCGAGATCCCACCACTGTACTCCAGCCTGGGCAACAGAAGCGAAAACTCTATCTCAAAAAAAAAAAAACAAGCAGGAGTGGCTATTCTAATATCAGATAAAATAGACCCTTACACAAAAATAATCATTAGAGACAAGAGCAAAATTTGTATAATAATAAAGATATCCATTCTCAGGAAGATATAGTTATATGCATATGTGTACATAACAAGACAGCTTCAAAACACATGAAGAAAAATCTGGCAAAACTGAAGGGAGACAAACAGAAATGAACATGAAGATGAACAAAATATGACCCCCCACAAAACAAAAGAGAGGCTCACTACCTGTGGGACAATTATCAAGTGGTCTAATATATGTGTAACTGAATTCCCAGAAGAAGAAATAAAAACAATGAGAAATATACTTTAAGAACTAATGATCAAGTTTTCCAACTTTAATAAAAACTATAAGCCAAAGATGAAGAACCACAATAATCTCTGAAGATAGCACTTCTAAATAAAACCATGCAAAGCACATCATAATCAAACTGCTAAAAAACAGTAATAAAGGATAAGTCTTAGGCTAGGCGCGGTGGCCCATGCCTGTAATCCCAGCACTTTGGGAGGCCAAGGCAAGAGGATCATGAGGTCAGGAGATCGAGACCATCCTGGCAAACACGGTGAAACGCTGTCTGTACTAAAAATACAAAAAAAATTAGCCAGGCGTGGTGACGGGCACCTGTAGTCCCAGCTACTCGGGAGGCTGAGGCAGGATAATGGCGTGAACCTGGAGGCAGGACTTGCAGTGAGCCGAGATGGCGCCACTGCACTCCAGCCTGGGCAACAGAGTAAGACTCCATCTCAAAATAAAAATAAATGTTTAACAAAGCAAAAGAGAATGCCACTTAGTATGACCAAGAAAAAACAGCATGAAAATTTCAAAAGAAATCTATCAACAAAAACAACAACTAAATAAATAAAAGGATCCAGCCTAGGCAACAAAGCAAGACCCCATCTCTAGAAAAACTTTAAAAACTAGCTCAGCGTGTAGGTGTGCATCTGTGGTCCCAGCTACATGCAAGGCTGAGGCAGGATTGCTTGAGCCCGGGAGGTGGAGGCTGCAGTTAGCCATGTTCACACCACTGCACTCCAGCCAGGGTGACAGAGAAAGGCTCTGTCTCAAAATAATAATACGGAAAAATTATTAAAATAAAGGAGATCATGAAAACATAGAAGTACAGTTTTCAAGTGAGATATAAAAAACCAAAACATAAAAGAATGGATGAAATAATTTCAGAGCTATTTATTATATATTCCTAGAATAGAATATATACATTTTTGGGTATGTCTGTGTAATATTTAAAAAATTTGATCTTGTATTCAGCTACCAAAAACAAATAAGAAAAAAAAAAACCTTTCAATTAAAAAGATACTGAATTTTACAGTCCACATCCTATAAAAGTTTAAAACTTTACAAAGTGAAAGTAAATAAAAACATCACTACACACAACCCAAAATAAAAATGGACTCCATCTGGAAATCAAACCTAAATTACAAGCTATCTAGAAAAAAATGCAGCAGAAACAGTTCATACTCAACTCTATTATTTCCATCTGTAGACTTAAATGTTTAAAAACAAAACTAATAAAACTTAGTTCTTTCCTTGACAAATTTTTTAAAAAAACAGAAGTATGAGAACAGAATTAAATATAAAAGCTGAAATATATACATTACTGAAAACAAAATTGATAACCTAAAAATTTTTTGAGAAAAAAGTAAAATCTTTAGGAATCTAATGAAGAGAAAAAAACATAGAGAAGTCAGAATGGAAACAGACAAAGCAAAACAATTTTAAAAGATTACTAAGCCTATATCAGAAAATACTCCATGTAACTCTAAAGCAAGCAATATTAAAATCTAGCATAAATGGCCAATTTTCTAGTAAAATATGATTCATCAAAAGCAAAACAAGAATTAAACTTGAAGAGACATGTAAGCATACAAAGATTAGAAGACGTTGCCATTTTAAAAAAAATACAAAATCCAGATAGTTATACAGGAGAGTAATGCTTAAAGAATAAACCAGCATTCCATTATTATTTGAACCAATCTAGAACAAAAGAGTGAAAATCCGAATTCATTTTATAGAGCCCGACATTGTTTTACTATTAAAACCTACCAAAGGCAATGCAAAAGAAGAAAACTGCAGACCACTCCAGCGTATTGACTCTACATTTCTAAATGAAATATTAGCAAACATTCTGTCAATCTGTCAAAAGAATATTATGATCAGTAAGGTTTACCAAGAATTCAAGGATTATTCAACGGAAAGAAATTTAACAAAATAATCATATCAAAACAACTGAAGAAGAAAACTATATGGTTATATAAACAGATGTTAAAGTGGCATATGATAAAATTCAGACATTTTTAGTAAGAACACTAAAAAAGAGAAGCAAACAACCTAAATATGAAAGAATCATTTACCAAAATATTAAATAGCATTTAAAGCTAGCAAAACCTTAAAGGAAAAAAAAAAAACAAAAACACTTCTCTATTCAAGTCAGAAACCAGGCATGTCATTTACCAAAGAGGCAATATACAAAATTATTAATGGAACAGATTCTGGAGCCAGACTACACAGATTTAAATCTCAACCCCTTCAGAGCTGTTAATTCCTTAATCTTTGAGTCTTAGTTTCCCCTTTGCAAAACAGGGATAACAGTACCTACCTCAAAGGTTGTTGGGAAGACTACATGTTTATACATATAAAATGTGACACACACTAAGTGCTCACAAAATGTAAGCTATTATTACAAGTTACTATTCATCTCAAAGATTTTAGAGCATCACTGTGTAACAGAATTTTCTGCAATAATGGATACGTGCTGTATGTGCACTGTTCAATGCAGTACTCAATACAACACTGGCCACTGAGCACTTGCAAAATGGCTAGTGGAACCAACAAACTAAATTTTAAAATTTCATTTTAGATAACTAAAAATTAAATCACCACCAGTGACTAGTTGCTATGGTACAGGACACTGCAGTTCTAGAAAACACAGGATACCTGAGATGTCACTTATTTTTTAAGACTACTAAAATTTAAAAGATAAGTTTACAACAAAATGAAGGTACAAAAAAAATTAACAGCTGGACCACTTTCAATAATGGCACAAGGGAAAGCAAATCCTCTCTTCAAAGACAAAGTATAAAACTGTACAAAACTGTCACAAAGAAAAAAAGCAAACAACGAATTCAGACCACAGGGAATCAACTACTGTCATGCAAAATGAGACACACTTATTCTACAAAGACTGCTAAAGTTTCAGGTAAAAGCAATGAAAGGCACTGGCCCTCTTGCTTGAGGATGCTCCCATGGTCCCCATTTAGTCCTAAAGTCTGGTCTGAAAAATCAGTAGTTTTACTAGAATGGGGCTGACCATAAAAACAGCAGCTTTGCTGTCACACACGGTAGAATCAATTGGGGAGAGAGGTGAATGCGAAAACATGAGATTTGCCAGGTATAAATTAGTATCTGTCTGGAAAGAACAGGTTTTGCTATACCTGGGTTGGGGGTCACACAGCAAGCAGCAGATCAACCACATTAATACAAAGAAACTTGAAATGAGAGAGTCACGGAAGGGCTAAGATCAACTCTCTATACAGACATGGCTAATTGGGACACTGCACATACCAAAGGGAGACACAAGAAAGCCCTGAAAAAACTAAAGGCCAAGTGAGAATAAAAACAAAGATTTCAAAGCAACTATTATAAATATTTTAAAAGAATAAAAAGGAACCAGTGTTCAAATAATAAAATAATATGGCAAAGCCTCAACAAATAAGAAGTCTTAAGAGCGAACTATAAAAAGAAGCCACACAGATTAAAAGTACATGCAAAATAAAAAATTCACTACATATCTGGGCTTCAATAATACACTTCAGGCCAGGCGTGGTGGCTCACTCCTGTAATCCCAGCACTTTGGGAGGCCAAGGTAGGTGGATCGCCTGAGGTCAGGAGTTCGAGACCAGCCTGGCCAACATGTGAAACTCTGCCTCTACTAAAAACACAAAAAATTAGCCAGGCGTGGTTGTGGGCACCTGTAATTCCAGCTACTCCAGAGGCTGAGGCAGGAGAATTGCTGAAACCCAGGAGGCAGAGGTTTGCAGTGAGCCAAGGTTGCACCATTGCACTCCAGCCTGGGCAACAAGAGTGAAACTCTATCTCAAAAAACAAAAAAAGATCTGAGTGAACTTGTAGATGGATAAATTAAAATTTAATTTCAATCCAATCAAAAAAATCAGAGAGGAAAAAAGACTGACGAGAAAAGAACAGATCCTCAGAAACCAGTAGAACAATGTCAAGCTCCCAACATAAATGTAATAAAAGTCACAGGACATAAGAGCAAAGAAATAGAAAAAATGTTTGAAGAAATAATGGTGGAAAATGTCAAAACCTGATGAAACACATTAATCTGCAGATTCAAAAAGGGGAGAGAACCACAAACAAAATAAACACGAAATGAATCAAACCAAACACATCACAGTCAAACTGCTGAAAACCAGGAGAAAAATAATTCATCAAGGAAACCAATCCATCAACATCTGACTTTTCATTAAAAATATGGAGGCCAGGAAGCAATAAAATGACATATTCAAACTACAAATTATAAACCAAGAATTGTATATGCAACAAAAATATCCTTCAAAAATGAAGGCAAAATAAAAACAGCCACAGGTAAACAAAATTTGAGAGAAAGTCACACTTAGCATATTTGTACCACAAAAAATCTAAAGGAAGTCTGTCAGGATGACAGGAAATAAAACCAGACTATATAAATGTAACAATCATGACTATAACAATACAAAAGATAGAAATGGAGCTACAGTGGAACAAAGTTGCTATATTTTAACAAAATGAAGGTAGTATTGTCCTGAAGTGAATTGTGGTGTTAAAGATATATCATAATTAGCCGCCCCATCCAGCAGGGAGGTGGGGGGCAGCCCCCGCCCGGCCAGCTGCCCCGTCCGGGAGGGAGGAAGGGGGCGCCTCCACCCGGCCGCCGCCCCATCCGGAAGGTGGGGGCGCCTCTGCCCGGCCGCCCCTGCTGGGAAGTGAGGAGCCCCTCTGCCCGGCCGCCACCCCGTCTGGGAGGTGTACCCAACAGCTCATTGAGAACAGGCCATGATGATGATGGCGGTTTTGTGGAATAGAAAAGGGGGAAATGTGGGGAAAGATAGAGAAATCAGATCGTTGCTGTGTCTGTGTAGAAAGAAGTAGACATAGGAGACTCCATTTTTGTTCTGTACTAAGAAAGATTCTTCTGCCTTGGGATGCTGTTGATCTATGACCTTGCCCCCAACCCTGTGCTCTCTGAAACATGTGCTGTGTCCACTCAGGGTTAAATGGATTAAGGGCGGTGCAAGATGTGCTTTGTTAAACAGATGCTTGAAGGCAGTATGCTCCTTAAGAGTCATCACCACTCCCTGATCTCAAGTACCCAGGGACACAAACACTTCGGAAGGCCGCAGGGTCCTCTGCCTAGGAAAACCAGAGACCTTTGTTCACTTGTTTATCTGCTGACCTTCCTCCACTATTGTCCTATGACCCTGCCAAATCCCCCTCTGCGAGAAACACCCAAGAATGATCAATTTAAAAAAAAAAAAAAAAAAAGAAGTGAAAAGGCCCTGCCCCGCCTTAAAAAAAAAAAAAAAGAGAGATATCATAATTGCAAGAGTTAAAACTAAAACAAAAACTAAAAGAAAATTTTAAGGTACACTAAAAATATTGGTAAACATAGAAGTCTCAGTAAAGAAGGAAAAGAACAAAAATGACACACGGAAAACAACTAGCAAAATGGCATACCTAAATCCAACTATATCACTGAGTAAACACTCCAATGAAAAGAAGAGATTGTCAAACTGGATAAAAAGTAAAATCCAACTATATATCCTCTGAAAGAAACATTTTTAGATTCAAATACATAAATAGGGATAAAGTAAAAGGAGAGGAGAAGATAAAATCATGAATAAATAGGGATAAAGTAAAAGGAGAGGAGAAGATAAAATCATGAAAGCTGTTGCCATAAGACAGCTGGAGTAGTCACACTAACATCAGAAAAAAAAAGATTCTTGGAGTCCGGAGTTTGAGACCAGTCTGGCCAACATGGTGAAACCCTGTCTCTACTAAAAATACAAAAATTAGCCAGGTGTGGTGGCGCATGCCTGTAATCCCAGCTACTCGGGAGGCTGAGACAGGAGAATAGCTTGAACCCCAGGAGACGGAGGTTGCAATGAGCCAAGATCACGCCACTGCACTGCAGCCTGGGCAACAGAGTAAGACTCTGTCTCCAAAAAAGAAAGAAGAAAAAAAGATTCTCAAAGCATATTACTAAGTAAAATGAAGCATTTTATATGTTAAAGAATCAATACATCAGATACATGTAACAATTATAAATGTAAATGAACCAAACACAAAATTAAAACCATAGGCCAGATGTGGTGGCTCACGCCTGTAATCCTAGCACTTTGGGAAGCCAAGGTGGTGGATCACGAGGTCAGGGGTTCAAGACCAGCCTGGCCAAGATGGTGAAACCCCATCTCTACTAAAACTATAAAAATTAGTTGGGTGCGGTGGCACACGCCTATAATCCCAGCTACTCAGGAGGCTGAGCCAGGAGAATCGCCTGAATCTGGGTGGCAGAGGTTGCAGTGAGCTGAGATTGCGCCACTGCACTCCAGCCTGGGCAACAGAGTGAGACACTGTCCGAAAAAAAACCCAAGAAAAACAAAAAAAAAGAAAAAAAACTATATATATATGTGTGTGTGTGTGTGTGTGTGTATATATATGTGTGTATATATATATATATGTGTGTATATATATATTTTTTTATATTGGTTTTTTCCTCCCCATGGGATACAGCTGAAAGAGTGCTTAAACATTTATTTTTTCTTTTGAGATGGAGTCTCACTCTATCGCCCAGGCTGGAGGGCAGTGGCGTGATCGCACCTCACTGCAACCTCCGCCTACCCAGTTCAAGTGATTCTCCTGCCTCAGCCCCCTAGTAGCTGAGGTTACAGATGTGCGCCACCATGCCCAGCTAATATTTTTGTATTTTTAGTAGAGATGGGGTTTCACCATGTTGGCGCGGCTGGTCTTGAACTCCTGACTTCAGGTGATCTGCCCACCTCGGCCTCCCAAAGAGCTGGGATTACAGGCCATTAGTCCAACAAAACTTTCTGCCATGACAAAATGTTCTATATCTGCACTGTCTAATATGGCAGCCATCAGCCACACATGATTACTGAATACCTGAAATGTGACAACAGTGACTAAGGAAGTAAATCATCAATTTCATTTACGCTTAATTTTGTCACATATGGCCATTAGGTACCACATTTAACACCATGAACTTAGAGAGAAATGTATAGCTTCAAAGACATATATTAGAAAGGAAAAAAACATCTAAAAGCAATCATCTCAACATGCCCCTCATTAAGCTCGAAAAAGAAGACCAAATGAAAACATTACATAGGACGAAATAAAGATCAGAGTAGCTATGAATAGGGAAGAAAGGGGAACGAAACTCAAAGCTGGTTCTTTGAAAACAACTGATAAACAATTACCTAGATGGGAAAATGAGTGCAGGGAGGGAGATGGGGGGAGATAGAGAAGACAGATTGGTATTGATCTAAAAAGAAAAGAGAGCACATTGTGCCAAAACCAAAAATGAAATATAAGACTTAACAAGAGATCCTGCCAAAATGTTACTGATATGGTTTGGATTTGTGTCCCCACCCAAATCTCATGTTGAATTGTAATCTCCAATGTTGGAGGAGGGCCCCGGTGGGAGGTGATTGGATCACGGGGGCAGATTTCCCCTTTGCTGTTCTCATTATAGTAACTGAGTTCTCATGAGATCTGGTTGTTTGAAAGTCTGCAGCACTTCCCCCTTCACTCTCTCTTCCTCCTGTCAGCCGTATGAAGATGTGCTTAACTTCCCTTTCACTTTCTGCCATGATTGTTTCTTAAGGCCTCCCCAGAAGCAGAAGCCTGCACAGCAGGAAGAACCAGAGAAACCTCTTTTGTTTGTAAATTACCTAGTCTCAGGTATGTCTTTATAGCAGTGTCAGAATGGACTAATAGAACTATGAACCTCTTATGCCAAGTTAGACCACTAAAACAAAATGGGTCAAATTCTTTAAAAATACAAATTACCAGCTAGGTAATCCCAGCACTTTGGGAGGCTGAGATGGGAGGATCACTTGAGACCAGGTGTTCGAGACCAGCCTGGGTAACACAGTGGGACCCTGTCTCTACAAAAATAATTTTTTAATTAGCTAGGTGCGATGGTGCACACTTGTAGTCCCAGCTACTCAGGAAGCTGAGGCAAGAGGACTGCTTGAGCCTATGAGATGAAGGCTGCAGAGAGCTGCGATCACACCACTGCACCCCAGCCTGGGCTACAAAGCAAGACCCTGTCTTGAAAAAAAAAATTTTTACCAAACTGACTCAAGAAGACATAGAAAAACTCAATCTGAATACTAGATCAGTAATTTAAAATCTACAAAAAGGAAAGTCCAGACCCAGTTGGGTTTTTTTTTTTTCTTTTTGAGATGGAGTCTCTGTCTGTGGCCCAGGCTGGAGTGCAGTGGCATGATCTCACTGCAACCTCTGCCTCCTGGGTTCAAGTGATTCTCCTGCCTCAGCCTCCCGAGTAGCTGCAACTACAGGCACCCACCACCACGCTCAGCTAATTTTTTGTATTTTTAGTAGAGACGGGGTTTCGCCATGTTGCCCAGGCTGGTTTCAAACTCCTGAGCTCAGGCAATCCACCCGCCTCAGCCTCCCAAAGTGCTGGGATTACAGTGTGAGCCACCGTGCCCGGCCCCAGTTGGTTTTAATGGTGAATTCTCTCAAGGAAGAAATAATACAAACCTCAAACAAACTCTTTAGAAAATAGAGAAGAAAAAACATATTTCAAGAGGCCAATATCACCCTGTTACCAAAGACATAAGACAAAGACATCACAGATAAAATATTACTAGAAAACTACAGACTGAGGAGTAGAGGAGTATTAGAAGAGGAGATGAAAACGATGCCCAAATTTCTGGTTTAGGAAACCGGAACAATGAGATGACTGTTACAGTTTGTAAGTGGAGGTTTGGAAACTACAATTAGTTCAAGTTTAGAGACAGTAAATTTGAGACACATCTGGGTCACTCAAGAAAAGATGTTAAGCAGGCAGTTGTGCTAAATAAAAATGTACATAACTGAGTTTGCAAAAAGATGTTTTATTTTGAAATAATGGTCTGCCAGACAAAATTCAAGGAGCTCTTAAGAGCTTGTTAGTGTGTTGTTTCAAATTTTATAATAAAGATGAGATAGTCAGCATTTCATACTTTGGAAACTTACAGACTTAAATGAGTTATTTTATATTCTTTTATACTGTTTGAAACTCTAACCATGCCCACGTTTTACTTTTTCTAAATAATTTTTTAATTGAACTGGTAAAAAAATAAAAAAAACTTGGCTAACTAACCATCAAGACTCTGACCTGCAAATTGTTTCATTTGCAAGAATTATACTGGTCATCCTTTTCATCTTTAAAAATGTGTGTTTAGGCTGGGCATGGTGGCTCACACCTGTAATCCCAGTACTTTGGGAGGCTGAGGCGGGTGGATCACCTGAGGTCAGGAGTTCGAGACCAGCCTGGTCAACATGGTGAAACCCCATCTCTATTAAAAATACAAAAATTAGGCTGGGCATGGTAGCTCACTCCTGTAATCCTAGCACTTTGGGAGGCCGAGGCAGACAGATTGCCTGAGCTCAGGAGTTCGAAACCAGCCTGGGCAACACAGTGAAACCCTGTCTCTACTAAAAATAAAGAAAAATTAGCCAGGCATGGCAGTGTGCACCAGTAGTCCCAGTTACTCAGGAGGCTGAGGCAGGACAATTGCTTGATCCCAGGAGGTGGAGGTTGCAGTGAGCCCACATCGCACCACTGCACTCCAGCCTGGATGACAGAGTGAGACTACACCTCCAAAAATAAAAATAAGAAATACAAAAATGCACAAAAAAATAGCCAGGCGTGGTGGCACATGCCTGTAATCCCACCTACTCGGGAGGCTGAGACACGAAAATCACTTGAACCTGGGAGGCGGAGGTTGCAGTGAGCCGAGATCACACCACTGCACTCCCGCCTGGGAGACAGAGTGAGACTCTGTCTTTTAAAAAAAAAAAAAGTACGTGTTTATTAAAGTCTCCAAAACTCCAAACTCCCAAGAGCAGAGATAATCTAACACTGCCTTGCAGAGAATAGGAATTAAAAGCATGAATTTAGTGAGTCATGATTCCATAATCTCACGACTATAATCTGTAAAATGTTAGGACCAAAAGAACTCAGTATTTCCACTGCTGGGATCTTAAATAAAGGCGACTTTAATTGAAGCCCCCATTTTTTTTTTAAAACTAAAAATACTGAAAAAAAAAATCTCCTACTCCTCAATATCAGTAGGGAATAGCAGGAAGCTGAACTTCTACTCCCACCTGGCAATAATAAGGAATAAGGGGGTAAGAGACCAGGCAAATCATCACTTCTTATCCCTTTGCCTGGTATGATAAAATCCAAGTGGAAAGCTGAGACTCCACCCCTATTATGTAGCAATCCAGTGGAATGAGTTAGCCCTACATTTCCTCCCTCCCTGGTATCACAAGGGCTCAGTGGAACTGAACTTAAACCCTAAATCAGAGGTGACAAGGTGGTATGAGTTGGTACCCCACTTCATCAGGAAGGACCAAGGGAGAAATTGAACTTTCATCTCACCTATCTGCAACATGGCAGAGAAAGTCAGCACTCCACTTTTGCCAGGGTGGTGTCAGGAGGCCCAAGGGGAAGGTGAACATACACCCTACCTGGCCTTTATGTTATACCTCAGTAGAAAGACTGCTGGAAAAAAATGAAGATTAAATAGAATCGCAAGTCTCAGAATGTGATATCCAAAATATTTGCAATATACTCAAAAAATTATTTGTCAAACACCAGGAAAATCATAACTGACAAAAGACAATCAGTACATGCCCAAACCAAGATGATCAGATATCACATATTAGAAACATCTGACAAAGTCTTTAAGGGAACCATTATGAAAATGCTTCAAAAAGCAATATAAGCCAGGCACAGTGGCTCACACCTGTAATCCCAGCACTTTAGGAAGCTGAGGCAGGCAGATCACTTGAGGTCAGAAGTTCGAGACCAGCCTGGCCAACACGGTGAAACCCCCATCTCTACTAAAAATACAAAAACTAGCCAGGCATGGTGGCACACACCTGTAGTCCCAGCTATTTGGTAGGCTGAGGCAGGAGAATTGCTTGAACCCGGGAGGAAGAGGTTGCAATGAGCTGAGATCGCAACACTGAACCCCAGCCTGGGCGACAGAGTAAGACCTCATCTTAAAACGGCAATACGAATGTCCTTAAAACAAATGGAAAATAGAAAAGAAATGAAAGTTATAGAAAAAAAAGACCAATGGAAATTATAGGATTAAAAAATACACTTTGGAAATGGAGACGGGCAGATAACTTGAGGTCAGGAGGTCAAGACCAGCCTGACCAACATGGAGAAACTCCGTTTCTAACAAAAAATATACAAAAATTAGCCGGTGTCGTGGCACCAAGATCACACCACTGCACTCCAGCCTGGGCAACACAGTGGGACCCTATCTCAAAAAAAAAAAAAAAAAAAACCCAAAAACCAAAAATTTAAAACTCAATAAATGGGCTCAATAGACAAGAGAAGATAACAGGCAACAGAATAACTGACCTTCAGGCAAAATCAAGAGACCAAAAGAAAAGAAAAGAAAAACAGAACACAGTCTCAAGAACCTGTGGAACAATAAAAAACTAGCTAGCTAGCATTGCTGTCACCAGAGCTGCAGAGTTCCAGAAGGAGAGGAGTACATAAAATTTAAAAATTACTTGAACAGGCCGGGTGCAGTGGCTCACACCTGTAACCCAGCACTTTGGGAGGCCAAGGCAGGTGGATCACTTGAGGTCAGGAGTTTAAGACCAGCCTGGCCAAAATAGTGAAACCCTATCTCTACTAAAAATACAAAAATTAGCCAGGTATGGTGGCGTACGCTTGTAGTACCAGTTACTTGGGAGGCTGAAGCAGGCGAATCACTTGAACCCAGGAAATGGAGACTGCAGTGAGCCAAGATCACGCCATTGCACACCAGCCTGGGCAACAGAGCAAGACTCTGTCTCAAAAAAAAAAAAAAAATTACTTGAACAAATAATGACTGAAAATGTCCCAAATTTGACAAAATACATAAACCTACATATAAAAAAACTGAGTTAATGCCAAATAAGAAAAACCCAAATAAATCCACACCAAGATACATCATAAAAGTTCTGAAAGATAAAGAAAAAAATCTTGAAAGCAGACAATGACCACTTTACTTGCAGAGGAACATCTATTCAAATGACAGTGGATCTCTCATGTAAAACCATGCAGGCCAAAAAAAAAAAAAAAAAACAACCTGGCTCAACATCATTCAAAGGCTGAAAGAAAGTAACTCAGAAATGCAAATTCTATATTCAACAAATACCCTTCAGGAATGAAGGACAACTAAAGATATTCTCAGATGAAAAAATATATAAAAATTTGTCACTAATACCCCTAAAAGCATGTATGGTTAAAGAAAACTTGCCGTAACAGAAAAAAAAAATGTTAACAGAAGGAACCTTGAATCTTTGGAAAAGAACACTGGAATGATAAAAATGAGAGTAAATAGGCCGGGCGCGGTGGCTCACGCCTGTAATCCCAGCACTTTGGGAGGCCGAGGCGGGTGGATCATGAGGTCAGGAGATCGAGACCATCCTGGCTAACAAGGTGAAACCCCGTCTCTACTAAAAATACAAAAAATTAGCCGGGCGCGGTGGCGGGCGCCTGTAGTCCCAGCTACTCGGGAGGCTGAGGCAGGAGAATGGCGTGAACCCGGGAAGCGGAGCTTGCAATGAGCCGAGATTGCGCCACTGCAGTCCGCAGTCCGGCCTGGGCGACAGAGCGAGACTCCGTCTCAAAAAAAAAAAAAAAAAAAAAAAAAAATGAGAGTAAATATAATAGATTTCTTCTCATGGATTTCTTAAATCATGTGAGAGCTTATAAAAAAGATCATATATTATCTGGTCATCTATATAGACAGAAAATTAAAGATAATCATTTTAAAACTAGGAAGAGTAAAGGGACCTAACTAGAAGTAAAACGTCTATACTTCACTCCAAATGGTAAAATGTCAATACAAAGACTTTAAGTTACAAATAAACGTTGCGATATCTAAGACGCTATTCAAAGCACTCCAAAAACTATAAACTACACAAAACCACCATAAATAAAGACGGAATCTTAAAAAGAACTTTAGGTAACTCAAACGAAGTCAAGAGAAACAAAGGAAACAAACAGAAAACAATAACATATTTAAGCCATAACACATCAATAATTACCTTAAATATACCTACATACCTTAAATACTCCTAAACACATGAACTAAATAAAGACCAGAAGAGTGAATAAACTTAAACCATAATCTAACAGTAATGCTATCTATTAATACAAGAAGCTTCAAACACAATAATGTAAGTACATTAAAAGAAGATGGAGGCCAGGCACAGTGGCTCACACCTGTAATCCTAGCACTTTGAGAGGCTGAGGCGGGAGGACCGCTTCAGCCCAGAAGTTCAAGACCAGCCTGGGCAACAATACAAGACCCCATCTCTACAAAAAATTAAAAAATTAGCCAGGCGTGGTGGCATGCGGCTGCAGTCCCAGCTACTAGGAGTCTGAGGTGAAAGAACTGCTTCAGCCCAGGAGGTCAAGACTGCAGTGAGCTATGATCGCATCACTGCACTCCAACCTGGGCAACAGAGCAAGATCTGTCCTTTAAAAAACAAAAACCAAAAAAAATTCAAGGGATCCAGAAGAACCAAAACGATCTTGAAAAAGAACAACCCACCCCAGCAACATAGCAAGAACCCATCTCTACAAAAAATAAAAAAATTGCTGGGTGTGGTGTAGCCACACATCTGTAGTGGTGTGAGACACGCATCTGTAGTCTCAGCTGGGGAAGGTGAGGTGGGAGGATCACCTGAGCCCAGGAGGTGGAAGCTGCAGTAAGCCCTGAGTGCACCACTGCACTACAGCCTGGGTGACAGAGTGAGACCCTGTTTTTGTTGTTGTTTAATTTTGTTATTGGCATAAAGACAGACATACAGATCAATGGAATGAAATTAAGTCCAGGAAAACACCCTCACATTTACCCAGTCAACTAATTTTAGACAGGTTGCTAAGACAATTAAATGGAGGACAGAGTAGTCTTTTCACTAAATGATACAGGGACAATGGATATCCTTGTGCAAAAGAATGAAACTAGATCTTTACCTCACAAACAAATTTCACATACAAAAATTAACTCAACTTTATCAGAGAATCTGAATCTAAAACCTAAAACTGTAAAGCTCTTAAAAGAAAACATAAGAATACATCTTCATGACCTTGGATTACGAAATGATTTTTCAGATATGGTGCGAAAAACAAAAGCACAAAATATAAATTGGACCTCATCAAACTTAAAAACTTTTGTGGCCAAGTGCAGTGGCTCACACCTCTAATCCAAGCACTTTACGGGGCTGAAGCAAGAGGATCGCTTGGACCCAGGAGTTTGAGACCAGCCTGGGCAACACAGCAAAATCCTGTCTCTACAAAAAAAAATAAAAACATTAGCTGGGTGCAGTGGTGCACCTGTAGTCCCAGCTACTTGGGAGGCTGGGGTGGGAGGATTACCTGAGCCCACAAGGTTGAGGCTGCAGTGAGCTGTGATTGCACCACTGCACTCCAGCCTGGGGAACAGAGCAAGACCCTGTCTCAAAAAATAAATAAATAAATAAAAAAAACATGTGCTGCCAACACTGTGAATATAACTAAAGCCAATGAACACACTTAACAGTGGGTAAAATGGTTAAATTTTGTTACATGTTATTTTTCCACACACAAAAAACTTTTGTGCTGCAAATAATCCCAGACAGAAAGTAAAAGACAACCCACAAATAGAAGATAGCGCTAAATCAGATATAAGGGTGCAGCACGTCAGGGCTGGCCATGGTGGCTCACACCTGTAATCCCAGCACTTTAGGAGGCCGAGGCAGGAAGATTGTTAGGGCCCAGAAGTTCAAGACCAGCCTGGGCAACAGAGCGAGACTCCGTCTCAAAAAAAAAAAAAAAAAAAAGAAAAGGAAAGGAAAGAAAAAAGAAAGACAAGAAAAAAAAAATTAAGAAAAAGGGTAGAACATCCAGACTATCATAAAGAACTGACAACTTTAAAATGTCAAATAACCTAATTAAATAATGGACAAAAGTCTGAACAGACATTTCATCAGAGAAGATATACTAATGGTCAATAAGTGCAAAAGAAAATGCTCAACGTCATTAGCCACAAAAGAAATGCAAATCAAAACCACAATGAAATACTATGTCACACCCACCAGGATAGCTACAATAAAAAAGATAACAATTGTTGGCAACATTATAGAGAAACTGGAACCCTCATACATATTGCTGATGGTAAAGAAAAATGCTAAAGCCACTTCAGATAACAGTTGGCAGATCCTCAAAAGATTAAATATAAGTTACCACACAACCCAGCAATTGCACTCTCAAGTATACACCCAAGAGAAATGAAAACATATGTTCACATAAAAACTTATCCACAAATGTTCATAGCAGCACTGTTCATAATAGCCAAAAAAGAGAAACAATTCAAGTGTCCATTTACTAATGAATGGTTAAACAAAATGTGGTATAGCCATAAAAGAGTATATTATTCAGGCCTAAAAATAGTGAAGTACTGGCTGACTTGAAGGTAGTGAGTTATCTCAACAGATTGTTCAGTCAGTTACAGATCTAAGTCTTTGCTCTACTCTCTCCTCATATCACTACTGCACTTGACTAGTTTTTTTAAAAAGTATTTAAAAAAAGAATGAAGCACTGATACATGCTACAGCACAGATGAAGGCGAAGGTCAGCCACATAAGACCACACATCGTATATTTCGATTTGTAAGAAATGTCCAGAATAGGCAAATCTATAGAGACAATAAAGTAGATTAATGGCTGCCTAAGTCTGGGGGGAATGGTTTGGGGGTAAGTGAGTAATAACTGCTAATTGGTAGAGGGTTTCTTTTGGGAGTAATAAAAATGCTCTAAAATTGATTATGGTGATGGTTACACAACTCAGAATATACTAAAAACTACTGAACCATACACTTCAAATGTGTGATTAACATATCGTTTGTGAATTAAGTTTTAATGAGTGGCTATATTAATATAAGATCAAATAGACTTCAGAACAAAAATCAAAGGAAACTATGTACTTTTCAGAGAAAGATCTTGAGGTGTTGCCATTTATATAAAAGAAATAATTTTATTTGCATTGACCTAGGGTCGATTCTCATCATTTATAGTAGTTATATTCTATACAGTTGCTGCAAACAATAAATTAACAAATTAACTAAACTATTGCTCCTAGAGGAAATGCAGGATTAGGTTCCTGCAAGCCTCCGGTCACAAAATTTTCATCAACCAGTCAATACATAACATTTTTATATGCATTTATATTTAAAGTCACTTTAAAACATATTGCTGAGGGCTGGATGCAGTGGCTCAAGTCTATAATCCCAGCACTTTGGGAGGCTAAAGTAGGTAGATAAAGCTTGAGTCCAGAGTTCAAGACCAGCCTGGGCAACATGGTGAAACCCAGTCTTTACAAAAAATGTAAAAAATTAGCTGGGTGTGGTAGCATGGGCCTGTAGTCTCAGCTACTCAGGAGGCTGAGGTGAAAGGATCACTTGAGACCAGGAGGCAAAGGTTGCAGTAAGCCGTAACTGGGCCACTGCATTCCAGCCTGGGTGATAGAGCAAGACCCTGTCTCAAAATAAATAAATAAATAAAATATATCGCTGGTTCATTAACACTGAATTCAAAGCCAAAACACTGTAACTCATACATGAATGAAGCTTACCTTACACGTGTTTTCTCCATAAAGCACAAACATCCTTCATGCACTTAGCAACACTACGGGGCACTTCAGCTTTATTACATTTAGGGCCATTTGAAGCAGTGAAGTCAACAAAAAGCACAATGAGAACATGGCCACAACAAGGACACATATTTATGCTATGAGTGCTGAAAGAAGGCAAAGCATCTCCCAGTTTCACCTCAGCTGGGAATATGTGAATTGGGCGAGTCAAATTTTTTGCTGCTCTGCCCATGTGTAGGGATGACTGTGAAGGCACTGCTATTATTAATACTGGGGTTACAAATAAATTTTAGCATGTAGGTGAATTCTAAAACACAGAATCCATGAATGAGAATCAATTTTTAACATACAATAAAACGTACTTTAAAACACATGATTTTAAAATTTCTAGAAGGAAAAACATTTTTAACATATTTTAACATTTTTATTGTGGTATATACATATAACATAAAATTTGCCATTTGAACTATTATGTATGTATATTATGTATACAAGTATACAACTATCAGGTATGTTATATGGCATTAACTACATTCAACATGTTGTGCAACCATCCAACCATCACCATAATTTTCAAAACCTTTTATCATCCCAAACAGAAACTATATCCATTAAGCAACAATCGCCCATTCCTCCCCCACTCCCATCCTAAACAACTCTCTATTCCCTCCCTATTCTCCCTGCAAGCCCTTGGTAACCTCTAGTCTACTTTCTGTCTCTATGAATGTGCCTATTCTGGACATTTCATGTAAGTATAATCTTATATTTGCCCTCTTATGTCTGTCTTATTTCACTTATGTTTGCAAGGTTTACTCATATTGCAGCATGTATCGGAAATTCATTCCTTTTCAGGACCAAATAATATCCCATTACATGTATATACATTTTATCAATTCATCTGTTGAACACTTAACATTATTTCCACCTTTTGGCTACTGTGAATAATGCTGCAATTAATACTGGCAAGTATCTGTTTGAGTCCCAGTGTTCAATTCTTTTGGGTCACAGATATGTAAGAATGGATTTGCTAGGTCACATGCTAATTTTATGTTTAACTTTCTGAGGAACCACCAAACTGTTTCCCACAGTGGCAGCACCATTTTACATTCCACCAGCAATATAGGACTCTAATTTCTCCACATCCTTGCCAACACTTTGTTGTTTTTTAACTAGAGCCACCCTAGCAGGTGTGAAGTGGTATCTCCTTGTGGTTTTGTTTACATTTCTCTTAATAACAAACGATCTAGTGTATCATTTCATTTGCTTATTGGCCATATATACATATCTTCTTTGGGGAACTGTCTATTCAGATCTTTTGCCCATTTTTAATTGGGTTGTCTTTATTATCAGGCTGTGAGAGTTCTTTATATATTTCACTATCATCCAATACATGACTTACAAATACTTTCTCCCATTCTGCAGGTTTTCTTTTCACTTTCTGAATAATGGCCTTCAATGTACAAAAGTTTTACATTTTGATCAAGTCCGACTTACTATTTTTTCTTTAGTTGCTCATGCTTTATTTAGGTTGTTACTTGTCTTTGTTTTGTTTTTGTAGAGACAGGATCTCACTATGTTGCCCAAGCTGATCTCAAAATCCTGGCCCCAAGCAATGCTCCCACCTCAGCCTACCAAAGTGCTATGATTACATGCGTAAGCCACCATGCCCAGCCTGTTGATATATTTTGAGTTAACTTTTGCATATGGTGTGAAGTAGGGGTATGACTTCATTCCTTTGCATGTGAAAATCCAGTTGTACCAACATCCTTTTTTTGTTTTGAGACACGGTCTTGCTCTGTCAGTGCACTGCAGTGCAGTGACACAATCACAGGTCAATGCAGCCTCAACCTCCCCAGGTTCAAACAATCCTGCCTCAACCTCCCAAGTACCTACCAGGGACCACAGACGTGAACCACATCTGGCTTTTCTTTTTTGAGATGGAGTCTCGCTCTGTTGCCAGGCTGGAGTGCAGTGGCACGATCTCGGCTCACTGCAACCTCCGCCTCCTGATTCAAGCGATTCTCCTGCCTCAGCCTCCCAAGTAGCGGGATTACAAGCATGCACCACCACGCCCAGCTCATTTTTCTATTTTTAGTAGAGATGGGGTTTCACCAGGTTGGCCAGGATGGTCTCGATCTCCTGACCTCGTGATCTGCCCACCTTGGCCTCCCAAAGTGTTGGGATTATAAGTGTGAGCCACTGCACCCCGCCATTTTTTTTTTTAATTTTATTTAGAGACAGGGCCTCACTATGTTGCCCAAGCGAGTCTTGAACTTCAGGCTCAAGTGATCCTCCTGCCTCAGGCTCCCAAAGTGCTGGGATTACAGGTATGAACCACCATGCCTGGCCCAATGTCATTTTTTGAAGATACCAATATTTCTGCCACTGAATGGATCTGGCACCATTGTCCAGTATCACTTGGATATACTGGAAGGACAGATAAAGTATTAACACAGGTTATGTGTTGGGGGAGACAGGAACTGGATGAGGATAAGGAGTGGGAGGGAGGCTTCTCAATATCCAGCTTCGTATACTTATTTAACTTTTCAACCAGTGGGAAAGTACTGTTTACTCAAAAGCTAAAATAAATTTAACATTTTAAAACACAACTGCTAGGCAAGCCATAAAATAGGATATATACCTGACAAAAGAGTCATGATTGGAATATATAAAGAATCCTACAAAAGCACTGGGAAAAAAGGTAGACAAACCACAGGGGAAAAGGTAAGCACAACCCGAACAGGCAACTACAAAAAATGATATTCAAAGGCCAACAGCCGTACTAAAAGATGTTGGACTTTACCGGTTCTCACAGATCTGCAAATTAAACTATAATGCTAGTTTACTTAAGTACTTAAATAAACTTTTAAAAATTATGAAATCAAACTAACTATAAATTAATTACATCCACCTTAAAAATGACTAATCAGATTCTACCAAGTCAGGACAAAAACAGAAAATTGGCAGCCTAACTGGTATTATTTGGCCAGAATAGAGTAGTTGTTGTTGTTGTTGTTATTGTTAGGCAGTCTCACTCTCTTGCCCAGGCTGGAGTGCAATGGCACCATCTCGGCTCACTGCAACCTCCACCTCCCAGGTTCAAGCGATTATCGTGACTCAGCCTCCCGGGTAGCTGGGATTACAGGCATGTGCCACCACACCTGGCTAATTTTTGTATTTTTAGGTAGAGATGGGATTTCACCATGTTGGCCAGGCTGGTCTTGAACTCCTGACCTCAAGTGGTTCGCTCATCTCGGCCGCCCAAAGTGCTGGGATTACAGGTGTGAGCCCCCATGCCTGCCAAAATAGAGTATTTTTTAAATGCAAGAAGGCTAGGCAAGTTTCACTACTCTCAATGTCTTATACTAGTTACTTTCCTAGTTCCTGAAGGCATCTGAGTTTGTGCTATCAGCTTAACATGGAAAGGCCACATTTAGGTATAATTTTACCACATTACCTCGGTGGCCTCATTTGTTTAAAAAAGAAACAAGGATAATATTATCACCCTGAAATAATTCTTTTTAATTGGGCAAAACTTCATTCCGCAAAATAGAATGAGTCTTCCCTCTGAGAGGATTTTTATAGGCAAATAAGATAACACGAAAAAGTTTTATCTTTAACGTAAGATAAAACATAACAAAATATGTTATTTTACAGACAAGGAACAGAAGTCTAGACAGATTCAAATAAACTTATCCACAGCTAGTTCTTTCCTGCCATTATTAATTCAGATAATCTACTTTGAAAGCATTCAACATAAATTGAGGAAGGAAAACAGAGAAGAGAAAATTGGATGGATGTCAAGAGCAGCCTAGATTACAGCCAAAAGCATAAGGACTAAAATCATATAATACACAAATGAAAAAGAGGGAATCACCTCCAAACCAACATTAAGAGCAGAAATAGTAAATTTCAGCTATGACTAATTCTTTTGAACCATATTTCAACAAATATCTGGTTTACTGAAATCAAATTTATTACTAATTTATTATAAAATGTATTATACTGTTCTTTAATATAATCTCTTACCTCTCCAGCGAGATTCAGTGGGTCCAAGGTTCATTACATACATCCCTTTTATATGCCTCACAACAAATGAAGGTAATGTTCAACACAAAGCAGAAAATGTAATATACGAAGGACAGCTGAAATGCAGTGCTCTTATTACTTTCAATACTTCAGATTCATAAGCACAGTAATACAGTGAAATGATTCTCAATACCTTACCCTCATATCTGCCCTACGGCAGACAAAAAACTGATGGGGATCTTTTGACTGACATTAGCTTTTTGCTTAAGTATTTACTTTGTGAGGGATAGTATTTAAGCCAACCCTCAGTGATGGGAAAAGAAATGAGTTGTGTAATTTGAATTTTAGCATTCTATTAATAAACCACACATGGATGACAGGCCAGACTGGTCCAAAATTCATTTGTGGAATTCATTCTGGCAGTCATTTGTGATGTTAGAAGTAGAACCCTGTAAATTCTCATTCTTCCAAATCTATTGTGGACAACAGGTCAGGCTGTACACACAACACTGCCTGAAATCTGATTCATAACCAACACCTAACATGTCCCATCAAATGAAAACATGGGATGTGGCATCACAAGGCATAGTAAATAACTTAGGTTGTTTAGGAAAAAAGTATCAAGGATAGTATGTAGGTATTTACATAATGAAAGAAAAATTTCCACAATTTTTATCTACAAATTCAAAATATAATAATTGAGTAATTTTTTTTGTAATACAGGTCTACCAATGAGAAGAATAAAATTCTCATTTAATTGGGAAAATTTTAATTAACTCACCACAGGTGAAGAGCTATCCCTGTTTGGCTAATGAATGAGCCACTCAAAAACTTCCCATGTTTGAAGAGCCTCATTTTCATTTTTTATTTTTAAGAAATTCTGCTGTGATCAGATATTCCATTTTAAACTTTCTTATTTCTGATTTTTACTTTCCTGTGAGTTGGGAATAATGTAATCAGTGCTTACTCTGGAGTTGTCAACAAAACACTGTACTCTTTCAGCACAGCTATAGTGTAAGTACATAATAAACACCATGCTTTGCCATCTAACTCAAAACAAAATGTACTCTGCTGTAAAAGCATGACATTTAAAATCCACTCACTCTTCTTTGAAATGATAGGTATGCAATATTTTGGACAATTTTTTAAATTTTAAATGTTGTGCTACAGCCATACACATCCCTATCAAGTTATAGCTGCATCACTGCAATTTGTAATGTACCAAAAAGCAGTACACAGTATTTGTCACAACTACTCAATTTTCCCATTATAGCATGAAAGTAGTCAAAGACAATACATAAATGAATGTGCGTGGCTGTGTTCAAATAAAAATTTCTAAACACAAATTTACACTTAAAATTTTTTTTTCTTTGAGATGGAGTTTTCGCTCTTATTGCCCAGGCTGGAGTGCAACAGCGCAATCTCGGCTCACTGTAACCTCTGCCTCCCGGGTTCAAGAGATTTTCCTGCCTCAGCCTCCCAAGTAGCTGAGATTACAGGCACCTGTCACCACACCCAGCGAATTTTTTTTTGTATTTTTAGTAGAGATGAGGTTTCACCACATTGGCGAGGCTTGTCTCCAACTCCTGACCTCAGGTGATCTGTCCACTTTGGCCTTCCAAAGTGCTGGGATTACAGGCGTAAGCCACCCTGCCTGGCCTCTAATAATTTTCATGTGTCACAAAATATTCTTTTTTCCCAACTATTTAAAATATAAAAATCATTCTTGGCTCACAGGTCATACAAAACCATACAGTTGACTGTATTTAGTTCATGGGCCAGTTTGCCAATCCCTGATCTAAAGCAATGCCCAACAATTAACAGGCCCCACACAGAAGCACAGAATCTTCCATCAGAACTGTATTGCCTCATTCAAGTGGGGAGACAACCAAGGATCATCTATTGCTCGAGGAAGCCTATGAAACACAAAGATCAAAAGAAAAAAAAAAAAGTAAAACAGATAATAAAGGGAATAGAAGATAAACAAGAGTAGGCAGAAGCAAACAGTAAAATAAGATGTCAAAAATGTTATATAATGATAGCTGGGCACAGTGGTACACGTCTATAATTCCAGCTACTCCAGAGGCTGAGGCAGGAGAATCACTTGAATCCAAGAGCGGAGGTTGCAATGAGCTGAGATCGCACCACTGCACTCCAGCCTGGGCGACAGACTGAGACTCTGTCTCAAAAAAAAAAAAAAAAAAAAGTTATATAATGGAATTACCAAATATAAATAAGGAATCAGTATACCTGAAATGTTTCAAAAGTAAAAAGTCAAATGAAAAATAAAGTAAAATACATATTTTGCCTGGGGAAGAAAAACATTTGTATCCTCAGAGAAAGAAGATATTAAGTCCACAGAAAAAGAACAGAATCTTATAAAAATACAACCTAAGCAAGGAAGCTCTTAGAAATGTACCATGTAGGCCAGGTGCGGTGGCTCACGCCTGTAATCCCAGCACTTTGGGAGGCCAAGGCAGGTGGATCACCTGAGGTCAGGAGTTCAAGACCAGCCTGGCCAACATGGTGAAACTCGTCTCTACTAAAAATACAAAAAAATTAGCCAGGTGTGGTGGCATGCGCCTGTAGTTCCAGCTCCTCAGCAGGCTGAGGTAGAAGAATCGCTTGACCCAGGGAGGCAGAGGTTGTAGTGAGCCATCCAGTCTGGGTGACAGAATGAGACTCCATCTCAAAAAAAAAAGAAATGTACAATGTAATTAATAAATTGGATAAAAGGGTTAGAGACAAGGACAAGAAGATCTTTCAGAATGTCAGTGGAGCAAGAAAACAAAGGGAAGGAAACTAGAAAAAGACAGCGGAGAATATGAACCTAGGAGAGCCAACATCCAAATAGTAATAGTTCAATAAGAGTGGGAGGTGGGGAAGGACCTTCTGAAAAAAATGTAAAGTTCTCTTACTATAAATGAAGATTACAAGACTAAATGAAAAAGCATAATGAACTTTTAGAAACTTTTAGAAAAAAAAATAGAAGCATATCACTATATTTCAAAACAACTGATAAATAGATGAAGAGATCCAAGACATAAAAAGATAAAAAGATCTCAAGAAGAGGTAAATAAACAAATGAAACCCAACTGGGGTTGTACAAAGGAGTAAAATCAGAGTAGCATCAGCAACACTGATTTAAGACACTGGAAGAGATGCCTTAAAAGTTCTGAGGAAAAAAGTTTTAACCCAGAATTTCATATCCAGCCAAGCTATCATTTAAGAAGGGAGTAGAATAAAGAAAACTTCAAAAATTCAAAGGCTCAGAAATTATACTCTTAGTGACTCTTCTTTAGGATGTACAAACAAGGGCGTAAACAAAGAATGGGGAAGACATGGGAGCCTAGGGCCTGTGTAAAGTATTAATTAGATCAAGACTCATCTTCCTAAAACTGACTTGAACGATTACAACCTCAGTTATTAGGGTGCATAAGCAAAGAACAGTGAAATTAAAAAAAAAAAAATCTGACCAACAGCATGGAAATGAAGAAATCTGTCACTGTCTGGGTTCGGGGTAAGGAAAAAAGTTTTCTCCTGAGAATTCCCTTTTTTTTTTCCCCACACCCACATTGTGTATAATTCTGAGAATTTCTAAATACAAGCCAGCCTATAAGGTAAACACTAAATCAACATCTGACAATACTAAGATATAGTAAACTAAAAGTCTGCTTCAGTAATTTCTGTGTTGGTGGCACCTGACAGAAGCAAATGCAAAATACCCTCTGGAGGCTTGTTCCCTAAAACCAGTCTGGCAGATTTCATAAAGCCCTAGTGAACAGGCTCACTGTCTAAAACTATAAAACACAGGAGGACACCACCCACAACAAATGAGCAGGCAGAAGCAAGCAGTAAAATAAGACATCAAGAACATCAGATAATGGAATTATCAAATATAAATATGAAATCAGTATACCTGAGACATTTAAAAAATAGGTCGGGCACAGTGGCTCACACCTGTAATCCCAGCACTTTGGGAGGCCCAGGCAGGCAGATCACTTGAGCTCAGAATCAGAAGTTCAAGACCAGCCTGGCCAACATGGTGAAATCCTGTCTCTACTAAAAATTCAAAAATGAGCCAGACATGGTGGCGGGCGCCTCTAATCCCAGCTACTTGGGAGGCTGAGGCAGGAGAATTGCTTGAACCTGGGAGTCGGACGTTGCAGTGAGCAGAGATCGTGCCATTGCACTCCAGCCTGGGCAACAAAGTGAGACTCTGTCTCAAAATATACACTCAAAAACATTTTTGGACTTAAGAAAATGTGGAGGCATACCATGTGTATAAATAGGCAGACACAATAAAGACATTTTCTCCCAAACTGATTTACATATTCAAAGCAATTCCAACAAAAACACTGACAGGTTTTTTGTTGTCGTTGTTTTTCTGTTCTTTTTTAAAGAGATGGCGGCGTCTCTCTGTGTTGCCCAGGCTGGAGTACAGTTGCTATTCCCAAGTGCAATCATAGCACATTACAGCTTCAAACTCCTAAGCTCAAGCCATCCTCCTGCCTCAGCCTCCTGAGTAGCTGGGACTACAGGTATGTACCACCACACACAGCTTAATAAGTTTTTAAAATGAACTTTCACAAGATAATACATTTTAGTATAAGAGTGAGCAAAAGGTGAATGGCCAAGGTTTGTCTTGGAAAAAGAAATTTTTTAATTAAAAAAAAAAAAAGGAGCAAAAGGTCAAGATCAGTCGAGATAATCTTGAAGATGACCAAGGTATACGTAGAGAGGGCAGTGAAATTACCTTAATGAACAAAACTTACTGCTTATTATTATAAAGCTACTAAGAACAGCAAAAAAAAAAGGAGGAAAAACTATTTTAATATAAAAACATGAAAAGACAGCTCTCTAAAAAGTGTATCAGTTATCTATTGCTATGTAACAAATTACCTCAAAAATTAATGACTTAAAACAACAATAATTATTTCTCACAGCTTTCTTGAAACAAGAATTTGGGGCCGGGCGCGGTGGCTCACGCCTGTAATCCCAGCACTTTGGGAGGCCGAGGCGGGCGGATCACGAGGTCAGGAGATCGAGACCATCCCGGCTAACACGGTAAAACCCCGTCTCTACTAAAAATACAAAAAATTAGCCGGGCGTAGTGGCGGGCGCCTGTAGTCCCAGCTACTTGGGAGGCTGAGGCAGGAGAATGGCGTGAACCCGGGAGGCGGAGCTTGCAGTGAGCCGAGATCCCGCCACTGCACTCCAGCCTGGGCGACAGAGCGAGACTCCGTCTCAAAAAAAAAAAAAAAAAAAAAAAGAATTTGGGAGGGACTTGGCAGGCAGTTCTGGCTTAGTGCCTCTAAGAAGGCTGCAGTCAAGATGTCAGCCAGGAAGGACTGCAGTCATCTGAAAGCTTGATTAGGATAGAGAATCTACCTCAAAAGCGGCTCTTTCACATAGCTGGCAAGTTGGTGCTGGGTCTTTGCAGAAGACCTCAATTTTTCTCCATATGGCCTCTTTAAAGGACTACTAGAGTATCTTTCACAGAATGACAGCTGTTTTTCACCCAGAACAAGGGATTCAAAGAGCAAGGAAAAAACTGTATATATGGCTTTAATGACTTTTTAATAAAGTCACTATTAATTCTATTATATTCTCTTGGTCACGGAGACCAGCCTTGAGCAACTGGACAGCAACCATACAACGGTGTGAATAACAGGAGAAAAGGAACAAGGGGCCATCTTAGAGGCTGGCTACCACACCAAGCCATAGGCTCAGAATAAATCTTCAACCTACATCATCAACAAAGGATCAGTATACAGAATTTGTCAAGAATTCTTGTAAATCAAAACAAAAAATGTAAGCAATCTAAAGAAAAACATAAAACACATGGACAAATAATTCACAAAAGGAACATAAATAGCATATAAGCATTCAAATGTACTCATTAGTACCATATAGTGCATGCTATTTACTCATCACTGGGGCATAGGCTTTAAATATTTTTCTAAAAATGGTATATTTATGTTTATCCATCCTTGTTCTTTTTCCCACTTCCCCTTGAGTCAAATGGCTAGGGATAGATGTGCAATTTGTGGCCAAAGAAGAGACAGAGGTTAATTTATCTACCATCCTGAGCCCAATCTCTGAAGTTGGCTTAGATAGACTGTCATAAACATGAAAAAAATCAGTAGATCTATAGTGACCTATTTTTAGAAGTTTAACTTCAGTTAATAAGTACTTTCTTCATTTTTACATTTTACTAAAGGGAGGCTTTTTCTGAACTGTTATGGGTACTCCAAAATGAAGAACTATAAATGTATAAATCTGCCACCTACTATCTTATGATCTGACATTCTTCCTACTGGCCCAAAGACTCTGAGACATTATCATGTTCTTAATGTCCTTTAACAGAGCAGGGCTCAAACTTCCTGGTCTCAGGACCTCTCTTACAGTCTTAGTTACTGAGGAACACAAAGAGCTTTTGTTTAGATGGGGTATGACCATCAAATGTATAATAAAAATGGATGTTTTAAATATATTTTAATTCATTACAAGATGAATTAAAAATGAATCTTAAATTTTAAAATGTTAAAATGACGTTTACTTTATTACTAGTTTTGTTTGTTTTCTCAGACAGTCTCACTGTCACTCAGACTGGAGTGCAACGGCATGATCGCAGTTCACTGTAGCCTCAACCTCCCAGCCTCAAGTGATCCTCCCACCTCAGCATCCTGAGTAGCTGGAACTACAGGCGCACACCACCACACTCGGATAATTTTTTTATTTTTTCTGGAGTCGGAGTCTCACTATATTCCCCAGGCTGGTCTTGAACTCCTGGGCTCAAGTGATCCTCCCACCTCAGCCTTCGAAAGTGCTGGGATTATAGGCATGAGCCACCATGTCCGGCACGACAGGTTTAAACAACACTTTTAAAAATCAGAAATAACTGTATTTCCTAAAACAAAAAAAAATTAATAAAGAGTGTCATTGTGATACATTTTAAAGATCTCTTTAACATGTGGTTTAATAGAATATGGCTGGATATATGCTTCTGCATTTAATGTTTCAATATGTTGTTTCTTTGAAGAATATAAAGAAAATCTGGCTTCATACAGCTAAGTATCTAAGAAAAGGGAAAAGCAGATTTTAATACCCTTTTCAGATCATTGTGTGGATATTTTTCTTTGATATAACACAAAAACTTAAGAAGAATATTTATTTTTTAAACATCAGTTGCAATGTGGCATCTCAAACCTTAAAAATAAACTTGACTACTCTCTCGCGTTAAAATCTATTTATTGGCTGGGAGTGGTGGTTCATGCCTGTAATACCAACACTTTGGGAGGCTGAGGTGGGCAGATCAACTGAGGTCAGGAGTTCAAGACCAGCCTGGCCAACATGGCAAAACCCCATCTCTACTAAAAATACAAAAATTAGCCAGGCATGGTAGCGTGTGCCTGTAATCCCAGCTACTTGGGAGGCTGAGGCAGAACTGCTTAAACCCAGGAGGCGGAGGTCGCGGTGAGCCAAGATTGCGCCACTGCACTCCAGTGTGGGTGACAAAGCAAGACTCCATCTCAAAAAATAAAAATAATAAAATAAAATACAATCTATTTATTATTGCTCTGTTTTGCACTTAACATCATGCATTTCTCATTTAGAATATATTGCAATAAGCTACGCAGATCTTTGAAATGTTGACATTACACAATATCAAAAAAATTCACGTTCATTAATATCACCACCAATCTCTTCAGGAAAGTCTTTAAATACTGAGAAACTGACCAGCTCATGGCAGCAAATACCAATTTTCCAAAATTCTAATTTTCATTTAAAATCTCAATTTTTATCACTGGCAACATATGTCAGTTGTTTTCCTGGAAATGACAGGCTCAATTCATTCACTTCTGAGAAAATGGCTGCCAAATACCCATGCCTAAAAACCATAGTTTTTAAGTAAAACCATAGTTTCAAGTAAAATAGTTTTCTATGAAAAAAAGCAAATTCAGCTTGGAACTCAAAAAACTGCACAAGTACTCTTCTTCCACTTTCTTCCGCAGCAGAAGCATTTTAGGCACATTTCCCACTTCATCACACAGAGCTTTAAAGATCAAAATGTAATATAGTAATTGTTACTGTTTCATAAAGGATATTAAGTGACAATGACATAGGTTTATTTTTGTTCTTTCTCTAAGTGTGTGAAAGTAAATATGCAATGACTTTTATAGTATGGCTTGGAGCCATTATCCTTTTTTTTTATTTTTTTATTTTTTTTATTTTTTTAAAGACAGGGTCTCACGCCATTGCCAAGGCTGGAGTACAATGGCACAATCATGGCTCACTGCAGCCTCGACACTCCGTGCCTCAGGCAATTCTCCCACTTCAGTCTCCTGAGTAGCTGCGACTACAGACACGCACTACCATGCCTATTTAATTTTTTTGTATTTTTTGTAGACACAGGGTTTCATCATGTTACCTAGACTAGTCCCCTACTCCTGGACTCAAGCAATCCACCCACCTCGGCCTCCCAAATGGAGTCACTCACCATCTTAATTCACGCAGAGGTGATGGCAGTTTTATCCATCATTGCTTTTGCACCATTAATATAAATGTCAGCGCAGTGAATAAGGAGAATATCAAATTAGTGTAATTATGAAAATAGTTTTAAACTTGTGCACCTCTAAAAGGGTCTCAGTGACACGGTCACTACCATCACCCCCACCCCAGCATTCTGTGGCCCACACTTTGAGAATCACTGCTTTAAGGTATTCTCATTTAGGACCCACTGACAGCAGAATCCATGAGAAAAGTAAAAGTAATTAAAGTCCCCTAACTAGGGCTTTTGATGTACAAATACTAGACATTATAAAGACTTAGGATTTAGGACATTAGTTTATAAGTTTTTACAAGATCTAGGTAACTAGAAGATTTGGAACTCAAATGATTTATCATGCATGCTGTACATATCAGTAGACATCAGAAAAGCCTTTAAAACCACAATTTACCCCCCTGCCTCTTCTTTCTGTTTGCTGTGAGATACAGTCACAAAGACAACGGGGGGACAAATGAAAAATTACCGAAATAACACTACTACAATTTATTGGGGGCTTCCCATGTAAGCTCCCAATAAATGTACCTTGCAACACATTAACTCTCTTAATTCTCACAAAAACTCTATGATGTAGGTGTAATTATTACTCCCAATTTACAGATGTTAAGTAACTTATCCATGGTCATTCCAGTAGTAAATGGTAGAGCTCAAAAATGAATTCAGGTAGTTTGACCACAATGCTAGACAGAAGTTGTGAGAAGTATTTCAGCAATCTTGGACACATCGTTAATGACTGGTTGTTGGTGGAGTACCACATGATCATTCAAACACTCAAGCTTGTTTCTGTTGAAGAGGAGAGTCAGAAAAAGTAGAGCCTAAAAAGTCCCCAAACCAGTTAAGTCACACTGAGGCCAGAACTGTCATATAGTATACACACTCCAGGGACAAGAAATTCCGAGGGCTCAAACAGAAGACTCCTCAGAGTGGCTCAGCATGGTCTGTGATAAACAGACAGAAACACTATGAGGAAGTGCTCTTCACACTACACTCAGAGGTTTTCCCTCCCACTTACACATGATTGTTGCCATCTCAGACTTTTCATAGTAAGTTTTTTTGTTTCGTTTTGTTTTGTTTTTGAGACGGATTCTCACTCTGTCCCCCAGGCTGGAGTGCAGTGGCGTGATCTCAGCTCACTGCAACCTCCGCCTCCAAGACTCAAGTGATTCTCCTACCTCGGCCTCCCGAGTAGCTGGGATTACAGGTGCCTGCCACCACGCCTGGCAAATTTTTGTATTTTTTGTAGAGACAGGGTTTCGCCATGTTGGCCAGGCTGATCTCGAACTCCTGACCTCAAGCGATCTGCCCGCCTCGGCCTCCCAAAGTGCTGGGATCACAGGCATGAGCCACTGTGCCCAGTCCACAGTAAGTTGAAGAATTCAGTAACAGAATGATTTTTCCATGGTGATTCCACTATTCCTCCCCACAAACTATAAGGACATTAAACGTATGTACATACAGAATGTTAGCATAAAAGACAATAGAATCATATAACCTAACGGGATAGGAACTCAGCCTCTTCGTATTGCAAGACCTGGAGAGACTTCCTAGGTTCCTTGCCCAAGGGTTACGTAGCTAACTAACAGCAGAACCGAGGCCAGGTGGTGCCTCACGCCTATAATCCCAGCACTTTGGGAGGCCAAGGCAGGTGGATCACATGAGGTCAGGAGTTCGAGACCAGCCTAGCCTACATGACAAGACCCTGTCTCTACTAAAAATACAAAAAATTAGGTGGGCATGGTGGCGGGTGCCTATAATATCAGCTACTGGGGAGGCTGAGGCAGGAGAATCACTTGAACCCAGGAGGTGGAGGTTGCAGTGAGCCGAGATCGCACCATTGCACTCCAGCCTGGGTGACAAGAGTAAAAAACTGTCTCAAAAAAAAAAAAAAAAAAATAGCAGAACCCAATGCAACTTAATACCAATTCATTTCTTCAGCCACATCATTGTGCCATCTCAGAGGTAGCCTCATCTCCTTCAAGAGTTCATCTGAGAGTTTGTTCAGATGCATCAATATGATTCCTATTTAAAAAAAGATTTTTTGAGAGACAGGGTCTTGCTATGTTACTCAGGCTGATCTTGAACTCTTGGCCTCAAGTTATCCTCCCGCCTCAGCCTCCTGAGTAGCAAATCTGTATTTTTATTGATAAAGTATAAATGTATATATACCCACTACTGATAGCTGTTCTGCCTCAACCTGAAAAAGCACCCCCCAAAAAATCACAAAAACACTTTAAAAAGCTCACTATTGAGATTCAATATTAACTAATTTATCTATTTTGATTTTGCAAATACTCCAACGGTAAACAGATTGTACTTTCTCCTCAAAATATTTAAATCTGTGTTCCTCAAAGTGTGGTGGTACCACCAGCATCAAAATCACAGGGCACCTGTTAAAAATGCAGGCACATGGAGTCATCACCAAATCAACTAAACCAGTCTCTGAAGAAACTCCCAAGTTAGCATTTTAATAAGCTCTCTAGTGATTCTTATTTACACAAAACTTATTTATTGAACAGTCTACAATATCCTAGTGCAAAGTGAGACGGGCAAGTAAACAAAAATAAACATTTTGGATTTTAGCTGTGCTACAAAGAAAATAAGATGATCTATCAGAGAGCGACCTGGAGGACTACTTTAAAATGAGAAGTCAAAGTCTGAGGAGACATTTGAAGTGAGAGCCCTTCATTCAAGACAGTGGTTCTCAAACTTAAGCGTGAATCAGAATCACCTGGAGAGCTTGTTAAACGAGACTACTGGACAGGAGGTCCGGAATGCGGCCCAAGAATCTGTATTCCTAACAATGTCACAGATGATGCTGATGCTGTTGATCCAGGAACCACACTCTGAGAACTGTTGATCTAGAAAGAACAGCCAGAGGGTGTGAATAAATGTATTAAGAGAAACAGGAAAAGGCCAGTTAGGCAGGAGGGCATTATACTCATCATTGTTTCAAAATCACTTGAAAAAGATGGTGAGTTAAAACCACTAGCTATGATCTCCAGACCAGAGATGATATCTGAGGTTGATCAATAATATCCTGTATTGTTGAAGCATTTCTCAGTTACAAAGCATTTTCACATTTATTATTTGCCTTGGTGAGATATAAGTAAACGACTATCAGCTACATTTTAAAGGGAAACTGAAGGACAAAAACAGTATGAACTTCCTTTAGCGTAAAATAGCTAAAGAGCTGAACTATGTCCCCTAACACCCAATCTAGTGCTCTTTCCAGCACAGCTTGATCTTTTTAAAGAGCAAAGCAGAATGGTATATAGGAGTTAATACTGACAAATTATTTTCTAGACTATCTAAAAACACGGTGGATGGCTAGACACAGTGGCTCATGCCTGTAATCCCAGGACTTTGGGAGGCTGAGGCAGGCAGATCATTTGAAGCCAGGAGTTCAAGACCAGTCTGACCAGTATGGCAAAACCCCGTCTCTACTAAAAACAGAAAAATTAGCCAGGCGTGGTGATATGCGCCTGCAATCTCAGCTACTTGGGTGGCTGAGGCACAAGAATCGCTTGAACCTGGGAGGCAGAGGCTGCAGTAAGCCGAGATCGAGCCACTGCACTCCAGCCTGAGCAACAGAGCGAGACTGTCTCAAAAAAAAATTTTTTTTAATCAAAAACATGGTGGATTCCAGACTCAATTTGTTTTAGATATTGGTTAGAGAGAAATATTACTTAAGATTGACAGCATTTGGTTAGTCCCTTCCACTTACTCCCCCTCCTTCAAAAAGAAAGGATAAAGAAATGAAGAGGGGATTTACATATTATTCTCTCTCCTTCATAAATTTCAGAGAGCCAATTTCATAACCTCAGTCCCTCAGCCACATCAGTCAAACACAATCTGTATTTCTGGGTTCCCTCTAAATCTCTTACCTAACCCAGGTTCCCACAAGAACACTGAATCCTATGTGTCTTACTATGGTCATGGGTGCACAGACCACCAGCAGTTATTCTCTGAACACCTACTAACAATTAGTAGCTTCTCCAACAACCAAAGCCTTACTCTTAACATTCTTACCTACATGTACCAATAATGCTAGAAACCCAAAACATCCCAATCTGAAAACATTTTATCCTCCCTACACCCCAGCCCTCACCCTCACCCCAGCCCTGCTTCAGTGTCTGAATATGTATTAATAGCATTGCCATCCACCAAACAAAAAATGTGGAATTCTACGTTTGTCTCCCTCACACCAATCTCAATACACTCCCCCCATCCCTCCATTCCCATAGCCACTATTAGTTACTACTATTAATATACTAGCTACCATTTCATTAGTAACTACCACGTACTAATCACTTTACACATTTTATCTTACTTCATTCTCTCAATAACCCTATGAGGTTATATACTTTTTTCCCATTTCACAAATGAGAAAACTGAAGCTAAGAAAAGGTCATCTGCCCAAGTCGTAAGTAGGAGATGGCAAAGTAGATTTCCAAACCCTACCGTTCCCCCAAACCAAAATGCTTCATTCTGTAATACCTGATATATCATTCCTTTACTACCCATTCCAAATGTTGATTTCTTTCCTAGATAACCGCCAGGATTCTCCTAACTGGTCTCCTTGTCTCCAGCCTTGCCTTCCCTCATCCCTCAAGTGCCCTAAGTGATCTTTCTGGATCAGAAATCTGATCCTTTTATCCTCTTGATATGAAAGCCCTCCAGGAACATCCTTCAGTCCACAATGTCGAGGATACACTCTACAGGATGAATTCCAAGCCCTTTAGTGCAGCTCCACAATCGCTTACCTACAGTCCCGAAATTCAAAAGCTTTGAAATTTTAATTTTTTTCATTGGTTTGCAACAGAACCCACTGTGAATGCTGGGAGGTTATTTATCGTCTATCCCATTAGCGTGACATTCACGTGTTTCAATGTAGAAACATTAACGTGTTTGATAGAGTTAACTCAGACCCTGATAAAAGTCTCACATAACAGACCTTGCCAGAAAAAAGAAAAATCCCAAAATATTCTGAAGTCCTTACACCTGGATCCCAAGAGTTTAAGAGACTGTGAAACCTTTATCTTTTCAGCCCATCAATCCAATCTAATTTCCACCAATCACCCTACACAGTCTTTAGTTCCAGGGATGTAGAAGGGTGTCCTGTGCCCTGAATACCCTCCAACCCAGTGAGGTACTCATTCTTCAAGAAACCTGTTCATGGATTTCCTTTCCTGTGAAATTTCCCTGACCTTTCCTCTATTGTGCCACAACCATTGTACTGAGGACTCACCTCCACTGCTGCAAGTTATATGTTTCTCCTGTTAGACTGTGAATGAAGTCTTCATTGAGTACTTTATTCAATCCTAGCACAGTGCCCCAACACTAGGGGCTCATTAACGGCCAATTAGCTAAAACAAATTCATGCCCAGCTTTCCCTAACTCTCAATTTCCTTCAAAGTTCATTTCTCCTTCATCCCCAAACCTTAGGATTTTCCCTAACCATGCAGTCCACTTTCCGAGTTTCTCTTTCCCCATGTCATCTTACAATTTTCTTCCAGGCGCCTTCTCTGGACCCCTTGCTCTCCAACATATTCTCTCCACCTCCATTTAATCCATAGTCCTCCTCTCTCCTATCTGTGAACACGCC
This sequence comes from Homo sapiens, assembly GCF_000001405.40. NCBI lineage: Eukaryota > Metazoa > Chordata > Mammalia > Primates > Hominidae > Homo > Homo sapiens. The sequence goes on from NC_000001.11 coordinate 114,510,115, forward strand.
AAGTCCCCTCCCTCCAAAGCAATCCATCTTCACTGCCCTTACCTCTTACCTACTCCCTCAACACCTCGCTGGCCCGGGCCCTTTCAGCCAAAACGCTTCCTCACAACGTGTTTCCCAAATCCCCCTTCTCTCACTGTACGGGTCTGCCAGCTCCAGAACCAGCGCTCGGCCGGGTTCCGCACATCACAAACCCTCCCTCGGAGCCAGTGTCCCCTCCCCCAGCCTCTCGCAGCCGGCACCCCTCCCTTCATGCTCCCCTTATCTCTTGCGGTCCAGCTTCTCTGGAAAGTGTCCCAGGGGCGAGTCTTTCACCTTAGAGACCCCTCGGGATGGCGCCCGTCCGAGCAGCCCCAGGCCCCAGCACCTCCGTCCCCAGCTCCTCTAGGGTTGCGCAAATCCCTTGCGGCCCAGATGCCAGGCAGGGCCTCCGGCTCACCTTGCTGGATGTCGCCGTTGCTGCCCCCCGGGATGGGCACGCTGAGCTGGCGCTCCGGCTCGGGCAGGCAGCGCAGGCAGAAGGAGTGAAGACAGGGCAGCAGCTTGGGCTCCGCCTCACGCCGGCTCTGCAAGCTCTGCTGACACACGGCGCAGGTGTCCAGGAGCGAGGCTGGCGGTCCAGGAGGCGGCCCTGCCGAGGGACCCGGAGCGGGAGCCGAGGCTGGAGCTGGAGCCGGCGTCGATACTGCGCCCCCGGCAACTCCAGTGCCCACTGAGGCCGCAGGAGATGAAGCAGCCTGGGCCGAGCCCGAGGAGGCCGCGGCCACCCCCCCGTCGTCGGGCCCGGCCGCGCCGCCCTCAGCGCCGGCCCTGCCGCCTTCCTCCTCCTCCTCCTCCACCAGCACCGCGGTGAGAGGCGGCTCCGCCTCCTGCGCGGCGGGCCCGGCGGCCCCGGCAGTTACCGGCGCGCTGCCGCTGCCCCCGCCGCCGCTCTCAGCCTCGCCGCCGCCTTTGTTTTCCGCCATGTTTTCCTCTTTGAACCCGCCGGACCGCCCCGCGCCGCCCGCCGCCCGCGTCGCCGCCGCCGCCGCCCCCAGCCCCAGCCGCAGCCGCAGCAAGAGCGGCAGCCGAGAGCTAGCGAGAGAGCGAACCAACGAGAGCGCGCGCGCACGCGGCGCCCCCGCCCTCGCGTCGCGCGTTTGAAGGAGGGCGGTTGCGGCACGCGCACGTACGCACGGACGTCCTCCCGAGGGAGGCGGGAACTCGGTTCGCGGGCGCGGAGCGGTCCCGGACCCTCGAAGCCAGTTCCTTGCGTCAGTGCCGCGGCTCTTTAACCCGAAGGGAGATTTTTTTTTTAAAGCCAGAGGCCGTTGACGCTGGGTAGCCTTTGGCTGGGGTTGGTTATGAACTCCGACACAGCGGTGGTGCATACGGAAGGGTGGTAGCCGGGACGGTTCCGGTCCCTGCGAGCGTGTCCCGGGCGTCTCCGCGGAAGTTTCACCTGCCGCGCCGCTCGATCGCCGGGACCTCCTGGGTCTCTGCTGTGCGTAGACCAGCCGCGTTCCTTTGGGTGGCCGTGGAGCACTAAAGCGGGGCTTATTGTTTGTTTGGTTTTGGTTTTTTTTTTTGTTTTTTTTTTGCTTTTTGTTTTTGAACTGAGGATCTATCAGAAATAGGCTGAAAAGACCGAGTGAGGAAGAAACTCTTTAACAGCTATTTTTGGCATCTTAAGGTGATTCTCAGGAGTTGCTACGTATCAGAATCAACGGAGGAGTTTTTCAAAGCAGAGATGCCAGGGCCAGTCCCCAGACCTGAATCAGGAAGTGAGGGAGAGAGCCGACGGAGGGGGAAAAGTCCCTTCAGCTGATTCTTATGTATGTCAGTTTGGAGAGCCACGGATATAACCAATACTGCGTCCTTCTGAGGTCCCACTTTAAGTGTCCTGGGTTGAGCTGGGTGACAAATGCCCTTACAACAATGGTAGTAGAAGCTTTCAGGCCAAGCGCAGTGGCTCACGCCTGTAATCCCAGCACTTTGGGAGGCCGAGGCGGGCAGATCACTTGAGGTCAGGTCAGGAGTTCGTGGGCAGCCTGGCCAATATGGTGAAACCCCGTCTCTACTAAAAATATAAAAATTAGCCGGGTGTAATGGCGTGCGCCTGTAATCCGAGCTACTCAGGAGGCTGAGGCAGGAGAATGGCTTGAACCCGGCAGGAGGCGGAGGCTGCAGTGAGCCGAGATAGCGCCACTACACTCCAGCCTGGGCGACAGAGCGAAACTCCGTCTCAAAAAAAAAAGAAAAGCTTTCAGAAAGTTGCCTTTTTATTTGAAAAAAAAAAAAAGGTATTTGGAGGATTTTATGTAGTGCAACAACTGTTTTAGTGTTAAGATCATGAAATGCTTTGGTCTCCTGTTAGTGTTCCCAAGAAAGGTGCTGTAAGTCCTTAAACCACGTGAAAACTTTTTTTTTTTTTGAGACCTCCTCGTTCTGTCGCCCTGGCTGGAGTGCAGTGGCGTCATCACATTTCATTGCAGCCTCGACTTCCCAGGCTCAAGCCGTGCTCCTCGCAATTACCTGGGACCGTAGATGCACGCCACCATGACTTAGCTGATCTTTTTTTTCCCTTTGCCTCGAAGAGGCTGGGGTCTCACCATGTTGCCCAGGCTGAAACTCCTGGGCCCGAGCGATTGGCCCGCCTCAGCCGCTGGAAATGCTAGCATTACAGGCATGAGCCACTGCGCCCAGCCTCCTGAAAACTTTTTAAAATTTATTCAAAAATGTTTCCTGACCTCTTTATTGTCATAGTGTTTTAGAGATACACTGGGATTACAAAACAGAGGAGCTCCCTGCATTCAAGGGGTTTACAATCTAATAGAGAAAAAGATTGAGAATAGATACATGCCAGGGAGTGGTAAGTGCTGTGAAGAAAAGAATAAGTGGGGTAAAAGGGGTTAGAGGTGATTGAAGAAGGCCCCTGTTGATCAGATGAAGGAACCTGTCTTGGAGAAGAGCAGGAGAGGAACACATAACAAGTGCAAAGGGCCTGAGGGAAACGGATTCTTGGCTTGTTAGAGGAGGAGTCAGTGTGGCTGGAGTGGCTTGAACAAGGGAGAGAATAGTAGGACATGAGATAAGAGAGTTATTAAGGGAGCCAGGTCATGTACAGAAATGGTCTTCAATTTTTTTTTTAACTTTTGTGCCCTTTGAAAGAATTTTGGAAGGCTGTTTTCTTTCCTCAAACATTGTAAGTTGACTAAATTTTTTCAGAAGTTTAAATAGTTGCAGAGTTTAATTTGTGACATTCTGTAATACTGACATTTAAAAATTATTTTTAATCTAATAGGGAAGTAAACACTAAAGTGGCTTAATACTATCCATTTTTTAAAGTATATTAAAATGTTATATTTTTTAAACATGGAAAAGTATTGGGAATGTTTTAATGATATGGCTGGGAGTCTTCCCCCTTCCCCTAATTATTTCGAGTAGGCATGAATGCATATAACATTGCTAGAATGAGATAAGGTCCTGTATCAACTCCATTTTTCATTGCCACAGTCTTTACTGCATTAAAAACTATATATGTATACATGTATGTATCTACACACTCACATATATGATGGAGTAATTCCCTTAAAACTACCCTTACTTTTTTATGTACCCCTTGGAAAATTTTCCTTCACTGAAGTACCCCAGGAGTACTCATACCCTAGCCTTAGGACCACTGAGTCAGATAGGAAGGCTTGGATGGGTTTTGAGCAAAGACTCAAAGCAGAATTGTGAAAAGAGTCACTGTGGCTGCTTCCTAGAGGAATCACCTGTAAATGGTCAGTGGAATAAGGAAGACCAGTTAAGGGGCTAATAGGGTAATAACTCGGTTGGTTGGATCAGGTTAGAATCTGTAAAGGTGGTGAAAAATATGGAGTATAAATCATAAACACTTCTTCTCAAATTCACTTCAAAAAAATAAGCTAATGAACTGAATTTCTCAACCAAAAGTTTTGCTTCCATGAGTTTTCTTAACCTTTTGATGCCTGCTACATTTGCCTTTATTAAAATCTAGAATAAAAGTGTTGTTTTTGAAAACTATATAATTTGTATAGGATGGAAACAGCCCCCATGAAGTTCACTGTGTGCTCTGAGAAGGCAGTGCCTGGAGTATAACTCATGAAATATTTAGGATCATTGAAACAGACCCAGTTACATCCTTGATTTTCTGTGGGAGCCCAGAAATCTTGCAGGAGAAACTATGAAATAAGTCCACAGATGAGGCTGAGATACGATAATGCACAAACCTGTCTAATAGACTGCATAGCATGGGGTTCATTATGCCCTGGGACAAAATGCTTGGTTTGAATCTGGTTCCATCACCTACTAGCTATGTGATTTAGGGAAACTTACTTAGGTTGCCTCAGTTCCCTCAGTCATGAAAGGGTGTTTGCTACGGGTAGGACCTACCTCAAGGTTGCCTCACAAACAATATTTGTAAAACGTTAATAACAGCACCCAGCACATGGTGAACATGGATGTTAAAGTAGACCCAAAGTTCCCTGAAGGAAACAGAACTGGCAGGAGAAACACATGCCACTGAGAGAAAATTTCAAGAAGAGGAATCATGCTGTGGCCCAAACTGAGCAGCAGGTAGAGGTAGAGGCTGTGTCCAGCCATTTTCCTGACCTAGGCTACTATCCCTTGTTCCTCTGGTTTGAGCATTATCAGAAAAAACCAGTTCTGAAATAAAGGAAAGAGCTCTTAGGAGGTTCATAGCAGTTCTGCTATGAAGAAAACTCCTCTAAGTTGCTGGTAAACAATAGTGGAAGGAGTTTTCCAGTTGTCTAGGAAAGAGAAAGGGCATTGGAGGTGAGTGACCCAGGTAGGTAAGCAATGGTGAGAACACGATGTGTCCATCATCTGGGCACAGGAGGTTGGCAAAAGCAAGGCAGTAGCCCAAGGGTAGCGTGAAGATTTGCAAAGGCTGGTCTGCACCTTCTGGACAGAGCAGCCATGCTGAACAGCAGGAACAGAAGAGTACATGAGAACCGGCAGAAGGATGCTGAGCTGCAGCTGAAATCTGGGATATTTCTGTAAATGTACAATACTTGCACTCACCAATGGGTGAGGCCAGAGGATCTAAAGGTGACATTTTATCTTTTAAAGTTCACTTCTCAACTGGGTGTGGTGCCTTACACCTGTAATACCAGCACTTTGGAGGAAAACAGGAGGATCACTGGAGGCCAGTAGTTCAAGACCAGCCTGGGCGACATAGCAAGACCCCCATCTCTACAAAAAAAATTTATTAATACAAATTTTAAAAATAATGTAAAGTTTAGTTCTCATCATTCCATGGTGTACCAAGTACACTTTGACTTCTAGGTACTCTGTTGTCTGAGTGAGAACTATTAGTACCAAGAAAAGCAGGACAGATAGCAGAGTTCTGAGTCTAATTACTATCTATTGGCTTTTCTGTGTCTCTAAGGCCTTTCAGGGGCACGTTGTAATTCTAGTAATAAACACCACATTTGAACAGCAGTTTACAGTTGACAAAGTGCTTTCACACACATCTCTTAATTTTTGCAACCAGTAAAATATAGCTCAACAATAAATAGACTTCCTTATGTGAATGTACTGTAATGTATTATCTATTCATAGACAATAAGGTTTTCAATTTTTTACTATTATAAACAATACTGTGAAAAGCATTGTGATGCATAATTATTTGCATATCTATAATTATTTCTTCTGAATATTCCTAAAAGAATTGCTGATTCAAAGAATATGCCCATTGTAAAAGTTTTTAATATGTAAATTTAAAGTATTCCATATGGATTATTAAATTGTTTTGATGTATTTTGCTACTATAAATAAAAAAGTGAAATTAACATGCAATTTTTTTCCTTTTTTTTTTTTTTTTCCTAAAGATCCCTATTTCCATGACCAGGCGCTGTGGCTCATGCCTGTAATCCCGGTGCTTTGGGAGGCCAAGGCTAAAGGGTTACTTGAGACCAGGAGGTTGCAACCAGCCTGGGCAATATAACAAGACCCCCATCTCTACAAAAAAAAGTTTTAAAAATTAGACAGGTGTGATGTCTTATCTGTAGTCCTAGCTACTTGGGAGGTTGAGGTAGGAGGATCTCTTGAGCCCAAGAGTTTGAGCCTGCAGTGAGCTGTGATTGTGCCAATGTACTCCAACCTGGGTGACAGACTGAGACCCTGTCTCTAAAAGTAATAATAAAATAAAAATCTCTATTTCCTCACATCCCATTCATCCCTCAGTCCACTCTGGCCTGGCTTCCACTCCCATCACTTTACCAAAACAGCTTTTGCTAAGGCCACTAATTACTTCCATAATTTTATATCCAGTGAACATTATTTTTTTTTAATAGTCGAATCTCGCCCTGTCCCCCAGGCTGGAGTGCGGTAGCACGATCTTGGCTAACTGCAACCTCTGGCTCCTGGGTTCAGGTGATTCTCCTGCCTCAGCCTCCTGAGTATCTGGGATTACAGGCGCCCGCCACCTCACCTGGCTAATTTTTGTATTTTTAGTAGAGATGGGGTTTCGCCATTTTGGCCAGGCTGGTCTTGAACTCCTGACCTCAGGTGATCCACCTGCCTAGGCCTCCCAAAGTGGTGGGATTACAAGTGTGAGCCACCGCTCCTGGCCTCCAGTGAACATATTTTATCCCTAACCTTACTTGTTTTCTTGGGAGATTTAACACTGTTGGCCACTCCCCCTTCTGGAATCACTTCCTTGGTTCTCATGACACCACTGTCTCCTGGTTTTCCTCCTGTCCCTTGGACTGCTATTTCTCTTTTACGCACTGTCAGTGTTGCCAAGACCACACTTGGGTTCAATGGTTTTCTAGAAGAACTCCCAGGACTCAGAAAATCTGCTGTGCTTATGTTTATTAAAGTATGAGGATACAGATTAAAATCAACAAAGGGAAAAAGCCCATGAAGCAAAATCCAGGAGAAAACAAACTCAAATGTCCCTTCCCATTAGAGCTCTATGAGCATTAATTCTCATTAATTAGAAGTGTGACGGCCGGGCGTGGTGGCTCACACCTGTAATCCCAGCACTTTGGGAGGTCGAGGCAGGCGGATCACAAGGTCAGGAGATCAAGACCCCGATCTACTACTAACGCAGTGAAACCCCGTCTCTACTAAAAATACAAAAAATTAGCCAAGCGTGGTGGAGGGTGCCTGTAGTCCCAGCTACTTGGGAGGCTGAGGCCGGAGAATGGCGTGAACCTGGGAGGCAGAGCTTGCAGTGAGCCAAGATCATGCCACTGCACTCCAACCTGGGCGACAGAGCAAGACTCTGTCTCCAAAAAAAAAAAAAAAAGACATGTGACTACATGCATGAAGTGTTGTCAGCCAGGGAAACTTACCTAAGCCCTAGTGTCCAGAGTTTTTGTATTAGGGGTCAGTCACATATGCTTGCCACACCCACATGATTCATTCACCTCAGCTACTCAGACTCCATGCCTCAGAGGTCAAACTGATACGGTGTGACCCAAGGCCTCAGGCATACAAAAATACTCATTAGACTGAGTATTCCAAGGACTTGGAAGTTATTTCCCAGGAGTTAGTCAAAGGCAGTTCTAAAGACAAACCTTTCTTTGGAATGTGCAAGGTTTGAGCAATCCAGTTAACCCTTTCCTGAGCATAAACTTATTACATGTTGGGCTTTCTCAACTCTAGATTCGCTTCTCTTAATCAATTTTCTTTCGCTGGCAAACTTATCCATGCCACAGGTTCATTTACCATCTATGCAATGAAAACTCCCAAGTGTATATCTTCAGCCCAGGGCTGTTCTTTGAGGTCCAGGCCCATCTTGACAACTGCCTATTTAATGTTTCCATGTGGATGTCTTAAAGGCATCTCAAACTCAGCATGTCCAAGACTCAATAATCTTCCCCCAAACCTCCTGATCTTTTTCCACATTCCCTATCTCAGTGGATGGTATTACATTCTCTTAGCAGCACTAGAAATAAAGATATTTAGAAAACATATCAACTGGGCTGGGCATGGTGGCTTATGCCACTTTGGGAGGCTGAGGCGGGTGGATCACCTGAGGTCAGGAGTTTGAGACCAGCCTGGCCAACATGGCAAAACCCCATCTCTACTAAAATACAAAAATTAGCCAGGCATGGTGGTGCATGCCTGTAATCCCAGCTACGTGGGAAGCTGAGCCAGGAGAATGACTTGAACCTAGGAGGCAGAGGTTGCAGTGAGCCAAGATCATGCCACTGCACTCCAGCCTGGGCAACAGAGTGAGACTGTCTCAAAAAAAAAAAAAAATCAACTGGATTTTTGGATATAGGTTGGCAGATTGGATATAGGATGGGTCATCTTTGAAACCTACAACTTCTGACCCCTTGTATCTAATCTATTACCCAGTCCTGTCAATTTGACTTCCTAAATATTTGTCCAAATCTCTCCATTTGTCTCCATGTCCACTATCACCACCCTATGTCAACTTAACACCCTCAAAATACCACCCCTTTATCTTTGAGTGCACTGTGACTCCCTGATCCCTCCTCCCCCAACCGCCATTCCCATGTCTTCCCATTGCTCTTAGGACGAAGAACAAAATCCTTAAGGCTTTATGACTTTATTATCTTACCTGGACTGCCTCTTCAACCACACCATGCCCTACTGTCCACTTGCTTTCTACATTCTGGATACACTGGCCTTCAGTTTCTTCACTGTGCTATGTTCCCTCTTCCCTTGGGCCTTTTGCACATACTGTCCTCTAGCTGGAATGATCATTTCTCCACCCCTTCCCCCTCCTCATCACCCACGTTACAGAATTAATGCCTGCTCAAACTTTGAGTCTCAGTTCAAGTAGTACTCCTTCAGAAAAGCTCCTGTCTAAATCAGTTTTCTTTGTTAGATGTTTTCATAGATCCCCATTTGTCTCCTTCAGAGCTATTTGTGAGAAGCAGTAGAGTTTAGTGGTTAAGAGCAGGAGCCAGACTGTCTAAGTTTAAATTCCAGCTCTGTTACCTACTGGCTTCATGACCTTGGAAAACGTAAACTCTTTCTGCCTCAGTTTCATCATCTATAAAGTGTATATAATAGTTACCAACTATATTCATAGTATATATAATAAGCTGTTTAATGATTAAATTAGTACATGGAAAGTATTTAGAACAAGGCCTTACACATAGAAGCACATAATATTTTCTTTTATCATTAATGTCTAGATTTGTAATAATGCATTCATAAGTGTTATTATCTGATTTATAGTTGTCTCTCTCACCATGAAAGCAGAGATGATATCTACTTCTACTGCGAATAAAATTCACAGTGCTGGGCACATAGGTGCTTATTAAATATTCAAAAAATTAATAAATGATTCTTTTTTTTGAGATGGGGTCTTACTCTGTTGCCAAGGCTGGAGTGTAGTGGTGAGATCACAGCTCACTACAGCCTTGACCTCCCCAGGCTCAGGTGATCCTCCCACCTCAGCCTCCCGAGTAGCTGGGACTACAGGTACACTCCACTATGTCCAGCTAGTTTTTTGTATTTTTTGTAGAGGCGAGGTCTTCCTATGTTGCCCAGGCTGGTCTTGAGCTCCTGGGCTCAAGCAATCTGCCTGCCTCAGCCTCCCAAAGTGCTAGGATTACAGGCATGAGCCACTATGCCAAGCCACAATAAAGACTCTTTAAAGTGGATAAAAGAGTTTGCACATATTAAATGTTTTCTGTACTCATTGTGCAAGTCCTCTGAAGAGAGTTTATTTTGTTTAAAAGACAGGAAAGATTTGACCATGTTTCTGCTTAAGAAAAAGAACCAACAATGATACAGAGTTTGAAAATAAAGAAAGGAAACTTTTAACAAAGCAGACTCCCTAGGAATCTGGGAGAAAATGGGTTGTAGAACACAGATGAGTAGATTAGCCTTGGTTAAGGGGAAGAATATCACTGCCTCCAGGGTGTTGGAACCAGAACAGGATAAGGAAGATGCCCAGTGGAACAGCCTTTCATGGGAAAGGTTTACCCAGCACGGATAGCCCAAGAAGGTCAAGTAGGTCATCAGTGCGGAGGTGTGACCTTTCATTACACATCAGAATCCCAGTACAATGAGAAGGACATCCACAAAGGGAGAGATGTGGCAGCAACAAGGGGGGATTGTTTACACACAGGCAGATTGATCAAATAAACAAATGATTTAAAAAAAATATTCTCCTGGCCGGGCATGGTGGCTCACGCCTGTAATCCCAGCACTTTGGGAGGCTGAGGCGGGTGGATCACCTGAGGTCAGGAGTTCGAGACCAGCCTTGCCAACATGGTGAAAACCCATCTGTACTAAAAATACAAAAAATTAGCCAGGCGTGGTGGCAGGTGCCTGTAATCATAGCTACTTGGGAGACTGAGGCAGGAGAATCACTTGAACCTGGGAGGCAGAGGTTGCAGTGAGCTGAGATCGAGCCATTGTACTCCAGCCTGGGTGACAAGAGCAAGACTCTGTCTCAAAAACAAAACAAAACAAACAAACAAAAATTCTTCTTAAGTACAAATGTAGAAAGAGAAAATTAGAGTGAACCTTAAGGCCGGGCGCAGTGGCTCATGCCTGTAATCCCAGCACTTTGGGAGGCCGAAGCGGGCGGATCAACTGAGGTCAGGAGTTCTAGACTAGCCTGGCCAACATGGCAAAAACCCATCTCTACTAAAAATACAAAAATTAGCTGGGCATGGTGGTGGGTGCCTGTAATCCCAGCTACTCAGGAGTCTGAGACAGGAGAATCGCTTGAACCCAGGAGGCGGAGGTTGCAGTGAGCCGAGATTGTGCCACTGCACTCCAGTCTGGGAGACAGAGTGAAACTCTGCCTCAGAAATAAAAAAAAAAAGAATGAACCTTGCAGTGCTGGATTGGAATTGTGGTAACTCTGTGTCCTCATGGCTGTCAATATATAGATAGATAGTTATAGAAATAATATAGATGTAAACATATGTATGTGTATGTTTGTATGTATGTAAATACATATATTCCTTAGGCTTGTCCACTGAGAGGCTTAGGGGCAACAATATCCCAATAGCAACAAATACACCAGTACCCAGATCTTGGCTTTTAAATATTATCCTCCTTTAAAAAGAACCCTTTGCTTAAATAACTGATCCCAAGTCTGGAGCAAGGAAAATGCAAGATGAGCCTGGGATATCTTGTTGTGACAGAAGGTAAGGTAGTCCTTATAGAATGATAACAACAAGTTAAAAGGTCAGAGAAGTCAGCTTGAATGGATTCCCATTAGCCAAACCTGGAACAATTTGAGTATCAAAATAAATAGTGATTCTAATGGATTATAACCCAGTGAATAAAACAGGAAACAAAGAGTCCAAGCTGATAAAAATAAATGAATAATTTGAAAGTAATGGGATTCCGGCCATGATACCCCCCAAATACAGCACCTTAGCATTTGAGAAAACAGCAAAAGCAGGTAGGTCACTCTTGCTTCTTCATTCTCCCCTGAAGCAGCTCATAAGAACCTCATTTAAGAGGTGCTCTCCCTATTCCTGGAAAAAAGGAACATCCTTATCTCTGAAAACACAGGGACACAGAAAAGAATCTGAGCAAAACAGACCTCAGTAACTTCTCTCCAGTTTATTATTAGGTCATACTTTTTCAATCCAATCATACTTCTCCATGACTATCCACTTCACCAAACCTAGCAAGAAGATTCTATAATAATAAAACCTTTTGCGGAATGTGTGTGTTTCTCTTTCTTTTTTAGAGTTGGGGTGTCGCTCTGTTGCCCAGGCTGGAGTGCAGTGGCATGATCATAGCTCACTGCAGCCTCAAACTCCTGGACTCAAGTGATTCTCCCGCCTTATCCTCCCAGGTGGTAGCTGGGACTACAGGCATGCGCTGCCACAGTTGGCTAATTTTTTTTTTTTTTTTTTTAAGAATTGGTGGCAGGAGGGCAGTCTTGCTTTGTTGTCCAGCCTGGTCTCGAACTCCTGCCCTTAAGCAATCCTCCCACCTCAACCGATCTCCCAAAGTGCTGGGATTATAGGCATGAACCACCATACCCAACCGAGTGTTTCTCTCTTGATTAGCAAAAACTGCCTCATCCTTTGGTCTAGTTAGTCACCAGAGAGGAGGTGGATCATTTGCCTCAGGAGGCTCAATCTTATAGGATAAAGGGGACCAAGACCCCAGTTTCTGCTCACCCAGTTCTGAAGTTAAGAAGGAGACTTTACCTTATCTTTAAGGCCCAGTGGCAAAGGAGGACTGAGGAGACACCAGTTTTAGTTCTCTCTGCATTTAGAAGAGAAGTCTGTGGCTGAGTAAGCCCCAGCCCCACCCCCTACAACTAGGATTCTTGGACATTCAGAGGAGAGGCGGGCGAAACACAAGTGGGAAAAATGACTTCTGATTAGGGTATGTGGGAGGCTTAAACTATAATAGAGAAAGTTAACAGCTGTAACTGACCACATTTGTTCCTTAAGTTTGTGGAGCAGATCATACTGGTTACACTAGTATAGAAAGAACTCCTTAAAAAGCCAAGGAGAAAAACAGCATTCAATATAAAACGGACAAAGAGTGTGACTAACCAAATGCAGAAGAAGAAAAATAAATGACCATTAAATATATTTAGAATGTTTAAAATGCACTAGTAACAAAAAAAACTATGCAAATAAAAAGGGCTGTCATGTGTCACAGATCAGATGATCAAAGAAGATAACATTATTTATTGTTGTAGAAGATGTGAGAAAACATGTAGTTCCATATTCTATAAGAGGGACAACAAATTGGCATTATGCATACAAAATTAATGGTGTATTTGTTTAATTTAAGAAAATAAATAGGCCGGGCGCAGTAGCTCATGCCTGTAATCTCAGCACTTTGGGAGGCTGAGGAGGGCAGATTACTTGAGGTCAGAAGTTCGAGACCAGTCTGGCAAACATGGTGAAACCCTGTCTTTACCAAAAAATACAAAAATAAGGAAATAATTGGGCAAATTCCCAAAGATGAAAACTTTTGTTGAGTATTGTTAAATAATGTATATGATTCAAGTATACAGTGGATTAATTATGCCTTCCACATTTATGGGGGTTCTAAGATTGCCTGTTTAATGCCTATATTGTTAGAAGGTCATCCACTGCCCTCAACACCCACTTCCACCCCCAACTATGCCTCAGCTGCAGGAAATTTGGTTAGCTATTCTTTTTTTTTTTTTTGAGACAGAGTCTCACTCTGTTGCCCAGGCTGGAGAACAGTGGTGCAATCTCGGCTCACTGCAACCTCCGCCCCCTAGGTTCAAGCAATTCTCTTGCTTCAGCCTCCCTAGTAGCTGGGATTAGAGGGGTGTGCTACCATGCCCAGCTAATTTTTGTATTTTTAGTAGAGACAGGATTTCGCCATGTTAGTCAGGCTGGTCTCGAACTCCTGACCTCAAGTGATCCGCCTGCCTCGGCCTCCCAAAGTGCTGGGATTACAGGCATGAGCCACCGTGCCTGGCCTCAGTTAACTATTCTTAACAAGTACAAAAGAAAGTAGTATCAAAGTTGAATGGGAAGAAGGAAAGCAAAGAGAGGAATTGAGATTTCTCAGTCCCCAGAAATTTTGACTTTTTTTTGTGGCTATAAGGATTGCCCAAGCAGAAGAATTCCTCCTGATCTTCTGTAATGCACAAGAGGCATCCTTGTGGGCTCCAGATGAAATGCAAGTATGATTTATTCATTTTGGGAGAATAGACTATTAAACCATTTCAAGTCATAATTTAAAAAAAATTTTTTTTTTTTAGAGATGAGGGTGTCACTATGTTGACCAGGCTGTTCTTGAACTCCTGGCCTCAAGTGATTCTCCCCCTTGGCCTCCCAAAGTGCTGGGATTATAGGTGTGAGCCACTACACCTAGCCTTTCAGACCATAAATAACAGCTCTACCTGGACCAGTTCATCTGCCCTTGTTCTTTATATGGAGGAAAACCATATAATGTATTATCTAAACCAAAACAGTTCAGAAGGAAAGGGGATACTATTAATAATTACACTGGGATTGTCCTAGGAAAACCAGGGCATGCAGTCATTTATGTATACCATGTTTTTAACATGCTCAAGGGAGAAAAACAGCTCTAATTGACATCAATATTAGTAGTTATAAATTGAAGCATGAAGCAGATAGATAACTATATAGCTAGAGAGATGTTGATCAATTTTTATAAGATTAGAGACACGTCACACAATAATTTTAATAGATATCCATTGTCTAGTAAATATAGTATATCAAATTTTCTTCTTATCTGACTTCTACTTCCTAAATAGGCTGATTTTATTACAACTACTTTAACAACTTGGAAAAATGTTATTGCTAGCTCTTTAAATTCTTGTCTGTTTGCATAAATAATGGCAGATACAGTAGATTGGCTCACTCAGCCTTCATTCCAAACCCTTTTTTGCTTGCTTTACTCTAACATAGAGAAGTATGTTCCCAGACTCTCCTGTAGCTAAGTGTGACCATGTGACTCAATTCTGTCTTAATGAGACTTAATTGGAAGTCAGCTGCTGTTGCCTCTTCCTTTTCCTCCTGATGGCTTGGAATGTATAAAATATTTGATGTGTGGCATCCATTAGCAAGAAAGCAAGGCAGGAAAGTAGAAGGAACCTGGGTCTTTGAGGACAAAATTTAAACTCCCAATACCAGCTGTGAACTATTTACAGCTGGACATACCAAACAAATCAACCTCTTTCTCATTTAAAAAATTTTCTGGTAACTTTCAGTTAAATGAAGTTTTGACTAATATAGAAATTATAAATCAATGTTACATGTGTATGGTATATTTTTTAAAGAATTTAAAATAATACTAGAATATAGATTAGCATGGTTGAATATAGATTATAACCAACTGTTGTAAAAAACAATCCCCAAATCTCAATAGCCCAACTCAAAAAATATGCATCTCTCCTCTTTCATATCTCAGTACAGTGCAGGACAGGAAGGCAGGAAGTAGGAGTACATTCACCTGGTTTCATATTGCAGCCATCAACATTTGTCCTCCAAGACCCCAGAGAAGGGGGAGACAGATTAATAGGCTTGTGTGTGAAGGATTATTTAGCACTTCTACCTGAATTCCATAGGGCAAAACTAGTCACATGACCCCACCTAGCTGAAAGAGTCACTGGGAAATGTAGTCTTTCTACCTGTGCAGGAGGAAAATGAACTGGTTTAGTAAATAAATTGAATTGTCTTTGCTATGGGACATTTTGTGGAGAAGGATAGAAAATCAAGAACATCAAAACATGGAATCCAAAAATCACAACATAATGAAATAAAAATTAAGGAAGTAATTTTTAAAAATTACTATACTTGCTGTCTTAAAATATAGTTAAGCAGAAACTTTGTTCATTAGAGGGCTTGTGAAGTATATTTTGGTAACTGAGTTTTCTTAGTAACATAGGAATAACTCCCAAATTTTTGCTGTTTTGATTTATTTTTATTTATTTATTTATTTTGAGACAGGGTTTTGCTCTGTTGCCCAGGCTAGAGTGCAGTAGCACGATCATGACTCATTGCAACCTCTGCCTCCCGGGCTGAAGTGATTTTCCCACCTCAGCCTCTGAGGAGCTGGGACTACAGGCACACACCAACATGCCTGGCTAATTTTTGTATTTTTAGTAAAGACGGGGTTTCGCCATGTTGCCCAGGCTGATCTCAAACTCCTGAGCTCAAGCTATTCTCCCGTCTTGGCCTCCAAAAGTGCTGGGATTACAGGCATGAGCCACCGCATCTGGCTTGATTTTTCTTAAAAATCTTCTAAAATCTTAGTGTGTATCTCAAATAACATGATATTATACATCTATTTACTGCTTCCAGTATATGTCTCTATCAGTTTCCTATTACTGTTGTAACAAATGACCACAAACAGGGTCTCAAAACAATAAAAATGTGTTATCTTATAGTTCTAGAGGTCAAAAGTCTGAAATGGGTCTCACTTGGCTAAAATCAAGATGTCAGCAGAGCTGTATTCTTTTTGTAGGCTCTAGGGGAGAATCCATTTTCTTAGCTTTTCCAGCTTCTAGAAGCCACCTGCATTCCTTGGATGCTAGCCCCTACCTCCATTTTCAAAGCCTGTAATAGAGCATCTTCCAATCTCTCTCTGACTCTGATCTTTTGCCTCCTTCTTCCATACTTAAAGGATTATTGTGAATACATTGGGTCCATCAGATAATCCAAGAGAATTTCCCTATTTTAAGTCCAGCTGATCAGTTCCTTAATTCCATCTGCAACCTTAATTCCTCATTGCCAGGTAATAGAACACGTTTCAGGGATTTATTAACGGACATTTTTGGGAGAATCATATTATTCTGTGTTACACAATGTCATAAAAAATTGTGATTATAAGTGTAATATGTAGGCCGGACAAGGTGGCTCACACCTGTAATCCCAGCATTTTGGGAGGCCAAGGCAGGCAGATCACCTGAGGTCTGGAGTTTGAGAACAGCCTGGCCAACATGGTGAAACCTCATCTCTATTAAAAAATATCAAATTGGCCAGGCACGGTGGCTCACACCTGTAATCCCAGCACTTTTGGACGCTGAGGCAGGTGGATCACCTGAGGTCAGGAGTTTGAGACCGGCCTGGCCAACATGGCGAAATCCCATCTCTACTAAAAATACAAAAATTAGCCTGGCATGGTGGCATGTGTCTGTAATCTCAGCTACTCAGGAGGCTGAGTCAGGAGATTCGCTTGAACCCAGGAGGCGGAGGTTGCAATGAGCCGAGATCGTGCCACTGCACTCCAGCCTGGGCAACACAGTGAGACTCCATCTCAAAAATAAATAAAAATAAAAATACCAAATTACCCGGGTGTGGTGGTGCATGCCGGTAATCCCAGCTTCTCAGGAGGCTGAGGCAGGAAGAATTGCCTGCACCTGGGAGGCAAAGACTGAAGTGAGGCAAGATTGTGCCTCTGCACTCCAGCTTGGGCAACAGAGCAAGACTCTGTCTCGGGAAAGAAAAATAAATAAGTGTAATATGTTTGTTATAGAGAAACTGGTTACACATAAACTATGTTTTTCATAGAACTGATTACATACAGAAAAATAAAAAGAATAAAAATTAAAATAGGGTGATTCTGTCAGCCAAAGATTACCACTATTAACATTTTGGTATGTACTTGCCAAATATACATATATGTAATATACCTTAAATATATATATTTTAAATTGGATCATAATGTTCATTCTGTTTTCATTTAATATAAATATCTTCCCAAGTCAGTAGATATGTCTCAATACCATTTTTATTATTTGTAATTTTTTTTTTTTTGAGACAGAGTCTCACTCAGTCACCCAGGCTGGAGTGCAGTGGTGCAATCACAGCTTACTGCAGCCTCGACCTCCTAGGCTCAAGCAATCTCCTCATCTCAGCTTCCCAAGTGGCTAGGACTACAGGCATGAGCCACCAAACCTGGCTAATTTTTTAATGTTTTCTAGAGATAGGGTTTTTCTATATTACCCAAGGTGGTCTCAAACTCCTGGGCTCAAGCAATCCTCCTGCACTGGCCTTCCAAATTGCTGAGATTACAGGCATGAGCCACCAAGCCCAGTCTATGATTTTTTTTTTTTAATATATAAAACATTTATGGCCAGGCACTGTGGCTCACGCCTGTAATTTCAGCACTTTGGGAGGCTGAGGCTGGCAGATCACCTGAGGTCAGGAGTTCGAAACCAGCCTGGCCAACATGGGGAAACCCTGTCTCTACTAAAAATACAAAAATTAGCCAGGCATGGTGTCATGTGCCTGTAATCCCAGCTACTAGGGAGGCTAAGGCAAGAGAATCTCTTGAACCTCGGAGGCGGAGGTTGCAGTGAGCCAAGATTGTGCCACTGCACTCCAGCCTGGGCAACAGAGCAAGACCCGTCTCAAAAAAAAACACAAAAAACACTAAAAGAACAAAAAAAAAACATTTACATGATCCAGAAATCAAAACAATATACAAAGGTATATTTGGAGATGTTTTGCTCCTATCTTTATCTGCTAAACTTTATTCCCACCAATCCCTATGATAACCTTTTTCATTAGTTTCTGGTTTATCCTTGCTGTGTGCATGTATTGAGGGTTTTTAGGGGAAATAAAAAAGTGTGCATATTTATATTTCTCCTTTCTTACACAAAAGGAAGCATGCTATGTATACCATTTTGCAACTTGGATTTTTCACTCCTCATCAGTACTTAGAAATCTTCCTTGTTGTTTTTTATGGCCACATAATACTTCATTGTGTGAATTTTTAAAAAGCGTACCCCAAATTTGAATTAAAAAAAAAAAAAGGCTGAGTACGGTGGCTCATGCCTGTAATACCAACACTTTGGGAGGCCGAGGGGGGCAGATCACCTGAGGTCAGGGGTTCAAGACCAGCCTGGCCAACATGGTGAAACCCCATCTCTACAAAAATACAAAAATTAGCCAGGCATGATGGCGGGTGCCTGTAGTCCCAGCTACTCAAGACGCTGAGACAGGAGAATCGCTTGAACCTGGGAGGCAGAGGCTGCAGTGAGCCAAGATCGCGCCATTGCACTCTAGCCTGGGTGACAGAGTGAGACTCCGTCTTGAAAAAATAAATAAACTTAGCTGTATATTAGATAATATAACCTCAGAGAGAAAAAGAATTAATTCAATAACTTCGAGCACAGGTTTTCACTGTACACATTTAGGGAAATAGGATTTGAAGACAAAAATAACTACAGTGAAATGTTAAAATGTTACTTAGATTGGTTGCTGGTAATGATTTCGGTGTTGCAACTCTGAAATTCTTTTGCATGTGTGATACATCAAAGAACAAATGATTGATACCGAGAGCTAGGATTTTGTGGGAGACAGAAAATACAAATATCGAATGGGGGAAGTCAGGAAAGGCCTTGTGATGTTGGATTTGAATTGGAGGCGTCAGTGTTAATTCATGCTTTTTGTTTCGTTTTGTTTTTTAAGTGTGTTAACCAGTTTTGCCCACTAAAAAGGCCTACAAGCAAGGACAATCCAGAATAATTTCTACAATAAATACCATTCTTCACTCTAAAGAACCAGAACTGTCTTTAAAAAAAAAAATAGTACATCTTGCATTTTATTTAATTCCATATGACAAAAATAATAGTCTAGATTAAGATATCCATTTTAATCAGTAGATGTGTCAAGCCACAAGATTTAATAATAAAATATATTCGATCTGGGTGACAATTCCCCGCTGGGGGTCAGGAAGGCGTTAGCCCTACATGGCATTACAGTATAAAAATGTCTCTCTGGCCAGGCGTGGTGGCTCATGCCTGTAATCCCAGCACTTTGGGAGGCCGAGGTGGGCGGATCACGAGGTCAGAAGATCGAAACCAGCCTGGTCAACATGATAAAACCCTGTCTCTACTAAAAATACAAAAAAAAAAATTAGCTGGGCATGCTGGAGCATGCCTGTAATCCCAGCTACTTGGGAAGCTGAGGCAGGAGAATCACTTGAACCCGGGAAGCAGAGGTTGCAGTAAGCTAAGATTGCGCCACTGTGCACCCCAGCCTGGACGAAAGAGTGAGACTGCATCTCTAAATAAATAAATAAATAAATAAATAAATAAATGTATGTCTCTTCACCATGCAGAAAGGGATGGCCTAGCCCTGCATATAGGATGGGGTCAGTCTCACTGTACCTTCATGAGCCATCTTATTTACAACACTTTACATTTTTCTTTTCTTAAGTTATATACACATCCTTGGCCAGGCATGGTGGCTCATGCCTGTAATCCCAGCACTTTGGGAGGCCGAGGCTGGTGGATCACCTGAGGTCAGGAGTTTGAGACCAGCCTGGCCAACGCGGGGAAATCTCATCTCTACTAAAAATACAAAAATTAGCCGGGCATTGCAGCAGGGAACTGTAATCCCAGCCACTCAGGAGGCTGAGGCAGGAGAATCACTTGAACCTGGGAGGCAGAGGTTGCAGTGAGCCGAGATCACACCACTATATTGCAGCCTGGTCAACAGAGTAAGACTTCATCTAAAAAGAAAAAAAGTTACATACACATCCTTTTGGGAGAAGAGAGAACACTACATGGTACCAAATACCTACCTCCCACCCCCTGAAAAAATCACACCAAAAAGGACACAGCTAAATAATAAAAACATTCAGCTGCTGAAACACAGCAACATTAAGCCACCTCATTTTCTTTGCCCAATGCTGGCAGCATACCCAATCCCTCATCCTGTAAGAAGGGATCGTACAATATGGGGAGGTGACATCTCATCACCATGGAAAACAGAGCTGTAGAATCAGAACTCTTTAGAGGAATAGGTGAGTCCAGATCAGGGGTAGAAAAAGTACAAGGTGAGCCTGGAATGTTTGGTTGTGCCAGAAAACAAGGAAGTGTTAAAGACTCTTGGGAACATAGCGAAAGGACAAAGGAGCCAGGGTCAAAGGTCAATATGAGGATCAAAATGCATAATGATGGTAAAGGATTATGACACACTTGCTTTTTAAAACTTTTAATTCCATGATTTCATAGTAATATCAAAAGGAGAGAGAAGCAGATGTTGTGAGGCCCTACTCCACATCCCCTCAGCCTACCTGAATTCTCTTGCAGTTGTCAACAGTTACTAACACCCAGACCTGAAGGCCTATGTTTCTCTCCTCTGTCTGGGGTCTTTCTCAAGAACCACCTACAGTGCATGGCTGCTGGGTGACATAGTTTGAAAGCTGGAGGATAGGTATCCCTGGGAGAAGCAGTCAACCAAGGGATGATGGAATCGGGAAGATTCGGAACCATTTCATGTGGTTTCTCAGCGCGGCTTCATTGAGAATGAGTCCCAGTTGCCAACAGCAAAATGTTCAATATACAATATATCCCTTATTGGCTTTTCTCCCTGCCCTGTGTCACTCGCCCTGCTAACTCTGTGTTTTCTGGTATCATCTCCCACATAACCTACCCACGCCCAGGTTTCTTGTGCAGAGTTTGCTTTGGAGGGGACATCAAAACTGAAAAAGTTAAAGAGCATAGAGAAAAGAAGAAAGGCTAAACACCTCTTATAGAAAAATGCTAACTAATATGTAAAAAGAAATGAGAGAATTAGGAAGATTGCCATTTTACAACCCCAATGTGAAAGTTGATTTTAGCAAGGGCCATTAATTTACGCTAAAATCATTGAGTGAAAGGTTAATGGGGAACAAGATATTCACATGGTCTCAAAGTATTAACCCACAGATTACTTAATGATTACAAGGAGATATACCTGCTCAGTGGAAAGATCTAGTCACCACCTTGTCAGATCACTAGGCTGGGGTGGTTTTGTGGTGGCTTAGCCTCAGAGATGATGGGGAGAAGTGGCTGCTTACCCCTGAAGCAAGAAACACTCCAGCAGTAGTTCTAATTCCATTATCATGTAGGACCTTGGCTGAAACTGTACCTCATGTGGGCAACAGTGAGTGGGGCACAGTATTGGATCCTTCTCTGGGGGGAGCACAGCTATGTGGATTCCAGGCAGCTCCCTCAGCTGGGTTTAGTGCCTATGAGGACTGCAGGGGCCCCAGTGGTGAGGCCTGTACCTGTCCAAGGTGTTGATGGGGGTTGCTGGAATCCCCTTACTTACCACCTCACCATAAGGGGAAGTTCTCCTTCCTATTTGATGCCGGCTGGGGGATACAGTGGTGGAGGCCTGGCATTTCCTCTCATTCTCTGTTCTCTAAGTGGCATCCCGAGTTTCTGTGCTCACCAGGGTTTCTATTAGTCCTCTGATACACTCTAGAACTCTCCCTGTTATTTTTGTGAAAATATAGTTGCTTATTAGTTGTTCTGGCTGTCTTTGTGAGGAAGATGAGTGCTAGGGACTTCTAATAGACCATGTTGCTAACATTACTCTCCTCAAAGCTCGTTCTAAGCCTTAAACATTCCCTCTAAAAGACATTAGGTTATTTCTAATATTTCAATATTATGAATATACTTTGTGTTTTAATTTCATACACATCCTTATTTACTTAGAATATTTGTAATTCATTCTTTTTTTCAGGGGGAGGGGATGGAGTCTCTCTCTGTCGCCCATGCTGGAGTGCAGTGGCGCGATCTCAGCTCACTGCAACCTCCACCTTCTGGGCTCAAGCAATTCTCCCTGGTTCAGCCTTCCAAGTAGCTGGGGATTACAGGCACCCGCCACCAAACCTGGCTAGTTTTTGTATTTTTAGTAGAGACAGGGCTTCACCATGTTGGCCAGGCTGGTCTCGAACTCCTGACCTTAGGCGATCCACCCACCTCGGCCTCCCAAAGTGCTGGGATTACAGGCGTGAGCCACTGCGCCCTGCTATTTGTAATTAATTCTAAGAATTCTTTGTGTAGAATTCTTACCTAAATAATAGTTTCTTCTTCATAAGTCAATCATTCCTGTCGTTTCATGGTTCCTCCTCAGACCCACTTCAGGGCAGATTCATTTTGTCCAACTTCAACTTCACTTTCTCTGCTATTCAGGAGTAATCTAGTCATCTTCTTTTAACTTGTTAGAAAGCAGTATGTCTTCTTAAGGCATCAGTTCCTTAAGTCCTCATGACATGGCCATGCATTCTTTTTCCTAAAACTGTATTTATTGACATCTGCACAGTCCAAGTGATGTAGGAAAATATATGTATTTATTTATTACATGATTACCTGATGATGTTATCCTCATAAAATGTTGAGACATTGTAAGTTGAAGGTACCCCATCTGGACAGTAGAAATTTCTGTTGTAAAAGCCGGTGATGAGGAGTTCGAGACGAGCCTGGCCAACATGGTAAAACCACATCTCCACTAAAGATACAAAAAGTAGCCGGGCATGGTGGCACATGCCTGTAACCCCTGCTACTCGGGAGGCTGAGGCATGAAAATTGCTTGAACCCTGGAAGACAGAGGTTGCATTGAGCCAAGATCACGCCACTGCACTCCAGCCTGGGCAACAAAGCAAGACTCTGTCTCAAAAAACAAAAAAACAAACTGGTGATGATTGTTCCCAAGCCAGGGAGCTGCACAGGTGAGAGGAAAGAAAGCTTTTTGTCCAAGTTGCCCTCTCATAGCCTAGACAATGCTCTCTGTCCTAGGATGCAACCACTACCACCTCAATTCCCCCAGTATGCACGTACACACTAGTTCAAAACAATCCTTTATCTATCCAGGAGCTTCTTACAGTTTGCTTGTTATTTCCTGGATTCCTGTAGTTTCTTTAAGTTTGAACTTAGGGGAAGGAGTCAGCAGTCAATCTCTTTCACCATATTCATCAAAAAATGCCGTTAAGACTGGGCTTAGTGGCTCAGGCCTGCAATCCCAACACAATTTGGGAGGCGGAGACAGGAGAATTGCGTGAGGCCAGGAGTTCAAAACTAGCCTGAGCAATATAGCAAGATCTGGTCTCTACAAAAAGTTAAAAAAAAATTTTTTTTTAAATACCGTTAAACACATTACAACAGTGCTATAACAAAGGACTGGGGCATGGGTTAAAAGAGAATAAATGAATAAATGAATTAAACAGGAGTGCCCTTGCACAGGGCAAAAAGTCAAATAGTGTTCAGGGCTTATTATAAGAAAGAGCAATTCTGGCCAGATGCAGTGGCTCACGCCTGTAATCCCAGCACTTTGGGAGGCCGAGGTGGGCGGATCACGAGGTCAGGAGATCAAGACCATCCTGGCTAACACAGTGAAATCCCGTCTCTATTAAAAATACAAAAAATTATCTGGGTGTGGTGGCGGGTGCCTGTAGTCCCAGCTACTTGGGAGGCTGAGGTAGGAGAATGGTGTGAACCTGGGAGGCAGAGCTTGCAGTGAGCCAAGATTGCACCACTGCACTCCAGCCTGGGCAACAGAGCAAGACTCCATCTCAAATTTAAAAAAAAAAAAAAAAAGAAAAAGAAAAAGAAAGAGCAATTCTTTGGCCTATCACATTCTACCACAATTCCCAGAACCCCTAACATTCAACTCATTCAGATTTTTCTTTTGGAACTTGCTTTGTATTTCTAAACAAAGTTTTGAAACTCTTATTTCCTGATTTTTCAATTTTAGATGTTTTCTGTTGGCTAGAGAGGGAGATTTATTGTGAAGCTAATAAAGGTTAAGTTTCAGAGTCCCTCATTTTCATGGGCCCTCTCCAAGGCCCTATTCTTAGCCATTGAATTTGGAATTTTATTTTCTTACGGAGCATTCAGCTGGTGCTGTGGCTCATGCCTGCAATCCCAGCACTTTGAGAGGCCAAGGCAGGAGGATCCCTTTAGCCCAGGAATTCAAGACCAGCTTGGGGAATATATTGAGAGCCCTGTCTCTACTAAAAATAAAAATAAAAAAATATTAGCCAGGCATGGTGGTGTGTGTCTGTGGTCCCAGCTCAGGAGGCTGAGGCAGGAGAATTATGCCATTGCACTCCAACCTGGGTGACAGAGTGAGACTCTGTCTTAAAAAATAATTTTTTTAAAAAATTTGGCCGGGCACAGTGGCTCACACCTGTAATCCCAACACTCTGGGAGGCTGAGGCAGGTGGATCATGAGATCAGGAGATCAAGACCATCCTGGCTAACATGGTAAAACCCAGTCTTTACTAAAAATACAAAAAATTAGCCAAGCGTGGTGGCACGCGCTTGTAGTCCCAGCTACTCAGGAAGCTGAGGCAGGAGAATTGCTTGAACCCAGGAGGCAGAGGTTGCAGTGAGCCAAGATCAGGCCACTGCACTCCAGCTTGGGAGACAGAGCGAGACTCCGTCTCAAAAAAAAAAAAATTATCTTAAAAGCATCCTCCAAATCATGTATGCCCCCGGCCCCATAAGCCCTGAATCCACCCTTGATTTACTAACTACTTTGGATGATGAGGGTTTAGCTAACTTAGATCGTAGCCCTTGCAACACACATCAATACACAAACATTTCCCCTTCCCGGTTTCCCAAAATGTAGTCAAGCTATTAATTTTTAGTTCATTTATCATGTTTTAGCCTCTAAGGGCCCTTTCTTGTTATCTTTTCTACATTAGCCTGTTCTTTGTCTTATGGATCCAATATTCGATCTCTCCAGCAATATTGTAGGGGTTGTCTTATTTTGTTTGTTGGTTGGTTAGTTTTTTAGTTTAGTTTTATTTTCTCAATTGTCTGTTTCCTTTTAAGTTCCTTTTCCCTCATGGTTTGTTTTGGCCTCTCTCTTATATTGGAGACTTTCCTAAAATGGGTGGTCATCCAACCATATTTAAGAATGAGGCACCAAAGCTGGACATAGTGGTGCATGCCTGTAGTTCTAGCTACTTGAGAGACTGAGGTGGGAGGATCGCTTGAGCTCAGGAGTTGGAGGCTGCAGCAAGCTATGATTGCACCACTGCATTCCAGCGACAGAGCGAGATCCTGTCTCTAAAAAAAAGTAATAAAATAAAATAATTTAAAAATAAGAATGAGGCACTTAAAAGCTAATCAGAAGCTCAGGTTGGGGAGTTTTCTAAATGGTGAGTGTGGTAGGAAACCTGAAAGGTAGCACCCAGTGATCCTCACCTCCTGGTATTCATGCCTGTGCAACAAAAGGATTAACCTTGCCCCAAGAAGTATCTGGCCTTTACTCTCACTTTCTGGGAGGTAATCTCTAAACTCTTGGAATGTTCTTTGTTTACCTGGGGGCCTTGGGCCATGCCAGATGGTCTATGCTAACTATGTGATATATGGTAGGGGCTCTGAACCATGCATTGTCAGCTCAACCTCAGGAGGGGGTTGGACATGAAGGCCAGCCACACAGGCAGTCAGCCACGTCTACATGACCAATAAAAATTCTGGACACCAAGGCTTGGAGGTGCTTCCCTGGCTGGGAATATTGCATGTGTATTATCACACATTGTTACTGTGAGAAGAATAGCTCCACTGGGAGAGGACAACTAGATGCTCTGCATTTAAAACTCTCCTGGGGCACAGCAGCTGCACATCCTGGGGCTCCTGACCTCTTTGCGTTTGCAGTGTAGCCCAAATCGGTCAGCACTGGAGGACCTCAGCAGCCATGTTGAAGCCCCATAGTGAAGCCGGGACTGCCTTCATTCAGACCCAGCAGCTACATGCAGCCACGGCTGACACATTCCTGGAGCACATGTGCCACCTGGACATTCACACACCACCCATCCCAGCCTGGAACACTGGCATCATCTGTACCATTAGCCCAGCTTCCCAATCGGTGGAGATGTTGAAGGAGATGATTAAGTCTGGAACGAATGTGGCTTGTCTGAACTTCTCTCATGGAACTCATGAGTACCACGTGGAGACCATCAAGAACATGTGCACAGCCACGGAAAGCTTTGCTGCTGACCCCATCCTCTACCGGCCTGTTGCTTTGGCTCTGGATACTAAAGGACCTGAGATCCGAACTGGGCTCATCAAGGGCAGCAGCACCATGGAGGTGGGGCTGAAGATGGGAGCCACTCTCAAAATCATGCTGGATAACACCTACATGAAAAAGTGTGACGAGAACATCCTGTGGCTGGACTACAAGAACATCTGCAAGGTGATGGAAGTGGGCAGCAAGATCTACGTGGATGATGGGCTTATTTCTCTCCAGGTAAAGCAGAAAGGTGCTGACTTCCTGGTGACGGAGGTGGAAACTGGTGGTTCCTCGGGCAGCAAGAAGGGTGTGAACCTTCCTGGGGCTGCTGTGGACTTGCCTGCTGTGTCAGAGGACATCCAGGACCTGAATTTTGGGGTCGAGCAGGATGTCGATATGGTGTTTGCGTCGTTCATCCGCAAGGCATCTGATGTCCATGAAGTTAGGGAGGCCCTGGGAGAGAAGGGAAAGAACATCAAGACAATCAACACAATCGAGAATCATGTGGGGGTTCAGAGGTTTGATGAAATCCTAGAGGCCAGTGATGGGATCATGGTGGCTCGTGGTAATCCAGGCATTGAGATTCCTGCAGAGAAGGTCTTCCTTGCTCAGAGGATGATGATTGGGCGTTGCAGCTGAGCTGGGAAGCCTATCTGTGACAGTGATGTGGCCAGTGCAGTACTGAATGGAGCCGACTGCATCATGCTGTCTGGAGAAACAGCCAAAGCGGACTATCTGGAGGCTGGGCGCATGCAGCACCTGATTGCCCATGAGGCAGAGGCCACCATCTACCACTTGCAATTATTTGAGGAACTCCCACCCACTGGCGCCCATTACTAGCGACCCCACGAAAGCCACCGCCGTGGGTGCCAACGAGGCCTCCTTCAAGTGCTGCAGTGGGGCCATAATCGTCCTCACCAAGTCTGGCAGGTCTGCTCACCAGGTGGCTAGATACCGCCCACGTGCCCCCATCATTGCTGTGACACGGAATCCCCAGACAGCTAGTCAGGCCCACCTGTACCGTGGCATCTTCCCTGTGCTGTGCAAGGACCCAGTCCAGGAGGCCAGGGCTGAGGATGTGGACCGCTGGGTGAACTTGGCCCTGAATGTTGGCAAGGCCCGAGGCTTCTTTAAGAAGGGAGACGTGGGCCGGGCTCGGTGGCTCACGCCTGTAATCCCAGCACTTTGGGAGGTCGAGGCGTGCAGATCACGAGGTCAGGAGATCGAGACCATCCTGGCTAACACGGTGAAATCCTGTCTCTACTAAAAATACAAAAAAATTAGCCGGGCGTGGCAGCGCGTGCCTGTAGTCCCAGCTACTCGGGAGGCTGAGGCAGGAGAATGGTGTGAACCCAGGAGGCGGAGCTTGCAATGAGCTGAGATCGCACCGCTGCACTCCAGCCTGGGCGACAGAGCGAGTCTCCGTCTCAAAAAAATAAAAATAAAAATAAAAAGAAGGGAGATGTGGTCATTGTGCTGACCGGGTGGCGCCCTGGCTCTGGCTTCACCAACACCATGCGTGTTGTTCCTGTGCGGTGATGGACCCCAAAGCCCCTGCTCCAGCGCCTGTCCCACCTCCTTTCCCCGAACCATCCATTAGGCCAACAACGCTTGTAGAGCTCAGTCTGGGCTGTAATGTGGCACTGGTGGGCTGGGACACCAGGGAATAAGATAAATGCCTTGCTGAAACATGGCTGTGTTTACAGCCTGCTCTGGCAGGACAGCCCAGAGCCTGGCTGCCCATCATGTGGTCCCACCCAATCAAGGGAAGAAGGAGGAATGCTGGACTGGAGGCCCCAAAAGCCAGATGGCAAGAGGATGACAGCTTCTTTTCCTGTGTGTACTCTGTTCAGTTCCTTTAGAAAACAGATGCCCAGAGGACTCCCAACCCCTGGTCTGGGGTCAGGAAACAGCCAGCGAGAGTTAGGGGCCTTAGGGCACAGGACAGTTCTTCCATTTAAGTACTCTGGCCTGACCCTTACTTGCTTCCCCAAACCCCTGGGCCTCCCCAATTTGCGCCTGTCCCCACCCTCCACTCAGCTGTCCTGCGGCAAACACTCCACCCTCCACCTTCCATTTTCCCCCACTACTGCAGCACCTCCGGGCCTGTTGCTATAGAGCCTACCTGTATATCAATAAACAACAGCTGAAGTTAAAAAAAAAAAAACAAAAACTCTCCTGGACACTGTCCTATGTGCCTCTTCAGTGAGTCCTGTGAGTCCTTCTAACAAATTGTCAAACATGACAGTGTCTCAGGGACCCCAAGCTTGCAGTTGGGGTCAGAAATCATGGTGCTCTTGGGGATTCCCTACATTTGTAATATCTTTATGTAGTCATGTCTCCTTTAGTATGGGCTGGACTTAGGGACTTGCTTCTATCAAATAAAATATGACAGAAGTGACAGGATGTCCATTTTAAGATTAGTTTATAAATAAGATTAGTCTTCCATTGTGGGTGCTCTCTTTTGTGTTGCTTGCCCTGGGAGATGACAGCATTCATGTCCTGAGGTGGCCCTGTGGAGACGCCCACTCATCCTGTGATCAATAACCACACATAATTGAGGTTGGAAGCGGATCCTTACCCCAGTTGAATCTTCACATGAGACTGCAGCCCTGGCTGATAACTTGACTGTAATCTCATGAGAGACCTTGAGCCAGAAGTGCCCAGCTAAACCATGCCCTGATTCTCGACCTGGACAAACTGTAAGATAATAAATGTTTGTTGTTTTAAGCCACTATATTTGGGGTAATTTGTCATGCACTGGGCTACAATATAAGGTGATCTGGTAGACCTATGTATTGGATATCCACAAATGTTTTTATCTGGAGGTCTTTATTTTCTAGAGAGGTTCAATTTCTTCAGAAAAGAACTTTCCAATCTCCCAGGCAGCATACGCCTGGCTGCATGAGTTCAGGGTCCAGAGCTGGAGAAAAGAACCAAATTTTCACGCGTTCTCTTCTTTTTAGCCCCTGTACAAACCCCTGTTATCTGATGCACCTGATGTACCTAAGTCTGGAGCCCTTCCCGGATCCTTTATCTGGAGAGGTTGTTGCCCAGTTATGCCCAGCTGGAAAAGGGACCTGATGAGTCTAACTGCTTTGTAAATACACTTTCAACAATTTTCCTTGTTTAAAACCTAGATCCTTGTTCTCACCTTTTAAAGTAACCGGTGCTACTCACAAGAATAACTCCAGAGGATATGAATCTACCATGCAAGAGAAAGCTACAAAACTTTTAGGAGATAATAAAAAACAAAACCTTTATGACCTCAGGATGGAGAAAGATTTCTTAATCTAGTTTCAAAAAGCATTAGTTATAAAGAAAAAAAGATAAATTAGTTTACATTAAATATAAGAACTTTTGTTTATCTGAAAACATCATTAAAAGAGTACAGGCCAGGCGTGGTGGCTCATGCCTGTAATCCCAGCACTTTGGCGTGGTGGCTCATGCCTGTAATCCCAGCACTTTGGGAGGCCAAGTCAGGTGGATCACTTGAGGTCAGGAGTTTGAGACCAGCCTGGCCAACGTGGCGAAACCCTGTCTCTACCAAAAATACAAAAATTAGCCAGGCTTGGTGGTGTGTGCCTGTAGTCCTAGCTATTCAGGAGGCTGAGGCGCGAGAATCACTTGAACCTGGGAGGCGGAGGCTTCAGGGAGCTGAGATCACACTAGTGCACTCCAGCCTGGGCGACACAGTGAGACTCTGCCTCAAAATAAAATAAAATAAAGTAAAATAAAATAAAATAAAATAAAAAGAAATGATCCCTGAAAGTATAGTCTTACAAATTGTTGTTATATCCAAACAACAGAATACTATGCTTCCAAGAAAAGGAACTAAAGATACATGCAATATAGTGAATGAATCTCGAAACACATTTTTAAATAAAACAAAGGACATACAAAAGAATAAATACAGTATGATTATATTATATAAAGTCCAAAAGTAGGCAAAACTAGAAATGCATACATAGATTGTAAAACTGTAAACCAAAAAAAGCATGTAATTACTATAAAAGTCAGGATAGTGGCTATCTGTATAGGGGAAGAGATTATGATCAGGAAGGAATGCTAGTAATGTTGTATTTCCTGACTTGGGTAGTGCTTAATACGTATGTGCTTTATCATTATTGATTATTCTGTAATTCGTATTTTATGTGTTTTTCTGTATGTCTGTTGCAGTTAATAATTAAGAAGTTTAATTCTGCTTTTCGTTGCTGTTGTTTCTGTCATTCTTCTGCTATTTAAATGCTGTTTTATTTTTCTGATAGTTATTTTTATAATGACACCTTTATATATTACCTTTCCTCTTAAGCAATATTTATTGCTTCCCTGCCATGCACAACATGAGCTGTAACCTCTTCCTCCTGCCTAACCTCCTTCTCTTTCTCCATTCAATTTTAGTAAATAACATTACCTGACTCAGGGCTTACCTTTATACATTTATCCTTCTACTTGACTTGCCACCCTTAAAGATACCTTTAGATTCTGAGCAATTACAGAGGAAGCTTTCAAGACTTATGCTACTTCCAAATTATCTCTCCTTTCTCTCATGTATTTTTGGCAGTTCAAGTTTTCCTACATTGTCATAGTATGTAACATTCTGTCATCCTCATTCGCACCTTTATTTTTCCTATTCCTAGCCTTATTTTTGTTTGTTTTAGATCTGGAGTTAAAAACATTTGATTCTTACTCTCAGTCCTGTAGCTAAAGTTTGCTCATTTTCTCTTGGCTGGCTGTAGTTTGCTGGTAGTTTCCTCAAGAGTATTGTTTATATAGTCAATATTCTGTGGGTTCTTGCTAGCTTAAAAGTGTTTGTCAGCCAGGCGCAGTGCCTCACGCCTGTAATCCCAGCACTTTGGGAGTCCGAGGCAGGTGGATCACGAGGTCAGGAGTTCAAGACCAGCCTGGCCGACATGGTGAAACCCCATTTCTACTAAAACTACAAAAAATTAGCCGGACGTGGGTGGCAGGCACCTGTAATCCCAACTAGTCGGGAAACTGAGGCAGGGAATTGCTTGAACCTGGGACGTGGAGGTTGCGGTGAGCCGAGATCATGCCACTGCACTCCAGCCTGGGTGACAGACTGAGACTCTGTCTCAAAAAAATAAATAAATAAATAAATAAAAATAAATTAAAAAAAGGTGTTTGTCTCTAACCTTTATGTTTGAAGGACAGTTTGTCTGAATAAAAAGTCTTTCCATCAGTTTCTTTCCTTGAGTACAGTGAAGGTATTACTCTTCTGTGTTCTGGTATTCAGTTTCACTGTTGGGAAACCTATGCCAATCTGAATTTCTTTCCGTTTTAAAGGACTCATCTTAGGCCAGGTGTGGTGGCTCACGCCTGTAATCTCAGCACTTTGGCAGGCCAAGGCGGGCAGATCACTTGAGGTCAGGAGTTCGAGAACAGCCTGGCCAACATGGTGAAACACCATCTCTACCAAAAATATAAAAAATTAGCCACGTGTGGTGGTGCACACCTGTAATCCCAGGGAGGCTGAGGGGCACACCTATAATACTTGGGAGGCTGAGGCAGGAGAATCACCCTGATTCAAAATAATCCTGCCCCTGTTAACTCTATTTTAAAGACCTTTGTTAGGCAGCAACATGAATTGAAAAAAAAAAAAAAAAAAACAGGCCAGCTGTGATGGCTCATGCCTGTAATCCCAGCACTTTGGGAGGTCGAGGCAGGCAGATCACCTGAAGTCAGGAGTTCAAGACCAGCCTGGCCAACATTGAGAAACCTGTCTCTACTGAAAATACAAAAATTGGCTGGGCATGGTGGCATGTGCCTGTAATCCCAGCTACTTGGGAAACTGAGGTAGGAGGATCCCTTGACCCTGGGAGGCAGGGGTGGCAGTGAGCAGGACTGCATCACTGCACTCCAGCCTGGGCAACAGAGTGAGACTCTATCTCCAAAAGAAAAAAAAAACTGTGTTTAAAGTCTTTGTTTTTCTTGGCACTAGTGTCTCTACTTATATTTTATCCCAAACACCTTTCTTTTGCAATCCAATTTCTTTATTATAAGTGTTTGGATTAACAGCATCTTACTAATACATATATTATTTATTATTATATAATTATATAGTTCAATGTTTGAAATCTCTTTGTGAATTTAGAAAATACAATCTACCACCATGATAAAAGAATCATCATAGTCCTTTAAAACTGTATGTAGATTTAAATATATATATATATATATATATATATATATATATAAATAAATTTTTTTTCTTGAGATGGAGTCTCATTCTGTGGCCCAGACTGGAGTGCAGTGGTGCAATCTCCACTCACTGCAACCACACCCAGCCTAGATTTATATTTTTATAATGTTGTCTAGGTTCTGAAAAATCAGCTTGTAAAAGCCACAGCATTTATAGATTACAGTATATTTAAGTTACAATTTCATTTCACATTAGATGTAGATATTCTTTATAAGTAGTCTCAATATATTTATAAGTAGTTTCCAGACTTTTTTTTTGAAGTAACTTCCAGAGGTTTTTATCCCTTCATAAAACATTCATCCTTGCACGGATTAAATACATGCTCTTTTATTATTTGGGGCAACTACACTGCCAGTGACAGTGTAATTGTCACTAGAATAGAAAAAAAGAAAAACAATTACATTTTCTTCTGAATAACTTGATGGAAAGGGTCCAAGAAGATTCCCCTGGGTGCAATATTGTTTTTCCAAAATGTAAGTAGGGCACCAAATAATGGGTATCCTCCAGAACCTTTGTTTAGCCAAGACTAGTAACACCTTTTTATTTGTAGTAACACATTTTTAGCTGCCCAAGTTTGTTAGTGAATTGCTCTTGCCAAAGTAATCAGCAGGAATTTTCTGCTTAGAGCAGCACTGTCCGATAGAATATGATGTGCACTACATCTATAGTTTAAAATTTTCTAGTTGCCACATATAAAAAGTTTTTAAAGAGGTGAGATCACGCTGGGTGCGGTGGCTCACGCCTGTAATCCTAGCAGTTTGGGAGGCTGAGGCAGGCAGATCACTTGAGGTCAGGAGTTCGAGACCAGCCTGGCCAAAATGGCGAAACCCCATCTCTACTAAAATACAAAAATTAGCCAGGTGTGGTGGTGGGCACCTGTAATCCCAGCTACTTGGAAGGCTGAGGCACAAGAATCGCTTGAACCTGGGAGGCAGATGCTGCAGTGAGCTGAGATCATGCCATTGGACTCCAGCCTGGGTGAGAGAGTGAGACTCCATCTTGATTAAAAAAAAAAAAAGGTGAGATCAATTAATTAATTGTAATTATGTATTTTGTTCAATTGGGTATATTCAATTCAATATACCCAAAATATCATTCTGCTATGTAATTAATATAAAAATGTATTAATGAGGTATTTTACATTCCTTTTTTGTACTAAGCCTTCAAAATCCAATGTGTATTACAGTTGCACCACATCTCAATTCATACTAGCCATATTTCAAATATTCAGTAGCCACATAGGATTAGTGGCCACCAGGATGGACAGTAGAGACTTAATTAGCTTCTGCATTACCTTAGCCCACAACGAAGACACCACTCCTAAAAGGTCTGGATTGTCTCCCAGAGTGAGAAGCTGAAAATACCTTGACTTCTCAAATTCAATTTGCCTTGGAATAGAGTACAGAGAGTACAGTATGCTTTCCCATTAAAGGGTTCAGCATTCAAAAAATTCTTTTTTTTTTTTTTTTTTTTTTTTGAGACAGAGTCTCACTCTGTCGCCCAGGCTGGAGTGCAGTGGTGCGATCTCAGCTCACCACAGTCTCCATCTCCCGGGTTCAAGCGATTCTCCTGCCTCAGCCTCCTGAGTAGCTGGGATTACAGGTGACCGCCACCACACATGGCTAATTTTTTTGTATTTTTAGTAGAGATGAGGTTTCACCATGGTGGCCAGGCTGGTTTCAAACTCCTGACCTCAAGTGATCCGCCTACCTCGGCCTCCCAAAGTGCTAGGATTACAGACATGAGCCACCATACCCGACCCAGAAAATTTATTTCCTTCTTCCCTTCTTTCTCTCTTTCTCTCTCTCTGCCTCTCTCTCTCTCCCTCTCTCTTTCTCTCTTTCTTTCTTGAGACAGGGTCTCCTTATGTTGTCCAGGCTGGTCTTGAACTCCTGGGATCAAGTGATTCTTCCAACTCGGCCTCTCAAAGTGCTGGGATTACAGGCACGAGCCACCATGCCTGACCCCAAAATTTTTTCTTAGACTTTATTTTTTAGAGCAGTTTTAGGTTTACCGAGGAATTGAGTGGAAAGTACAGAGAGTTTCCATATGCCCCTTACCCCTAAATATGAACAGCATCCCCCTCTATCGCCATGCCACACCAGAGTGGTATATTTGTGAAAATCAGTGAACCTACACTGACTCCTTATTATCACCTAAAGTCAAAAGTTTACATTAGAGTTCACTTTGGTGTACATTTCATGGGTTTTTACAAATGTATAAGGACATGTGTCCACCATGATAGTATTGTACAGAATGGTTTCACTGCTCTAAAAATCCTCTGTTCTGTACCTATTCATCTCTTCCTCCTCTCAAACCCTGGAAATTGCTAATTTTTTACTGTCTTCATAGTTCTTCCTTTTCCAGAATGTCATATAGTTGGAATCATATGGTACAATATGTATAGAGCCTTTACAGGTTGTTTTTTTCACTTAGTAATAGATATTTAAGTTTCCTCCATGTCTTTTTAGAACATGGTAACTCATTTCTCTTTAGCATGGAATAATGTTCCATTTTTTGGATATATCAGAGTTAATTTATCCATTCACCTGTTGAAGTACAGCTTGGTTGCTTTAAAGTTCTGTCAATCATAATTAAAGCTGCTATAAACATCTGTATGCAGGTTTCTGTAAGGATGTAAGTTTTCAACTTATTTAGGTAAATACCAAGGAGTACAATTGCTGGATGCTATTATAAGAGTAGGTTTAGTTTTGTAAGAAACTGTCTTCCACAGTGGCTGTACCATTTTGCATTCCTTCCATCAATGAATGAGAATTTCTTTTGCTCCATATCCTCATCAGCATTTGAGCTTCTAGATCCTAAATAGAAAAAGATGAGAGTTTATAAAAGTTTTGAGTGAAAAAATACCCTATAAAACCTATTATTTGATTAAAATTCTCCAGGCAAAGATCACATTAAGGAGGTGGTTTCATACCTATTATTAAAACTCCTTAGTGCTTTAACGTGCCTCAGGGCAAATTCAGATCAAAGGTATAATGCCAGTAAAACCTGTCATTTGAATAAAGCCTTCAGAGCAGAGATCAGATTAAAGGTGAGACCTTTCTATCTCTTATTCTGATAAAGGTACCCTCCATTAAACTGAAAAGCCTACTAAAATCCCTCCCCAATATTCATTTGAAAAAATAAAAAACCTACAGAAAAGTTGTAATGGTACAATAAATATCCATATACCCTTGACCTAAATCCTTGAATTGTTCACAGTTTGACACGTTTTCTTTCTCTCTCTGTCAACCCATGTGCATGCATAAACACACACTCACACATTTTTGCTCAAGCATTTAGAAGTTAGCTGTAGACAATATGGTGCTTCACCTGAAAAACTTTAGCACACTTCCAATAATAAGGATGTTACCTTATATAAACACTATGTAGTAAAGAATTTGGCTTTGCCCAAGTAGAAGTTCTGGCCTTTGCCCTAGGCTTCATGGATGTAATCTCTGGGTACTTGGAATGTTATGCCTGACGGGACAGTCTTTGTCAGGGCACCTTGTGTCAGACTGGATATTCTAACAATGTGATTTAGGGCTGGGGCTGGCCAAACCAGAAAGACTCACATGTTATTTAGGGTGAAGGCGCTTTGGTTTTTAGGGTTTTTTTTCTTTTTTTCCTTATATTTTTATTTTTTCTCTAGGCCATGTTCTCATCGGAAGGGTGGGGGCTCTGGTTGATGTAGTATCAGTTGACCTGGAGTTTGAGATCAACCACATGGACAATTAGTCAATCATGCCTATGTAATGAAGTCCCAGTAAAACTCTCAACACTTAGGCCTGGGTGAGCTTCCCTGGTTAGGAATACTTGGGCATATTGTACACATCAACATTGGAAGACAGTTTCAGCAAGAAAAAAAAAAGACATGCATAGATAGGAAGATAGATAAATAATAGGTAGGTGATAGGTAATATATATAAATATATATATATATAGAGAAAGAGACATTGCAAACGTAGCACAATACTAGCAATTGGATGAATCTCGGTGAAAAGTACGTGGGTGTTCATTCTCTTATTCATTCGCGGAGTAATGTGTTCTGACTCTATGAAGAGAGGACGAGGGAAGCTCCACATTTGGTACGTCCCTGACTTGGCCCTATGCGCTTCTTCCCTTAGCTAAATTTAATCTGTATGTTTTTCCTGTATAAACTATTACCATGAATATAGTAGTTTTCAGTGAGTTCTGTGAGTCCTTGTAGAGGATTATCAACCTGAGGATGGTTTGGGGAACTCCCAGACTTGCAGTTGGTGTCAGAAGTAAGAGTGGTCTTTTATAGCTACTATTCCCCCTGACTTCCTAGTTGGCTAGGAATTGATGCAAACACAATATAATTTCACATTCTGATAATTTAACATTGATACAATACTATATATAATACATATTATTATTTATTTATTTTGAGAGACAAGGTCTTGCTATTTTGCCTAGGCTGGTCTCAAACTCCTGGCCTCCCACCTAGGCCTCCCAAAGTGCTGGGATTACAGGAATGAGACACTGTTCCTGGCCATCTAATACATATTCTTTATTCAACTTTTACAGAGGGAGCACAAAAAATTTTCTAGAAAACCCTGTGCATGTAGATGGGGCCTGTCAACTCTGCCCTTCACTGTAGAGTAATCTAGCTGGTTCATTTCAATGATGTCTTTAGATCTTTAGATCTTTTCTCTCGGCCAGACCAGATTTTGCCAGCAAAGACCCTTATAATCTCCTTCCAGAAGGAGGCTGCTAGCAGAGTGGGGAAAGAGGGCTGAGGGATTCTTCCTAAGTATATAAGCTCTCACTTAATCTTTCTTCTTTCAAGATTGAATCCTTGCCCTTGACAGTACTAGGTGTTCCCAGTCAAGCAATTCTCTATTTTCCCCCTTTTTGGAAAACATGCTTTCTGCCTTCTGTCTGCCCAGCCAGCTTGTATTGAAGATGGGGATTTGAGCCTTTCACTGCTTCTTTAAAGTTAAGGTAGAACAGGGTCTAACTCCTTCTTAAAGTTAAATTCGAAGAGCCATAAAGACATCTGGGGGACATTGAGACTGTACATTTAAATAATATTATTATATCTGTGTTTATTTTATTTATTTATTTATTTATTTATTTATTTATTTATTTATTTATTTTGAGACAGAGTCTCACTCTGTCACTCAGGCTGGAATGCAGTGGCACGATCTCGGCTCACTGCAGCCTCCGCCTTTGCTACTTGGGAGTTGAGGCAGGAGAATTGCTTGAATTCTCCTGCCTCAACCTCCAGAGTAGCTGGGACTACAGAAGCACGCTAATTTTTGTATTTTTAGTAGAGACAGGGCTTTGCCATGTTGGCCAGGTTGGTCTCGAACTCCTGACCTCAAATGATCAGCCTATGTTGGCCTCCCAAAGTGCTAGGATTACAGGCGTGAGCCACCGCACCTGGCCCAATTTCACTTTTTACCTCACAGTCACCCCCACTCCCAGAGGTCACTGGTGCTACCAAATCCTGGGTCCAGAAGGTTGTGTGGATAAACAAAACTGCTTTTTAACTTTCATATTTTGCTTTCTCACTGTTGGTTTAAGGTTTAGCTTCTTTGCATCTGTTGAATCAGTTACCCCTCTTCCATTTGCATTCCATCTTCTCCAATTTCTTGCTGTTGTCTCATCTCTCATTTTCTTTGTCTTTGTGGATTTATGCCTTGAAACAAAACAAAGAACAAAAAACTTTTACTAAATGTTGTAGTGTGATTTTGGGAGGTAGTAGAAATAAATGTAAACATTCACTTCACTTTCTTTAGCTTGAAGTTTTCCACCATTTTTTTATTTTTTATTTTTGGAGACAGAGTCTCGCTTTGTCGGCCAGGCTGGCGCAATCTCAGCTCACTGCAACTTGTGCGATGGCGATTGTGCAAATTGTGCGATGCAAATTGTGCGATGGCGCAATCTCAGCTCACTGCAACTTCCACTTCCTAGGTTCAAGTGATTCTCCTGCCTCAGCCTCCTGAGTAGCTGGGACTACAGGTGAGCACCAGCAGGCCTGGCTAATTTTTGTATTTTTAGTAGAGATGGGGTTTCACCATGTTAGTCAGGCTGTTCTTGAACTCCTGAGCTCAAGTGATTGTGCTGCCTTGGCCTCCCAAAGTGCTGGGATTATAGGCATGAGCCACTGCATCCAGCCTCTACTATATATATATATATATATATATATATTTTTTTTTTTTTTTTAATTTCAGTTAGTTTTCACAAACGACAGAGCTCCAAGGTCATAATGTATTTCAGCCTTGTCTCTGAGAGTAGCAAAAGTAGTTCACACATATTGAAACAAAGCTATTCACAGCAGTTTAAATTATTTTAAAAAAACTTTAATTTTGAACAATTTTAAACCTACAGAAAAGATGAAAGGATAGTATAATAAACACCCACATACTTTTCACTTGGATTTATCCAGTTGCTAGTATTGTGCTATATTTGTGTTATATATATATATATGCTTATCATCTATTATCTATCTTCCTATTTATGCATGTCTTTTTTTCTTGCTGAAACCATTGAAAGTAAGTCCTAAACATCATAACGCTTCATCCTTAAAACACTCCAGCACGTATCTTTGAAGACCACAATACCTTTATCTTACCCATGAAATAAAAAATTGATGCAATATTATGTAAATCTGTAATACCCAAGTGTGTCCCCAAAATGTCCTATTGCTGTTCTAACTTAATATTTTCCCCTTAGCTATGACTTGCTCACCTCCCTTCCTCCTTGGTTTTCTCGGTACTGCCAGGAAAGGTGGGGCCAGTGAGAGTCAGCGTACTTTGGCACCACTCTCATCCCCTCTCAATTCCACAGCCTCAGCGGTTACCCAGTTTCTGCTTGAGAAGTTGCTCAATCTAGTGTTAGTTGTGGCTTGAATGAGTCCTCAGTCTTTCTTCAAATCACTAGTTTTTTAACTCAGGTATTTTTATCCCAGATATCAGTGTCTACTGGTTTAAATTTCGTTCTTTTTTTTTTTTTGAGATGGAGTCTTGCTCTGTTGCCCAGGCTTGCTCTGTTGCCCAGGAGTGCAATGGCGTGATCTTGGCTCACTGCAACCTCCACCTCCTGGACTCAAGCAATTCTCCTGCCTCAGTCTCCCAAGTAACTGGGATTACAGGCAGGTGCCACCACTCCCAGCTAATAATTTCCTTCTCTTATAAGCTTAGTTAACTTGTTTAGAAAACCTTGGGAACCTGAAGAAAACCCCAGGAACCTGGGCTACTCTAGCAAAAACTGATAGAAGCACCCATAGATTATGTTTTTGGCCTCATCAAATGTTTATATGTTTTCAATTTACTGTGCCAAACCACTTGAAGTCAAGATGTGAGTGGACAGTGAATTGATACCTCTCTACTATAAAAAGTCACAACATTTTGGGGTTCCTGCTCTAAGGATGATCTGAGAACCATCCTAGAAATCTTGCAGCATTTATCTCTGCTTGCATTTCATAAAAATTCCCCCAAATTACTTTAGGAGCTAGGACTTTGAGCCAATTTCACTTCTGATACCAGTCTGTATAGATGTAAAAAAGTAATGATGGCCTGGGCATGGTGGCTCACCTGTAATCCTAGCACTTTGAAAGGCCAAGGCTGGCCAATCACTTTGAGCTCAGGAGTTGGAGAACAGCCTGGGCAACATGGCAAAACCCGGTCTCTACAAAAACTGAAAAAATGAGCCGGATGTGGTGGCTTGCACCTGTAGTCTCAGCTACTTGGGAGGCTGAGGCTGGAGGATCGCTTGAGCTGGGAAGTAGAAGTTGCAATGAGCCAAGATTGTCCCACTGCACTCCAGCCTGGGCGACAGAGCGAGACCATTTCTTAAAAAAAAAAAAAAAAAAGCAATGATGGTATGATTAACTAAAAGACACCAACAGAGCCAAGCCAACAATACAAGTTTCTTTAATGTAGGTAAACACACAAGAATTTTAACAGCTTGAAAACATAGAGGACACAGCCGCATACTCAGATAGAGAGGTCAGCTTCCCTGCTCTGCAGGTTCCCCCCTGAGGTCAGATGACTTTTGCTGAATTTACCTGATGAGGGTTGAGATACCATCAGATCTTTCAAGAAGCTCTCTTGCCATTCTCTTAGAGTTTTTTTTAAAGCCTTGGTTCCCCTCTAGCACTGGAAATGGTAGCTATGTGTCTGCCTGCTCACTAAGTGCAAGTAATTGGTGATAACTCCAGCCCATTGCTGAATGTGAACTTGAGAAAAGAAGGCTGATTTTTCAGGCGTACCATCCCTCTTAAAACCCTAAGTTTTAAGTTGGTCAGAGGATAACCTTTGCAATGTAGACACTAGAATTTGTTCAAAAAGGGTGAATAGGATCTTTTTTAAAAAATGTAATATATAAAAACCTTTTAAATTATTAGATTGTCTCATTTTAAATGTTTTCCCCATTTTGTGGTTTTTAAAAATTATGGTAAAATATACGTAACGTAAAATTTACCATTTTCTACATTTTTAGGTGTACAGTTCACTGGCATTAAATACATTCATATTGTTGTGCAACCATCAGCACCATCCATCCAAAGAACTTTCATCGTCTCTAATTAAAACTCTTCTCTACCTGTTAAACAACTCCTCATTTCCCATTTCCCCAGCCCCTGGCAACTCTCATTCCATTTTCTATCTCTATGAGTTTGTCTACCCTATGTACCTTACATAAATGCAAATAACCTCTTAGTTAACGTGAAAATTAGTAAAAAGAGATGTGACTATATAGAAAAAACATGTAATT
Source organism: Homo sapiens (assembly GCF_000001405.40). NCBI lineage: Eukaryota > Metazoa > Chordata > Mammalia > Primates > Hominidae > Homo > Homo sapiens. Next base: position 114,551,275 of record NC_000001.11, read on the forward strand.
GTGTTTTTATGTGCAAATGCGACGACAGTGTGTGTGTGTGTGTATATATATATATATGCTATTTTGCAACTTCCTTCACTTAGCAATATAGTATTGTTATTTGTTATCTAATGCTGCATAACAAATTGCTCCAAACCTTGGTGGCTTAAAACAACATTTATTATCTCACAGTTTCTATGGATCAGGAATCTGGATGTGGCTTTGTTGGGGCTCCTGTTTCAGGATCTCTCAAAAGGCTGCAAGTCAAAATGTTGCCCAGCAGGAGGATTGCTTGAGCCCAGGAATTTAAGGCTGCAGTGAACTATGATCACACCACTGCATTCCAGCTTGGGTGATAGAGTGAAAGCCCAGCTCAAAAAAAAAAAAAACAGGCCGGTGGCTCACGCCTGTAATTCCAACACTTTGGGGAGGCTGAGGTGGGCAGATCACTTGAGGCCAGGATTTCGAGACCACCCTGGCCAACATGGAGAAACCCTGTCTCTACTAAAAATACAAAAATTAGGCCAGGCACGGTAGCTTATGCCTGTAATCTCAGCACTTTGGGAGGCTGAGGTGGGTGGATCACTTGAGGTCAGGAGTTTGAGATCAGCCTGGCCAACATGGTGAAACCCCGTCTCTACTAAAAATACAAATATTAGCAGGACGTGGTGGCATACACCTGGAATCCCAGCTACTCGGGAGGCTGAGGCATGAGAATCACTTGAACCTGGGAGGTGGAGGTTGCAGTGAGCTGAGATCGCACCACTGCACTCCAGCCTGGGCGACAGAGCGGGACTCAGTCTCAAAAAAAATAAATAAATAAAATAAAAATAAAAATTAGCCAGGCATGGTGGCAGGTGCCTGTAATCCCAGCTATTCAGGAGGCTGAGGCAGGAGAATCGCTTGAAACCCAGGAGGCGTACATTGCAGTGAGCAGAGATTGTGCCACTTTACTCCAGCCTGGGTGACAGAGTGAAACTGTCTCAAAAAAAAAAAAAAAAAAAAGAAAAGAAAAGAAAAGGAAAGGAAAAGAAAAAGTGTCGCCTGGGACTGCAGTAGACTCAGGCTTGCTCATGTTGTTGGCAGAATTCACCTTCTCCCAGGCCATTGGACCACGGAGTGCAGTTTTGCTCTGGCTGTCTGCTGGAGGCCACCCTCAGTTCCTTGCCACATGGACTTCTCCATAGGGCAGTTCACAACATGGCAGCTTGCTTCATCAGAAGGAACACAAGAGTCAGAGAGTGAGAGTAGAGTGAAAGTCAGTCTCTTATCATCTAATCTCAGAAGTGACTCTCTATCACTTTTGCCATATTCTACTTGTTAGACGCAAGTCACTAGGTCCAGCCCACACACACAAAAGATGATACAACGGTGTTAATATCGGAGGCAGGAATTGGGAGCCACTGTAGAAACTGCCTACCACAAATATCTTTCTGTTACCAGCATATATCTCAACTTCATCCTTTTTTTTTTTTTTTTGGTAATAGTTACTCTTTTTTTTTTTTTTTTTTTTTTTTTGAGAGAGGGTCTCTGCAGTACAGCGGCACACTCACAGCTCACTGCAGCCCCAACCTGCCAGGCTTAAGTGATCCTCCTAGCTCAGCTTCCCAAGTAAGTGAGACTACCGGCACATGCCACCAGGCCTGGCTAATATTTCTATTTTTTGTAGAGACAGGATCTCGCCATGTTGCCCAGGCTGTTCTTGAACTCCTGGACTCAAGCAATCCACCTGCCTTGGCCTCCCATAGTATTGTGATTACAGGTGTGAGCAACTATGCCCAGCCTACTCTATTTTGAGATAAATGTCTGCAACTTAAAAAATTTGTATAAAGATGAATATACCTCTGCATCATGGAGAAGACTGCAGAGAGCCTACTATCCTTAACCTCTTCCTTGAAGGATAAACATAAATTCATCAAGAAACAAAGTGGGGAAGGTATTCCAAGGAAAGAAAAAAGCACATGAAAATGGGTAAAAAATGGAAGGATGCATCATGGTGGGTGTAGAGAAACAGGAAATTTTTTCTTTTCTTTTTCTTTTTTTAGATGTGGATTCTTGCTCTGTTGCCCATGCTGGAGTGCAGTGGCATGATCATAGCTCGCTGCAGCCTTGATCTCCTGGGCTGAAGCTGGCCTCCTGCCTCAGCCTCCTGAGTAGCTGGGACTACAGGCACGTGCCCACATCCAGATAACTTTATTTTTTTGTAGAGACGGGATCTTGCTACGTTGCCCAGGCTAGCTTTAAACTCCTGACCTCAAGTGATCTGCCTGCCTTGGCCTCCCAAAGTGTTGAGATTACAGGTGTGTAAATCTCTAATGCCTGAGATTACAGGCATGAGCACGTCTGGCTGAAAATTTAAATATGGTTTGAGGAAGGGGTTCAGGCAGACGAGATTTACAAGATTTGGAAATAATAGCAGCATCTAACATGTGCCAGGCACTGTTCTATGCATTTAATGTGTAATAATTTATGTAATTCTTACAACAACCCTATCAGATACAGTAGAATTATTGTGCTAATTTTCCACCTGGAAAACAGACACAGAGAAGTAAATAAACTTGTCTGATATCACATAGCTATTAAATGACAGTTTGACTCCTGGCAGTTTGACTTCACTGCTAGGTTCACTATCTGCCTTTCTTTTATTTATTTAATTTTTTTTAAATAGAGACAGGGTCTCACTATATTGCCCAGGCTGGTCTCAAACTTCTGGGCATAAGTGATCCTCCTGCCTTGGCCTCTCAAAGTGTTGGGATTACAGGTGTGAGCCACCATGTCTGGCCACTATCTGCCTTTCTCTTAAAAACTTTGTATGCCATGGTAAGAAGTTTAGATTTTAATTTTAGGTAACAGGCTGGGCGCAGTGGCTCACACATGTAATCCCAGCACTTTGGGTGGCTGAGGCAGGCAGATCACTTGAGGTCAGGAGTTCGAGACCAGCTTGGCCCACATGGCAAAACCCTGTCTAGGCTAAAAATACAAAAATTAGCCAGGCTTGGTGGCAGGTGCCTCTAATCTCAGCTACTCAGGAGGCTGGGGCAGGAGAATCACTTGAACCCAGGAGGCAGAGGTTGCAGTGAGCTGACATTATGCCACTGCACTCCATCCTGGGAAACAGAACGATACTCTGTCTCAAAAAAAAAAAAAAAAAAAAAATTGGAACAAAGAGCCAATGATTTTTAAGCAAAGGAATGGCTTTATTAGATTAATTTTGGGGGAAGATTACTTTGGTACCAGCTTTGAGGGTTAACTAGTAGAACAAGAAAGTTTATAAGGAGAACAAGGAAGAGACTATTCCTATGATTCAGAGATGAGGAGGACCTGAATTCATGACAGGTGGCAGTGAATACACAGATCAGGATTAGTGTGCCATTTCCAAAGTAAATGAATAGGATTTGGTGCCCAGTTGGATATAAGGATTAGGGAGGAGTCAAGGACAACAAGTCAAGTTCGAGAATCTTGCAGAGCATCCAGGTGGAGCTGTCAGTCGCAATACTGCTGGGGAGAGAGATATGGCTAAAGATACAGATTAGTGAGTCATCCACTTCACTGGTGGTAATTAAAGTCTATGGGAATGGATTGCTCAGGTTAGCTGATCCAAAACAGAGCCTTAGGGAACACCAGCATTCAAGCAATGGGCAGAAGAAGAGAAATAGCCCATGAAAATACAGAGAAAGATGGGTAAAACAGGTAGGAAGATAATTAAAATACTAAACAGAAAGCAATAAATACCATAAAAGAGGTACAAACAAAGTAATGTGGGAGTTCAAAGTAGGATTACAACTTAATCTGAGTCTCTGTTAACTCACCTGTAAAATCAGGTTGGACTAAGTGATCTCTGAAATCACTTTTGTCTCTAAACCTTTGAATCTATTCAGTGTCTACCATGTGCCCATTAACATGATAGATGCTATGGAAAGAAAGGCACAACCCCTACTCTAGAAGAGCTTTCTTAATTTAGTTTTTTGTTTGTTTTTAGAGATGGAGTCTTGCTCTGTCACCTAGGCTGGAGTGCAGTAGCGCAATCCTAGCTCACTGCAGCCTTGAACTCCTGAGCTCAAGCGATCCTCCCACTTCAGCCTCCCAAGTAGCTGGGGTTACACACACGCACAACCATGCCTGGTTAGAAGAATTTTCGGTTTACTGGGGAGCTTAGTCTCTGCACAGCTACTGAAACAAAACAAAACAAAAAAACTGGACAAACAAAACCCACTGGAGATGGAGATCATTTATAATTAAGGGTTGAATTTTGTGGCATAGCCTGTGGGCTGCAATCCAGAGAAGGAAGGTGTAATAATATGTGTATAGAAGCTTCGTGGAGGAAGAGAGTGGACTTGGGCTGGATTCAGATAGAGAAGAATAATGTGGGCAGAAATAAAGGTATGAGTTCACCTACCTGATAACTTGAAGACCTCGGCTGGGAATTCATGGGAAGTAAGGTTTTAGATAGGTAGCACAAGGCCTACCTTACTAATCAACTTATATAACTTAGTTGGGACTTAGAATAGACATGGAAGCAGTGGCGAGCTACTGTAGGTTGTTGGGCAGGTTTGTGATGTTTATTGTACGGGATATATTGATAGCTATTTTTATTGCACAAAATGTCTATCGCTATGATACGTTTTCCCATCGCCAATTTCACACTACAGTGGCTGCTGTGGTGTGCTGCCCAGATCACCTCGCTCCAGGTCTGATGCATGCATGCATGCCCCCACCTTCTGGGAGAGTAGACGGCTGGCAACTCTCAACTAAGTCCTTCTCCAGGACTTGCGCTCAGCTGAACAGAACCACTTTGCCTAATGTCCCACCACCTTACCAGGAGCAGTGCACATTAATGACTGGTTGATGAGCTTTACAAAGGCCCAGCCTCCCCACCCCAGTTCAGAAAAACCTTGAAGTGTCCTCCCCCTAGCTTCAGAGCCTCCTGGCTGAGGCCTTTGTTGCAAGTGTAGCACAGTTCATCTCCTGCTCAATCCTGCTTCCTTTGCTCTCAACAGGTGTTGATCCCAAGAATACTTCCTAATAAACTTCCTACATTCTAATTTCCATCTGTTTTCTGGGGAATCAAACTGAAACATACATGATAATTACGTTCACTCAACTTTTCACTCAACTTTTCATCTATGCTACTCAACTTTTTCATCTGTGGTACTCAACTTTTCATCTATGCTACTTAACAATTAAACTGTAGAAACATTTTATGAGCCCAGATTTTGGCGTGAGGAATGTTCTTTAACAATTTTGACATTTGTAGTTTAGAACACCAAGATCTACCTTTTATAAAACCTGCACTCTCTAAAATCGCACACCCATTTTGGCACTATACATTCAGTTCAGTTTTTGTGGAGACAGTAGTAGATACAAATAGCTAAGCATATGTAAGGAATATCAATCAAAAGGAAATAATGAATTGGTGGTAACTATGTCTTAGCAGGATATACCATAGGTTGATGGAGTGCATTGCTCAGTGTCTTGTATAGTAATACTCTTGGAGACACCAGGTACTCCACGGAGGTAGTCCACAACTGGAAATTTTACAGAGTGTTGTTTTGGATCACAAAGAAACTGTGACACCATTTGATTTTTTTTTTTTGCGTTTATCCAAAATATCTTAATCTATATACTTGGCACTTAGCACTACTTAAAAAAAAAATCACCAACTATGACACTATCAGGCAGCTCTCAGCTAAGCACATTACTCTCCTTTAGTTTAAAAGCTTTAGAACAAAGTTCAGAAATTTAAAACTTGGAATAAAAATGGGCAAAAAAAATTGTAAAGTTGGTGGTAATAAAGTGATCAGCATTGTTAGAATGGTTACCTCAGAGTGTTCAGAACATCAAAGTACCCCTGCAAAACATCTTGCTGAGACAATTGGTCTTGCAGCTTTTTTGGGGGGCGGGGGGGATGGAGTTTTGATCTTGTTGCCCAGGTTGGAGTGCAATGGCGTGATCTCGGCTCACTGCAACCTCCGCCTCCCAGGTTCAAACGATTCTCCTGCCTCAGCCTCCTGAGTAACTGGGATTACAGGTGCTGGCCACCATGCCCAGCTAATTTTTGTATTTTTAGTAGAGATGGGGTTTCACCGTGTTGGCCAGGCTGGTCTTGAACTTCAGACATCGTGATCCACCTGCCTTGGCCTCCCAAAGTGCTGGGATTACAGGCATGAGCCACTGTGCCCGTCTGGTAGCTCTTAAGAGGGAAAGATGAAGGGTGAAAAACGAGAAATTGTCCGTCTATATTTCCAATGGTCTATGTCCTTTTAAAATTTTTAATTAATTAATTTTTTTTTAAAGACAGGATCTTGCTCTGTTGCACAGGCTGGAGTACAGTGGCATGATCATGGCTCACTGTAGCCTTGAACTCCTGGGCTCAAGCAATCCTCCCACCTCAGTCTCCCTAGTAGCTGGGATTATAGGCATGAGCCACCCTGCCTGGCTCCTACATCACTTTTTTGTCCTTATGACATCGGTTTTTAAAAATGTCCTTTCCTCTGTTTGCAAAGGGCAAAAATAAAACCATAATAAAAAATAAAGTAAAATGTACTTTCCTCAACACGATTAAGAGATACAGTTTTAGAGACAAATAACATTCAGTGCTCACTGAAATTATCAAATTTTTAATATGGAAATAGATGGGTTTATATGGCATTCTTTATAATACAACAAATTCTGTAAAGGGAAATATATTGAAAATGCTGGGTCTGTAATTGACAGATTGCCAAAGAATAAATTATATCCTGTGCTGTAATTATGTATTCAGCAATAATGAATACTAGGAGAAAATAGCAAAGTAGTAATTATACCAATTACAATTGATTAGTTGGTATTAACATAAAAAGATGTGCTCATTGTGTTATACTCTATTATGTCACAAAAGGCTCTGATGTATTAAAGATAGTTGATTTCTTTATAAAGTCCCTTTTTATAATTGACTAAACTCAGTGAGTTTGGAAGGAAACTGGGAATTTGTATAATTACTCATGATAAAAATTTATTATGCTACAATTTTCATTGTTTTATGCTACTGTAGTTTCTAATTTTCTAATCTGTTTTTCCTGTGTTATTGGTATACTAGCACTGCATTTAAAAAAATGGAACAAAGTAATCCAAAAGAATTGTAATAACTAGAACTCATAAGTATCCACTATTGTTTATTTTTTGTTAGAAATTGAGATTTAAGGTGGCAAGGTAATTGCTACTCTATATAAAGTAGAGCTCTGTTTCTTTACAAATCTCCAAAGTGTGAATTTAACAATTTAGCAGGACTAATTATTTTAGACTTCTGGTGAGTTGGACGCACTTCATAATTTTAACAATAAAAGTGAAGTCTATGTGGGATTAAATTTAAACTCTGAAAAAAATGCAAGGATCCTTCAATATATGAAACATCAGAGTAAATTTAATTATCTCAATTTTCTCAAGTCATGTAATGGAAAGCAGGCAGGTATAAATTGCTGCTGCATGGGTAATTTATTTCACTTTTTAATGACCTTGTGCCCTCTATGGTCAAACAAGAATACTACAGGAAATAAGCAGGCCCTCTTTTAAAAGTAGGAGAGCATAATAGATAGCAGACTGAAAAGAAGATCTTGAAACTTAGTGAAAAGCCCAAAATAGAAAATAAGCCAAATAACATTTAAGTGTGACTAAGAAGATGTTCTTAGGGCTAGTTTTAGTGAGTGGTAAAATTTAATTGTAATTATAAGCAAAAGTCTAATATATATGGCCATTGACAGAATTCAATTTAAGACCACTTTGTTGTACACACATCAATAGCGTATTCCTTTGAATGCATTTAGTTGTAAAGTGTGGAGGAAGAAGGGAACACTGAGCTAAGATGAAGCTGAGCTTTTTATTATCCTGAATTATGTACCCTTAAAGTCCATATCTAAATTCCTTGACCAAATGTTTTTAAGATCTAGAGAAAAAAAAATATGTTAGAGAAACTGTTGGCTGAGTGTGGTGGCTCACACTTGGAATCCCAGCACTTTGGGAGACCAAGGTGGGTGGGTCACTCGTGCCCAGGTGTTTGAGACCAGCCTGGGCAACATGATGAAACCCCATCTCTACAAAAACCAGAAATATTAGCTGGGCATGGTGGCGTCTGCTTGTAATCCCAGCTACTCGGGTGGCTGAGGAGGGAGAATCACTTGAGCCCGGGAGATTGAGGCTGCAGTGAGCTGAGATTGTGCCACCACACTCTAGACTGTGCAACAGAGTGAGACCCCGTCTCAAGAAAAAAAAAAAGATTTCTGGTTGGTAAAATGTGGTAACTAAAAGCAGAACTTGAAAGTTGCACACATCACTTCAGTTCCTATCTCATTGGACACAACCTAGTCACACAGCATATGTACATGGTTGGATGGGAAGCTAGCAGTTAAGTTTTTAGTTGAGCATCCATATGCCCAGCTAAAACTTCTATTATTATAGGAGAGGATAACATATATTAGAGGGGCAAGTATGTAGTCCCTGCTACAGTAAGTCACTGAGACAACAAGTTCTGGGTTTACCCCTTTCCTTCTCAAAGACATGTAAAAATACAACCAAGTGAGATATGCATAGGGATCATCTTGAATCTGTATGATATATTTAGAAAGAAAGTTATTAAAAACTGCAGGTTTTGGCTGGGTGTGGTTCACACCTGTAATCCCAGCACTTTGGGAGGCCAAGGCGGGTGGAATACTTGAGGACAGGAATTTCAGACCACCCTGGCCAACATGGCAAAACCCTATCTCTACTAAAAACACAAAAATTAGCCAGCCGTGGTGGCATGTGCCTGTAACCCCAGCTACTCGGGAGGCTGAGGCAGGAGAATTACTTGAACCTGGGAGGCAGAGGTTGCAGTGAGCCAGGATTGCACCATTGCACTCCAGTCTGAGTGACAGAGAGAGACCTTGTCTCAAAACACAAAAACGAAACTGCAGGTTATTTATTTATTTATTCATTTAATTTTTTTTTTTTTAAGATAGGGGTCTTACTATGTAGGTCACAAGCTGGTCTCAAACTCCTGGGTTTCAGCGATCCTCTCACCTGAGCCTCCCAAAGTGCTGGGATTATAGGTGTGAGCCACCGTGCCCAGCTAAAAACTGCAGATCTTAAGTTACAGTGAATAACAAATTACTTGGCCCACATCTCTCAACAAACCACAATAGCCAGCTTATTGACTTTTATGGCTATTTCCCAGCACAAACTATGAAACAGACAGACCATCCCAGTTCTCCACTACTAAAATTATGCCATAATAAATATAACCTATTATATTTTTCTTTAGAAAGAAAAAAATCCTAGGGAGTAGTTGGGTGAACTGTTTATCATACTGGGCCAGCTAAGTGAAAGGGGTTACCTCTCTCTCTCTATTTTATAGAGACGAGGTCTTACTATGTTGGCCAAGTTGGTCTTGAACTGCTGGCCTCAAGTGATCTTTTCCCCTCCACCTCCCAAAGTGCTAGGATTACAGGCGCGAGCCACTGCTCCTGGCCAAGGGGTTGCCTCTTAACTCAGGTAAGATCCAGGGTGTAATAGACATGTTGTCATTATCTGCCCAACTACTTCCTCTCCTGATAGAAGCGCCATCCTATCTTACTTTGGGGAGCTATTACTCCAATCCAATCAACTGCCAAGCATAGTACTCTACCCTCAATTCTACAGGTATATGATCGATATCTGGCCAATCACAGTGCCCCCAAGTCCTAGCTATACTTCTGACTCTAAGGACTGAACGTGAAATTTAGAGCACATCAATCAAAATCCTCTGAAATAATATATACTGATATATTTGCTTCCTTCTAAGGCTGCTAAACTGAGATGATGTAAGTCTGGAGCTGCCTGTGGCTTTGGCCTCTGTTGTATAGAGGAAGCCTATTTGTAGGAGACAATATGGCCAGAAAGAGAAACAGAGAGATGAAAAACAGGACGACACGGGATCTCTGGAATTATTTTTTATATTTTATTTATTGAAAAAAAATTTTTTTTGAGACAGGGTCTCACTTTGTCACCCAGGTTGGAGTCAGCTGTGTGATCATAGCTCACTGCAGCCTGAAACTCCTGCCTGAACCTCCCCAAAGTGCTAGGATTACAGGCATGAGCCACCATGCCCAACTGGAATCCCTGGATTTAGTTGACGATGCAGCTAGTTCCACCTCTGTGCTTACAAATTAAATGAACCAATAAATCCCCCTTTACTGCTTAAGGTAGTTTTAGTTAGCTTTCTGTCACTTGCAAACAGACTTCTAATATCCAGAAATAGACTTCTAAGGATAGAGGAAGTGAAGTGGGTCTAATATAATAAATCTTAGTTCTCAGGGTAGAAAGCAGGGTGAAACAGAAATAGAAACTTCTGTTCATGAACAGGTTTACAGAGTGTCCCATTAGTCCAACTTATTTTTGATTCTATGGTATCCAACAAATTTGTATTGAAATTAAATGAAATGTGGTTTCTGTGTTCTTCTGGCACTAAATAAACATAGTACCTTGAGTGGCAGTCTTATGAATAATTTTCATTTTCTTTTTATCTGCATTTTCTGATTTGCCTATAATAAACATATGTAGATTTTTCACCATGTTAAATCAAACATTTATCATTATTCTTTATCAACTATTGTATTAGTTTCCTCAACATTTATCATCACTCTTTACCAACTATTGTATTAGTTTCCTATCAGTGCCGTAGCAAATTGCTATAAAGTGGGTGGTTTCAAGCAAAACATATTTATCATCTTACAATTCTGAAAGTCAGAACAAAGTGGGTCCGCAAAGCAGTTTCTCCTGGCCAACACTCTGATGGGAGATTTGTTTCCTTGCCTTTTCTAGTTTCTAGACACCACCTGCATTCCTCAGCTCATGGTCCCCTTCCTTCATCTTTAAGGCCTGCAGGTTAGCAACCTTTCTCCTCTCTAACCTTCCACCTTCTACCTCCCTCTTAAAAAGACCCTTGGAGGTCCACTCCAGACCCTGTTTGCCTGGGTATCAGCAGCAGTGGCCGCAGAACAGCAAATGGTGCTGCCTGATCATTCCTCTGGAAGTTTCGTCTCAGAGGGGTACCTGGCCGTGTGAGGTGTCAGTCTGCCCCTACTGGGGGGTGCCTCCCAGTTAGGCTACTCAGGGGTCAGGGACCCACTTGAGGAGGCAGTCTGTCCGTTCTCAGATCTCAAACTCCGTGCTGGGAGAACCACTACTCTCTTCAAAGCTGTCAGACAGGGACATTTAAGTCTGCAGAGGTTTCTGCTGCCTTTTGTTTGGCTATGCCCTGCCCCCAAAGTCTACAGTAACCAAAACAGTATGGTACTGGTACCAAAACAGAGATATAGACCAATGGAACAGAACAGAGCCCTCAAAAATAATACCACACATCTACAACCATCTGATCTTTGACAAACCTGACAAAAAAAAAGAAATGGGGAAAGGATTCCCTATTTAACAAATGGTGCTGGGAAAACTGGCTAGCCATATGTAGAAAGCTGAAACTGGATCCCTTCCTTACACCTTATACAAAAATTAATTCAAGATGGATTAAAGACTTAAATGTTAGACCTAAAACCATAAAAACCCTAGAAGAAAACCAAGGCAATACCATTCAGGACATAGGAATGGGCAAAGACTTCATGTCTAAAACACCAAAAGCAATGGCAACAAAAGCCAAAATTGACAAATGGGATCTAATTAAACTAAAGAGCTTCTGCACAGCAAAAGAAACTACCATCAGAGTGAACAGGCAACCTACAGAATGGGAGAAAAGTTTTGCAACCTACTCGTCTGACAAAGGGCTAATATCCAGAATCTACAAAGAACTCAAACAAATTTACAAGAGAAAAACAACCCCATCAACAAGTGGGCAAAGGATATGAACAGACACTTCTCAAAAGAAGACATTTATGCAGCCAAAAGACACATGAAAAAATGCTCATCATCACTGGCCATCAGAGAAATGCAAATCAAAACCACAATGAGATACCATCTCACACCAGTTAGAAGGGCCATCATTAAAAAGTCAGGAAAACAACAGGTGCTGGAGAGGATGTGGAGAAATAGGAACACATGTTGGTGGGACTGTAAATTAGTTCAACCATTGTGGAAGACAGTGTGGCGACTCCTCAGGGACCTAGAACTAGAAATACCATTTGACCCAGCCATCCCACTACTGGGTATATTCCCAAAGGATTGTAAGTCATGCTGCTATAAAGACACACGCACACATGTTTATTGTGGCACTATTCACAATAGCAAAGACTTGGAACCAACCCAAATGTCCAACAATAGACTGAATTAAGAAAATGTGGCATATATACACCATAGAATACCATGCAGCCATAAAAAATGATGAGTTCATGTCTTTGTAGGGACATGGATGAAGCTGGAAACTATCATTCTCAGCAAACTATCGCAAGGACAAAAAACCAAACACCGCATGTTCTCACTCATAGGTGGGAATTGAACAATGAGAACACGCGGACACAGGAAGGGGAACATCACACACCGGGGCCTGTTGTGGGGTAGGGGGAGCGGGGAGGGATAGCATTAGGAGATATAACTAATGTAAATGACGAGTTAATGGGTGCAGCACACCAACATGGCACATGTATACATATGTAACAAACCTGCACGTTGTGCATATGTACCCTAGAACTTAAAGTATAATAAAAAATATATATTAAAAAAAACCCAAAAACTTGATATGTATCCAAATTTAGCATGCACCATTTTCCTTAAACTTTACTATGAGATCCTGAAAAAAAAAAAAAAAAAGACCCTTGGGATTACATTGGATCTACCCAAATAATCCAGGATAATCTCACTTTAAGAGCCTTAATCACATGTGCAAAGTTCTTTTGCCATGGAAAGTAACACATTAACAGGTTCCAGGGATTAAGATCTGGACATCTTTAGGGGCCATTTTGCAGCCTTCCACAACTATCTACATGTAAATGAATATGAAAGGTAATTAATATAAAAACTGTGAAGTAAGCACAGCCTACCTTTGTAAATAAAAGGCACAATTTCAATGGTTGGATGAAAGCTCCCAAGGAAAAATAAGCTGGTCTGGCTTCAGCTTCCCTGACAGTCACAAAGCCTATTCTGGGGAAGTGAGGGAACAAAGCTTTAAGTGATTTCTTGGAAACAAAGGGCTTAATATTGTTGGGGTTTCTGGCCAGGCTGGAACATGCATTTGGCAGGCATAAATTCAGGGATGAACTCCTATGAATTTTCTACTTGCAAGCTCTCCAAGAGTAGGTACATAGTAGAACATTTCCAGCAGGTCAAAGAAGGAACAGGAACTTCATTAGAACACAGAACACAGTCTTGGGGACTCGGGAGAAAGGGTGGGAGTGGGGCAATGGATAAAAGACTACAAATGGGGTGCAGCATATACTGCTTGGGTGATGGATGCACCAAAATCTTACAAATCACCACTAAATAACTTACTCATGTAACCAACCACCACTTGCATCCCAATAACCTGCGTGTGGTGGGGAAGAACACGGTCAGATTGTGGGCCAGTTTTCCCCTGGGCTGTTTCTCAGTGTAAAATGATGGTACAACGATAGCAGCCATCTTTGTGATGACAGCTCTCATGAGCCACAGTGTTCCAATCTGAACCCGTTGCCTTCTACGGAGTGTACATATATAATCCTGACAGACAGCCCTTCACCAAGCTCTTTGGAAGAGTCCCGTCACTGCTTCCCTGTGTTTGGCTGGAAGAGCACACATCCTTCAGCAGCCCCTTGAGAAATGATATTCAGGAAGTAAATGCTTTTGAGATCTCATATATCTCCAAGTGTCTTTATTCTACCATAACCCTTGGCTTATAATTTGGCTATGTAAAGAGTTCTAGGTTGGAAATAATTTTTTGTAAGAATTCCAAAGGCACTTCTACATTATCTTCTTTCTAGCTTCCAAAGATGTTGTTGAGAAGCGTGAAGACATTTTGATTCTTGATCCTTTATATGTAACAATCCGCCCCTCCGTCCCCCCTACACGCCTGCAGAATCTTCGTGTGCTTGGGTGTTCTCATATCTCACAAGTAACATGCTCCGGAGTTGGTCTATTTTCATCCATTGTGCAGTGACCTTTTGACTCTGGAAATTCTATCAATCAATCAGTTCTGGAAAATTCTGAATTATTTTGATGACTTCTTCCCTCCTGTTTTCTCAGGTTATTCGGCTACTGACTTTCCAGACCAGTCCTCCTATTTTCTCTTCTCTGTTTTCCATGTTTGTCTTTGTTGCCTCCACTTTCTTTGAGTGTGTCAACTTTAATTCCTAACTTTCCCATTGAATTTTAATTCCTGCTACCATATTTTTTAATTTCGACAAGCTGTTTTGTTCTGTTTCTTAATAACATCTTATATATTATTATGGCTGCAGTATCTCCTCTGAGGATTTTTTTTTTGAGACACGGTCCGGCTCTGTCACTCAGGCTGGAGTGCAGTGTCACAATCATAGTTCATTAAAGGCTTGAATTCCTGGACTCAAGCAATCCTCCTCCCTCAGCCCCCCAAGTAGCTGAGACTATAGGCGCACAACACCATGTCTGGCTAATTCTTTTATTTTTTGTAAAGATGGGGGTCTCACTACGTTGCCCAGGCTAGTCTCAAATTTCTGGGCTCAAGTTATCCTCCCACCTTGGCCTCCCAAAGTGCTGGGATTTAGACATGAGCCATCACACCCAACCTGAGGATATATTTCTTAAAAACAATTTTTTTCTTCTTGCATCATCTATTTCTCCATAGTCTTTCCCAGATTTGTTTTACTCCTTATCTTTCACAATGTAGAACTGCCTTATCTGGTGATCCTCAACTGTCTATTCATGTTTAAAAGTCGGGAGCTAAAGCACGGTTTAGAAGCTGTGTTGGTTGCGGGGTGGTTTGTTGAGCCTCTCTGCTCTGTGTCCTGGCTTGGTCATTTGTTGGGAAACTCTCAATTTCAACAACTGTAGTAGGTCTTTTCTCTTAGGCTGGTCAGATACTCCACAACTCTTCCAATTTCCTTCTGAGAGAAGTTCGAGGGTGGGCAATGAAGAGATGGATGACAACACTCCATATGCGTTCATTCCTACAATCCCTATCTTCAACACAGAAATGTGGCTCTCGCTAGGCGTGGTGGCTTACACCTGTAATCTCAGCACTTTGGGAGGCTGACTTGGGCAGATCACCTGAGGTAGGGAGTTTGAGACCAGCCTGACCAACATGGAGCAATCCCGTCTCTACTAAAAATACAAAATCAGCCGGGCGAAGTGGCACATGCCTGTAATCCCAGCTACTTAGGAGGCTGAGGCAGGAGAATTGTTTGAACCCAGGAGGTGGAGGTTGCGGTGAGCCAAGATCAGACCATTGAACTCCAGCCTGGGCAACAAGTGCAAAACAAAACAAAACAAACAAACAAAAAGAAATGGGGCTCTCAATTGTATTAAGGTACTTTCGAAAGTACTAACCATTTATCAATATCACAGATCAAAAAGTTCTAGGTTTATTTTGTATTATAATGAACATCCTTTTATTTTTTCAAAATTGAAAAATAATTTTTAGATTTTTCAAATTTATATTTATCAGTTATTGAGATGAACACCTCTCAGTAATTTTTTTTTTTTGAGACAGAGTCTAACTCTGTCGCCAGGCTGGAGTGCAGTGGTGCAATCTCGGCTCACTGCAACCTCTGCCTCCTGGGTGTAAGCGATTCTCCTGCCTCAGCCTCCCGAGTAGCTGGGACTACAGGCGCATGCCACCATGCCCAGCTAATTTTTGTATTTTCAGTAGAGATGACGTTTCACCATGTTGGCCAGGATGGTCTCGATCTCTCGACCTCGTGATCTGCCCACCTCAGCTTCCCAAAGTGCTGGGATTACAGGTGTGAGCCACTGACCTTGCAATAATTTTCAGTCAGTCTTTATACATTAAGACTACCTTGCTTCGTTTGAGACAGGGTCTTGCTCTGTCACCCAGGCTGGCGTGCAGTGTCACAATCATAGCTTATGGTGGCCTTGAACTCCTGGACACAAGTGATCCTCCTGCCTCAGCCTCTCAAAGCACTGGGATTACAGACGTGAGCCACCACACCTAGCAACACTACCTTTTGATATGTTGCAAATATTTTTTCTGAATTGGGCAGGAATCTTTTACACAATTTAATTCCTTACAAGTAGAGAAGTAAGAACATTAACTCTGGAGCTGGACTATTGGGTTCAAAACCTGACTGACAACTTTCTATAAAAAAGCTGACACTTTCAGCTATAAAACTCTGGCAAGTTATGTTATTTAACTGGTGTCTGTTACATGTCCACATATGAGAAAAACAGTAACCGCCTCCTGAGGTTTTTGTGAGGACCAAATAATTTTTATTCACATACATCTAGTTCATCTACCTAAAGTGTTCAGAACAATGTTCAGCACATATTAAGCTTGATATAACTGTTACCTATGATGATGACGATGATGATGATAATGATAACTGTACAGTCACTGTCTTTCTGAAGTTGTTTGGTGATCAAGAATGTGTTTAGAACTATCTCTTTATTAGACAAAGTCATAAACCAAAAATTTCCAACTTCCTGTACATGTTGAAAGCTTTAAATAAGGATCCTTGGATACAAAATATGGTCCACATGGCTGAAAATTAATTCTATGACACAATATTATTCTAAAGTCATCCTTATTTTGAAAGCCTAAAGATTTTCTTTTATGGCTATAAAAATACCACCAAGCTAGACATTTTAATTCTGTTGAGATATACAAATAGAATTACCACAGCAGCCTACACCTTCTATGATTTCTAAACACTTAAACATCAATGGTTTTGGGAAGATGCTGTTGTCCTTCAAAGTTCATTAAAAGTTCAGATGCCTTTTGTGAAAGCCCAACTTTTCTTCTACCTGCTAAATTGTCTTTTCAGAAGTCTTGCCGGATGTTTTCTTTGTTTGCCTCTCCATGTTGCTGCTTAATTTGATAGATTTCATTTTCTAGCTGAACAATAGTCCGTTCAATCTCATAATTCTTACTGACCAGGGATACCCAACTAGAATGGGGGGGAAGAAAAGAAAAAAATTACTCAATGTAAAACTTCTCTTAGAAGATTTTATTTTAAATGTATACACATGTTCACCCAGAGCTATAACACTAACCTTCACTTTTTTTTTTTTTTTGAGACGGAGTCTCGCTCTTGTTGCCCAGGCTGGAGAACAATGGCGCAACCTCAGCTCACTGCAACCTCCGCCTCCCGGGTTCAAGGGATTCTCCTGACTCAGCCTCCCGAGTAGCTGGATTACAGGCACACGCCACCACAGCTGGCTACTTTTTTGTATTTTTAGTAGAGATGGGGTTTCACCACGTTGGCCAGGCTGGTCTCAAACTCCTGACCCCAGGTGATCCACCCACCTCGGTCTCCTAATGTGCTGGGATTACAGGCATGAGCTACCATGCCTGGCCTAACCTTCACTTTCAACTTTCCATTAAAAAAAAATCAAGGCACAATTGTGGAAAAGTAGGTAAAGGGTACATGGAATCTCTCTGTATTCTTTTTTTTTTTTTTTTTTTTTTTTCCAGAGACAGGGTCTTGCTCTGTTGCCTAGGCTGAAATGCAGTGGTGTGATCACAGCTCACTAGCCTGGAACTCCTGAGCTCAAGCAATCCTCCAACCTCAGCCTCCTGAAGAGCTTAGACTACAGGTGCATGCCATCATGCCTGGCTCATTTAAAAGCATTTTTTTGTAGAGACAGGGTCTCGTTATGTTGCCCAGGCTGGCTTGAACTCCTGGCTTCAAGCAATCCTCCTACCTTGGCCTACCAAGGCACTAGGATTACAATGTGAGTCACCACACCTGGCTCTCTGTATTATTTCTTACAATTGCATGTGAATCTATAATTATCTAAAAATAAAAGTTTAATAAAAAAGCAAATTAGAAACAGATGAGAGAACTTGCAAACCAGAAGAAAGAGGAAAGAGTGATGAAGATAGTATTTAATCAACAAAAAGGAAAGAGGCAATAGTTTATTAAATTGAGGAAAAAGCGTGAAAGGGTACCAACGAGACTGGTAAGACGTACATGGAGACGGTGGAACAAGAATGACTTGAGTAATGAAGGGAGAAAGGGAATGGCCAAGCAAAAAGGAAGAGAGAAATGACACAAATATTCAAGATTATATTGTATAAAGGTATACATGTGTGTATGTAAAAGAACATTTTTAAAAATGCATAAACCTGAGGTACAAAAAAATTACCAAGTATGAAATCTCCCTCCCTACAAGATTTTATAAAATAATTTTTTTCCTTTTTTTTTTTTTAAAGACTAGGTCTTGCTCTGTTGCCCAGGCTGGAGTGCAGTGGTGTGATTATGACTCACTGCAGCTTCAACCTTCCAGGTTAAGCAATCCTCCTGCCTCAGCCTCCAGAGTAGCTGGGACTACAGACATGTGCCACCGTGCCTATTTTTTTTTTTTTTCCGTTTAAAAGGAGAATAAAGGTAGAGTTCTATTCAAGGCCAAAAATACTAGACTAAAAACAGGGTATTCTAAGACCAGAATCCTTTAGCAATGGTTCAATTTAGCAAAGGATCCTTCGCCAATGGTTCAATTCTCGTTTATAGTTCTCTTTAACACCTTATAAAGAGGCAGAGACGGGGAAGGGTGAATTCAGAAAATAGCATTTCTTTGTTACCTGTGGCATCCCATTTGAATGCTATTTGAATCATATTATTGAATCGACCTTAGAAAGGGCTAAACAATTTAAAAGATGATGGAATTATAGATACTCACTTTGACTCCATTTCTCTCAATTTAGATCCAGCTGTGAGTTGCATGTTCTTTCTCTGCCAGTTTAAATCTTGAATATGTTTTCTGTAAAAAATTATTTATACAACCCAATTACATTTTAATGTAAGACCTAAATCAACAGAAAACTCTATAACACAAGAGAATATCTTAATCCCATGAGAACAATATTATGTACAGTTATAGGCTAACTGTAGAAATTACCTTTCTTCTAATTATTTTTTGATTACAAGTTTCATAAAACATGCTCATTGTGAGAAATCACACACACACACACACACAAGCACACACAGATTACAAGTCTCAAGTCCCCCCTCTCATGCATGTCTCCTTTTTCCTGATAACTCCTGTTGAGTTTTTGCTGGGTGTCCTTCCAGGCTTTCCTATATGTGTGTGTAGAAATTGGTTTTAAAAATCAGATTATATGTGTTATTCTGCAACTTTTCCCACTCTAAAAGTGCCTTTCTATGTTTGCAGACTTGCAAGCTGCAAGTGGCAGAGATGTTTTCAGACCTCAGGCCTATTTCTCCTCTACTTAGGTAGGGCAAACCCAGTGTCAGATGTTGAACAAAGAGAGTGGATCAATTGTTTACTTTCATCTGGCTGCAGTCTCTTTGCTTTCTTTTTCCTCCTATTTTCTATTTATTAAAGGTTCACTTAAACTTCATTCTGTAATAGGAAAAAACAATTTACCTTAACTTCTGAAGTTCCTTCTGTGCGTGTTCAATCATATGAACTAGATTTCTGAAGGAAAAGAGGAAAATCAGATTAAAATACATTAAAATAGTACCAATTAAAAGTGAACTTTTTCAAGTTTTTCTGCCAAAAATCATATTTATGGAGCTCTGTGCCAAGAACTATGTTGGACACTCCATAATCGAGGACTGTCACTCATGCTGGAATGCAGTGGTGTGATCATGGCTCACTGCAGCCTTCACCTCCCATGATCAAGTAATCTTCCTGCCTCAGCCTCCCAAGGAGCTGCAATCCTCCCACCTTGGCCTCCCAAACTGCTGGGATTACCATGCCCTGCCTGATCTTGGAGTACTTAGGTTACTTTTTTTTTTTTGAGACAGTCTCGTTCTGTTGCCCAGGCTGGAGCGAAGTGGTGAGATCTCAGCTCACTGCAGCCTCTGCTTCCTGGTTCAAGAGATTCTCCTGCCTCAGCCTCCCAAGTAGCTGGGATTACAGGCATGTACTGCCATGCCTTGCTAATTTTTGTATTTTTTTTTTTAGTAGAGATGGGGTTTCACTATGTCGGCCAGGCTGGTCTCGAACTCCTGACCTCAAGTGATCCATCTGCCTCGGCCTCCCAAAGTGCTGAGATAACAGGCGTGAGCCACTGTACCCAGCTTTTTTTTGCGGAGGGGAGGGACAGAGTCTTGCTCTCCTGTTGCTCAAGCTGGAGTGTAGTGGTGCAATCATGGCAGCCTCAACCTCCTGGGCTCAACTGATCCTCCCACTTCAGGCCTTCAAAGTAGCTTGGATTACAGGCATAAGCCACCATGCCCGGCTAATTTTCATTACTTTTTTGTAGAGACAGGGTTTCACCACGTTGTCCAGGCTGGTCTTGAACTCCTGGGCTCAAGCAATCTCCCCACCTCAGCCTCCAAAGTGTTGGAATTACATGTGTGAGCCACACGGCCTTTTGTCACTTCTTAAACTGTCATGACTTCTTGTCATAGAAAAGATGGAATATATCTGAGTACCCACTTATTTTATTTCTCAACCCCCTTTTATCTCTATATTTCTGCATATACATTCACCTTGTCATTCTCTCCTCCTGTCTACTGCTAACTAGAGAGAGGTGAGAAAAAGAAAACTGTTGTAGAATGAGATATCAGTCCATATTTGCATGTAACATATGCATAGCAAAATAAAAAATAGATACCAGTCCAGGTCAGCTGTAACTAGCACAGGGGAAAAGTTCAATAATACAGAGTACCATATAATTATTTTAGAGAAGTAATGAAACAGATTTTAATCTCTTTTTTAAGTTTAAATAACAACTTTATTAAGATATAATTCCACATCATATCAATTTCCTCTTAAGGCAGTGGATCAATCACCTACAGGGTCCATTTTTACCACATCTGGCCCTAATGTGTTCTTGCTCTAAATCTAATATTGTTTCCTGGCTTTTGTGACTCAAATTTTCTGTTGCTCACCTGAGTTATTCTCCTACCTCTACTGACTGGTTTCCTTGCATTAGCTGCAATTCTCTCAAGATTCAGTCTTTAAACAGCTGTGCCTCTCTAGGCTTTCCCTCAGGTCATCCCCCTTTCCTTGACTTCGACAATCACTCCATGCTGAGCACTATTGATTTTAGTGCTCTATTCCAGACTTCTGACCACTAACAGGGAGCTTTCCTTTGAATTGGCTCTCCCTGAAAGTTTAGTTTGTCTTCTCCCTTCTCCCACCCTTCCTCTTAAATATACTTTGATAAAATATAGTACATCTCCTCTGGAGAAGTGTCCACTGAATTTGGAGGAGACAAAATATGCTTAGGGGAATGTGAAGCACTATAGAGCACTTTGTGATTAAATGGAAAACAAGTGATGTGCACAATAATTCTGTGTATAGTTACTCAGAAGAGGGAGACAATACTAGAAGCAGAATTTCAATCAGGGAAGAAGACAAGTAAGCAAACTAGAGCTGAGCCCTAAACAAGCTGAATTTGGGTATAACAGGTAAAGACAAGGGCAAGTAAAGGCCCAGAGGCAGGATTTGCAATAATCACCAGAGAAAGGACTAGTTTGGGTTGAGTTAAAAGTCTACAGTTGAGGTAGTAAGGAAAAGCCCTTGAATACCACGTTAAAAAGCCTGGCCCAGCCGGGTGCTCACACCTGTAATCCCAGCACTTTGAGAGGTTGATGCTGGAGGATCACTTGAGGCCAGGAGCTCAAGACCAGCCTGGCCAACATGGTGAAACCCCGTCTCCACAAAAAATACAAAAATTAGCCAGGCGTGGTGGTGTCTATAATCCCACCTACTCTGGAGGCTGAGGCAGAAGAGTTGCTTGAACCCGGGAGGGTTGCAGTGAGCTGAGATTGTGGCACTGCAATCTAGCTTGGGCGACAGAGCAAGATTCTGTCCCGCCCCCCGCCCCCACCTCCAAAAAAAAAAAAAAAAAAAAAAAAAAAAACTTGGCCTCTACCTTGCAGGTAATAGGGAATTATTAAAGGTTTTCAGGTAAGTTGACAGCAGTGTTCTTTTCAATGTCATATTTTTTCCTCTGCATCTATGCTCTCCATTCCTGGAATGTTTTCCTTGTTTCCTTCTAAACATCCCAATTTCACCTTTCTTCAACAACCTTCAACTTAATGCCCCATCTTTTTTTTTCTTTTTTTTGAAACAGACTACAAGTGTGTACCACCATACCTGGCTATTTTTTTTATTGTTTTCTATAGAGACAGGGTTTCACTTACGTTGCCCAGGCTGGTCTCAAACTCTTGGCCTCAAGTGATCCTCCTGTCTCAGCCTCCCAAAGCACTAGGATTATAAGCGTGAACCACGCCTGGCAATGCCCCATCTCTTAACGCTTAGTTTACAGACCACAGCACACAATGTAGCACTTGCCCCCATATTGCCAAAAATGGACTATTGGTTACTTGGCATAAAACTTATTATCTCTTCCATTAGATAAAGCTTCTTGAGAAGAATCACATTTTTCCATTTTGTGAAACAGATTTATTGATGTCGCTTACATTTCTTAATCACCCTAATCCCATTCTTTCTTCTTTTTCCCCCCTTGCAATATATAGATATATAAAAGAAAGTTAGTTGTTGGCTTTGTAGAGTTTCCCAAATTCTGGATTTTGTCCACTGGATCATTTTTATGTGGCTACAAATATTAAATGCATAATTCTGAAGATTTGAGAAACAGTATTATCATTTCATGGTTTTGCTTTATTTTATATAGCTATGTTTCAGGAAACATACTCTAACGAAAGTTGTACATACTGTTATGAAGTTCAGTGGCCTTTTTCTCTTAAATTGTGAATAGACACTCAGGAAATTTTAGGGCACAAAGGGGCCATGCAGATAATCTAACCACGGAATTTTGCAAGCAAGGAATCTGAATTCTAGATAGACAATAAATACTAAAGCTAGAGCTAGTTACATGGAACAGAAACAGGATGTCAGTGGCTTGTTTTGACAACAAATACTTGCTCAAATTTATTTGTAATCCCAAAATTACTACTTGTAGTGTTTTGCAGTCATTCATGGACATGTGCACAGTGGTGAAAAATCTGAGCAGCTGAGCATGCACATTTTCAGCTGAGGATGAACAAGGAGGTGCTTTGCCTTCTTGTTTTAGCTCTCATACAGAAATAACCAGAGGATGAAGTTCAAGTTCCAAGTCTGGGATCTGTTAGTGGGGCAGTTTCAAGAAAGTTACTTTACATTTCTCAACTTTGTTTTCTCTTTTATAAAATAAAGAAGTCTACCAGGATGAGTTTATTTTAGGATTTAAGATTATAATCTATTTGAGAGATATGTATATGTGTGCACATGAATATGTATATATTTCCCCTAGGAGAAATGGTACAGTATTTGCTAATTCAGTGTTCATAGGACTTAAAGAACATAACCCATGACTAATGAGAATCAACTGTTTAAGCAACGCTTGATAACATTCTATCAAGTGGTGCTCTGCAAATGGGACCTCAGAACTAGTTTTGTTACAATATTATACAATAAATGTCGTAGTTTGGTTTAGGTCCTGTTAGTACTCTTGAACTTTGAGGTGGGTTTCAAAATAGTGGCCTTTCATATGGGTTGCAGTTCTAGAACATAATCCCAAGACAAAGTCTAGCTATATTATTTTTATCACACTTCCCCTACCCATACTTTGTGGGGTTTTTTTGTTTGTTTTTTGAGATGGAGTCTCGCTCTGTCACTGTGGCTGGAGTGCAGTGGCACAATCTCAGCTCATTGCAACCTCTGCCTCCCAGGTTCAAGCAATTCTCCTACCCCAGTCTCCTGAGTAGCTGTGACTACAGAAGCGCCACCATGGCCGGCTAATCTTTTTTTTTTTTTTTAGTAGAGATGCGGTTTTACCATGTTGGCCAGGCTGGTTTCAAACTCCTGACCTCAGGTGATCCACCCGCCTCGGCCTCCTGAAGTGCTGGGATTACAGGTGTAAACCACCGCGCCCGGCTTTTCTTTTTCTTTTCTTTTTTTTTTTTTTTTTTTGAGATAGAGTCTCATTCTGTCGCCTAGGCTGGAGTGCAGTGGCAAAATCTTGGCTCACTACAACCTCTGCCTCCCAGGCTGAAGCAATTGTCATGCCTCAGCCTCCAGAGTAGCTGGGATTACAGGCACACGTTACCATGCCCAGCTAATTTTTTGTATTTTTTTTTTTTGTAGAAATGGGGTTTCACCATGTTGGCCAGGCTGGTCTCGAACTCCTGACCTCAAGCAATCCACCCACCTCTGCCTCCCAAAGGGCTGGGATTACTGGCATGAGCCACTGCACCCAGCACCTCCCATACTTTTAAAATGTACTAAAACTTTGGGTGAGATGGAAAGAAAAGAGAAAAAACAAAAAAAACAGAAGATGAAGAAAAAGGTTCTTACTCATTGTATACTTTCCAGGCATTACATCCATGCTGTGACATTAGTTCCAGATTCTCAATTCTAACTGCTTGATGCTCTAACTGGGCCATAGAATTGTTTACACATTCTTGCCATGCAGTAATGTCATTTTTTTGACCAGAGGAGGGGGCTGGAAGCTCATATCTGAAATTAAACAACAAAATAAAATAAAACCATCTATACTGCCAAGCCTTTACATCTCTTCTCAGTAGAATGTCCCATGAGTCTCCATATAGTATAAAAACTACAGAAGACTAAGGATGTAAACCTTGCAATAATAAGAAACCGATATATGCTAACAATCAATTTACAAATATGATTTAGCACCATTATGTTCACTTCAATGTGAACTGGTTAAATAAGCAACATTACATTCACATAAAAGATTGTTACATTAGCTATTAAATGTTACTGAAGAATATTTAATAATATTAAGATGTCAGTAATATATTAAGGGGAAAAAGC
This sequence comes from Homo sapiens, assembly GCF_000001405.40. Classification (NCBI taxonomy): domain Eukaryota; kingdom Metazoa; phylum Chordata; class Mammalia; order Primates; family Hominidae; genus Homo; species Homo sapiens. The sequence goes on from NC_000001.11 coordinate 114,576,073, forward strand.
AGTAGACAAAAAAGTTTGCTACCATTTTTGTAAAATACTCACACCCACCCATCCACTAACATACCCATGCGCCGGTAGAGAAAAAAATGAGAAGCGATATGACTCCTTCTATTCTCTCTTCATACTACCCAGTCAGTCCTTCAACACTGCCTCTCTCTCTCTCTCTCTCTCTCTCTATATATATATATATATAGTTTTTTTTTCAAGACTGGGTCTCCCTCTGTCCCCAACGCTGGAGTGCAGTGGCACAATCTCGGCTTGCTGCAACCTCCATCTCCTGGGGGGTGTCAAGCGATCCACCTACCTCAGCTTTCCAAGTAGCTGGGTCCACGGGTGCGTGCCACCACACCCAGGTACGTTTATTATTATTATTATTATTATTATTAATTATTTTTGGTAGAGATGGGGTTTTGCCATGTTGCCCAGGCTGGTCTCAAACTCCTGGATTCAAGCAATCCACCAGCCTCGGCCTCCCAAAGTGCTGGAATTACAGGTGTGAGCCACCACACCCGGCCAACACTGCCAATATTAGCCAGCAAATACATTCTTCACAAATCTCAGCTCATTACTGAGTTACTACAAACTAAATTTTAATTTCCATTTTAATATTCTTACCGTTTCATACTGAGCAATTCAATTGGTTGTCGAGCAGCCAGTCTTTCAAATTCATTTCTCATTATGTCAGTCTGATGTGTAAATCAGAAAAAAGATTTCTAAGATCATGTTGACAACTAAAAATTAACAATCACCAAAGAACAGATTTAAGCTACACTACCCATTATAATGAATTGTTTACCTTTCCCTAATTCTTCTCTGAGTTAAATGCTCTCTAGAATCTGAAGCACACACACACACACTCACTCACTCACTTCACATTCAGGAAAAGTGGCATGTATTAAGGAGCCCACAGAGAAAAGGATTAATCCTAAACCAGTGGTTCTTAATTCCAGAAGCATATCAGAATCAGTTCGACAGTGCTATGGTTTGAATGTTTGTCCCCTCTGAAATTCATACAGAAACTTAATCCCCAATGTAATAGTATTAAGAGGTGGGGTCTTTAAGAGGTGATTGGGTTATGAAGGCTCAATCCATTCATGGGTTAATAAGTTATCACCAGAGTGGGTATGTTATAAAAGCCAGTTTGTCTTTCTCTTGTGTGCCCCTACCTTGCCATGTAATGCCCTGTGCTGCTTCAGGACTGTACACCAAGTCCACACCAGCAAGAAGGCCCTCACCAGATGCAGCCTGTGAACCGTACACTTTCCAGCCTCCAGAAATCCAAGAAATAATTTATTTATTTATTTATTTTTTTTTTGTGAGACGAAGTCTCGCTCTTGTCCCCCAGGCTGGAGCGCAATGGCGCGATCTTGGCTCATCTCTGCCTCCCGGGTTCAAGCGATTCTCTTGCCTCAGCCTCCCGAGTAGCTGGGATGACAGGCATCTGCCACTATGCCTGGCTAATTTTTGTATTTTTAGTAGAGACAGGGTTTCACCATGTTGGCCAGGCTGGTCTCGAACTCCTGACCTGAGGTGATCGGCCTGCCTCAGCCTCCCAAAGTGTCTTTTCTTTATATTCACTATCTTCTCTAGCAATTTTACTGTTCGCAAGTAAATGTAGTATAGCTGTTCCTCTTTAGGGCCAACGTCCTAACCCATTTCCATTCTGCACATTTCCTACCCTGAGGATAAAGAACTGCTTAAAATATTTCTTTGTAGTAATACTTCGGTTATTCCATGTAATTTTAATTTTCTGAGGGTTTCAACTATCTTAACAATTAGACTAAATAAGTATCAAAGGCCTTACAGAAGCCTGCATGAATGTTTAAAAGTTTTTATTAGGCCGGGCGAGGTGGCTCATGCCTGTAATCCCAGCACTTCGGGAGGCCGAGGTGGGTGGATCACGAGGTCAAGAGATCAAGACCATCCTGGCCAACAAGTTGAAACCTCATCTCTACTAAAAATACAAAAATTAGCTGGGCGTGATGGCACGTGCCTGTAATCCCAGATACTCGGAGGCTGAGGCAGGAGAATTGCTTGAACCTGGGAGGTGGAGGTTGCAGTGAGCTGAGATCACACCACTGCACTCCAGCCTGGCAACAGAGTGAGACTTCATCTCAAAAACAAAAAAACAAAAAAACAAAAAAACAAAAAACAAAAAACAAAAAATTTCGTATTAAGCATTTCTTTCTGCAGAAAGTATTTTGCAGGGGCTACTGCTAAATTACACACAATCTTAAGAAAATGTAGTTACCTAGTTTCCTGCAAAAAAAAAAACCAGGGCATTCTAGCTAGAAAATTCTGCAGTGACAGACAAGGAGTAAACAGCCAATTAAACACGAGGCAGTATAAAAATGCAGTATAAGTAGTCTTGAGCCATGTAGCATAGGAGGAACCCTTAACTAACTCACATGCTCAGTAAGTGATAAATCTGGAATTTTAGCTCATCTCTCTCCAAAGACTAAGCCAGTGTTCATGGAGCGGCAAGGGCAATCCCTGCTCATGGAGTAGTCTCATCTTAGCTTTGAGAGGCCTTCCTCAACCACCCAACCTGGAGTCGCCCAGTCACTTTATCACTATCATTCTCTGTGCAGCATTTATCAACAATTTTTCTGATCTATTTATTGTCTGTCTCAACACTCTAGATTTTAAGGTTCATGAGTATGGACCCTGCCGATACTGTTCTCCAATACCCAGAATGGAACAGACCTTCGTAAATAGTTGTTAAATGAATTAATGAAAGAGTAATTTCAGAGGCAGTTTGAAGAACAGTTAAGGTCTTAGTCAATTAGCCTCTCTAAGCTGCAGTTTTCCCAGCTAAAAAATGGGGATAGCAAACATAGTTATATAGTTTATAGAGCTGTTATGTGCACCAAGTAAGACAGTGAACCCAGTAAATATTACCAACTATTACTAAGAAAGGATGCCAGGTGTGGTGGCTCACACCTGTAATCTCAGCACTTTGGGAGGCCGAGGCAGGTGATTCACTTGAGGTCAGGAGTTCGAGACCAGCCTGGCCACAATGGTGAAACCACGTTTCTACTAAAAATACAAAAATTAGTTGGGCATGGTAGTGCGTGCCTGTAATCCCAACTACTTGGGAGGCTGAGGCAGAAGAATGGCTTGAACCCAGGAGGCAGAGGTTGCAGTGAGCCGAGGAGTTGCACTCCAGCCTGGGCACCAGAGCAAGACTCTGTCTCAAAAAAAGAAAGGATTAAATAATCAGTAAACTAATTACAGGAGAATCACTTGAACCTGGGAGTTTACTAATTAAATCATCAGTAAACTAATTACAAAGGTATTTAAGAGAGAAGGAAAAAAACTGGCAAAAGTATTTTAAAAAGTCTGTGATTGAATGCAGTTATCTGAAACCTTCAGAAATCAGTCCAATAAGGAAGCATTACTGTACTTAGTTCTTAATGTGGTTAACATCTACACCTAGGTACAAATATTTAGAAAAAGCATAGGAAAACACGTTCATAGGAACATACGTCTTCTACTTAAAACTCAGCCAAGGCTGGGCATGGTGGCTTACACCTGTATCCCAACACTTTGGGAGGCTGAGGTGGGTGGATCACTTGAGGCCAGGAGTTCAAGACCAGCCTGGCCAACATGGTAAAATCCCGTCTCTACTGAAAATACAAAAATTACCCAGGCATGGTGGCAGGCACCTGCAATCCCAGCTACTCGGGAGGCTGAGGCAGGAGAATCACTTGAGCCCGGAAGGTGGAGGTTGCAGTGAGCAGAGATGGCACCACTGCACTCCAGCCTGGGTGACGTAATGAGACTCCGTCTCAAACAAAAACAACAACAAACTTAACTAACAATTTTTTCATGTTACTTTAATGTAAATAATATCTTTTTTTTTTTTTTTCCCTTTGAGACAGGGTCTCACTCTATTGCCAGGCTGGAGTGCAATGGCATTATCATGGCTCACTGTAGCAGTCTTGAACTCCCAGGCTCAAGTGATCCTCCCACCTTGGCCTCCTGAGTAGCTGGGGCTACAGGTGCATGCCATCATGCCTGGCTAACTTTTTAATTTTTCTTTTGTAGAGAAAGGGTCTCACTATGTTGCCCAGGCTGGTCTCAAGTGATCCTCACACCTCAGCCTCCTAAAGTGCTGGGATTACAGGTGTGAGCCACCACACCCAGCTAAATACTGCCTTTTAATAATACAATCCTTTCATAAATAAACGATTAGGTATAATGGGAAAAAATCCTCCAAGCTGTACATACTGAAATACTTGAATCCAATAATTTAGAAATGATATCTTACATTTCATTTAGCTAACTAGACCCTAACTAGAATCCTGGGTGTACTTCAAGGTTATACATTTAAAATAGTATCATACTCAATGTGTGGAGTAGAACAGCATCTGACTCCTTAGGCAATCATGGACACTCCCTTCTCTAATCCTCTTGTCCTTATACATACCCTCCGCTATAGGTCCTTTACATATTATTACACATTTATACATACTATTGTAAACTTTTTGTTTTATATATCTAGCTCCTCACTGTATTGTATTTTTCTGTATTCAGAAACCCTATCTTTTTTGGAGAGGATGTTTGTCTTAAATAAAGAAAAGAAAAATTAAAAGAAAACAAAATATATTAAAAAAGAAACCCCATATATCTCTATGATCTCAGAATCTAGAATGGCACCTAGCACTTGTAAAGTATTCATATCAGTGAAAATTATTGCCTACATTAATCAGAAATGTGTTAATAAAAACATCGGATAGATTACAGAAAAAAGGAGAAGGCTGAGAAAAAAGTAGTATACACTTGGATATGGTTTGTCCTTTCAGTCGTATCACATACATTTGGTAAATAACTAGACTTTAATATGCCACTCTCCAGTGGTTCTAAAGAGCTTAGGTAATTAGGCTTATACATATTAAAAAACCCTAGATCACTTGCTGTAGAGTGAATCTTGGCAGGAGAGGGTCCCTTTGAGAATTTACGCATGGATCCTATCTCAAAGAATGGTAGCCACAAATTTTTGCATTAAGTGAGTTGTGGAGCCCCAGAAAGTCTTCCTATGGATCTTAGAATAAGAACCTCGGAGAAGACTTATCTATCTAGTTGTTTTCAATAGACTGACACCTATACAGTAGGTAAGTAGTAGCTATGCAGGCAATGGTTAAAACTGGAATTTAAAGCTCTCAATCCAAAATAAAGGTTCACAGGAATTCTCGTTCACACCTAGGCTCAAGACATACTTACTTCAAAGGCAGAATAATCCGGGGCTGTCAGGTAGCTCAGGTAGTTCTTAGTAGGTCGGTATCTGCGAGTTTCCTCCTCCACCAGCGCTGCAGCCTAAGAAAGAGAATAGGGACCAGGGTAGAAGTGGCAAATTGTAACATGTTTCTTTCAGTACCGAGCCAGCTAGCAGTGAGTCAGCTACAAAGACACCCCGCACTCACCGCTTCCCGCACACCAGGGGCTTCATAACCTTGATCAAAATACGGCAGCGCATCCACCACAACCTCTCCAGCCACCAAACCTGTGCCCGCCATTCTGAGGACCTCAGGTTTGCCTGCGTTTTCTGCGTCTGCGTAAACTCAGTTATATTTAATTACGCCGGCGCCTGACACTGATGTAATCACGTTCCCTCCGTATTGACGTTAGTGCATGCTCAGTTGCTAATTTTGAAGGCGGGTCCGCCCGGTATCTAGAAATTGCCGGGCTGGTTTGTTTTGGGCGGACGTGACGTAACGTCTTGGCTTGTCTGCGTCAGCGAAAGGCCTCAATTTCCTGTCCTCTGCTTACTGCCCCTTTTTTTGCCTGCGAATGGCGGCGATTTGAAGTTGGGGCTTTTCGTTTCCTCCAAAACATTGATATCTGGAAAGGGAGCCCCTTAACACTTTTGGAGGGAACTGGCTGCAGCATTTGGCGGGGAGAGATAAACTGGTTTCCCACCTCTGCTTACTCCCACCTTCTCCCCTTAATCTTCTCTTCCTCTGTGCGAGACTTTTTTCCTTTTTTATTGTAGACACAGGGTCTTTGTTCTGCTGCCCAGGTTGGAGTGCAGTGGCGTGATCATAGCTCACTGCAGCCTCAACCCCCCGGGCCCAAGCGATCCTTCCACCTCAGCCTCCCGAGTAGCTGGGCCTAGAGGTGCACACCACCATGCCTGGCTAATTTTTAATTTTTTTTGTAGAGATGGAGCCTTTCTATGTTGCCAAGCCTAGCCTCGAACTCCTGGCCTCCCAAAATGTGGGGAATACAGGCGTGAGCCACTGCACCCCGGGTCATTCCTCTTTTACTTCCTTGCTGTACCCCAACTATCCTTCCCCCTCGGTGCCCTTAAAACCTTTGCATTGGGTAAGTACATTTTTTAAAGAGACTCTAGAATTGGGCGCCAGTCTCCAATTAAAATTGTGAAGCTTTATGGTCTGCGTATCAAAAGGAACCTCAGTTCCTTAAAAATCCTGTCATTTTGCCTTTAGGACTTAACGGTAATAGAATGGCATTCCTCACTGCCTCCGAACCACTCAAGCTGCTGCCCATGCACTCTCTTCTGCATGGCTCCTGGACTAAGCAGCCTCCCTTTGATTAAGCAGGTAAAAACCAAATAAAGTTGTCAGACTATATGCCCTGCCCAGTGTGCAGTCTAGACCCAGCCTTTGTCTGCCAAGAGCCTGGAAATGTTGACCTCCGTTATTAAGCCTGGTCAGTCTAAGACTAATTCTTATTACCGAAGTACCATTAGGTAAATGTGCTAGCTATAGATTTAAGTGACATAAAAGATCTTAAAGAATTCTCCAAGGGATCTGTGGGGGGTTTATGTATTTATTCATTAAAAGATCTGTAAACAACATTTTATACAAATCTTGATTCTTTTACAAAAATATCCAGAATTCCTAACACTTTACAGAAAACACAACAGACCTAAGGAAATGAAGCAGCTTCAGGCTGCGAGGATGAAGACACCATTGCTGAAGCAAAGGTCTCCTCCTAGAGGGATAGCCAGGATCCATCACAGTAAACCCTTTTACCCCCATTTTATAAACATCCAATTATTAACTGTTCCTGCTGGGTTGGAGTGTAAGAAGAGACCAAATGGAGAGATGTCTAGTAGAAGCCCCACTGGGGGTAACCTGCTTAACATTAAAAAAAAGACAGGCTCAGTTCTATTCCCTGGACCCACATCTGTAGGAATTATATTATACAGCACCAGTCTTAAATGGTGTTCTGCTTCAGATTCATGCATACCTGAATGGGTTGTAATGACAATACTGTACAAGTCAATAAACTGTATCACAATACAACTTACACAGTTTTGTAAGGTTGAATAAATACTTTCTGTGCCAGTTAAAACCATCAGCAGAAACTGAAGAAAACAAACTGACATTTGCTATAACATTAATCAATGAAAAGTGCACCATCTGAACTTGAATTTGCCCATGAGTTTGAAAACACACACACACACACACACACACACACACAGGCCGGGTGCAGTGACTCATGCCTGTAATCCCAGCACTTTGGGAGGCCAAGGTGGGTGGATCACCTGAGGTCAGGAGTTCGAGACCAGCCTGGCCAACATGGTGAAACCCCCGTCTCCACTAAAAGTACAAAATTAGCCAGGTGTGGTGGCGGGTGCCTATAATTCCAGCTACTCAGGAGGCTGAGGCAGGAGAATTGCTTGAAGCCGGGAGGCGGAGGTTGCAGTGAGCCGAGATCACACCATTGCACTCCAGCCTGGGCAAAAAGAGCGAAACTCCATCTCAAAAAAAAAAAAAAAAAACCGAAACAAAACACACACACACACACATACACACACAAAAAAAACACTGCACCATCACTGAAAACTTTCTCTTTCCAATCACTACTACTACTACTTTAGATATTAAAGGTCTGGATGACTAAGTGGTATATGTTCAAGGAATGTTCATATTTTGAGTCTAATTTAATTAGAGCAAAAATTTCAACATTTCTAGGGGAATAAAAAGAGTCTCATCTAGGCACCTATAAAGTTCCTTATCCTCAGAGCTGAAAAGTGGCTCTGGTACACTTAATAGAAAATTTTTATTAATAAAAGAAATAGCTATATAATCCTACTGAGATGAAATTTCCATCTGTAGGACTAACCAACTTTTTCTGTGTCCATAAAAGTCTTGGCTTCAGTTCTGTGTTGTACAACTTTGGGCAACGTATTTAACTTCTTTGAATTTGTTTTTTTCTTTTTTCTTTTCCTTTTTTCTTTTTTTTGAGATGGAGTCTCGCTCTGTCACCCTGGCTGGAATGCAGTGGCGCGATCTCGGCTCACTGCAACCTCTGCCTCCTGGGCTCAAGCGATTCTCATGGCTCAGCCTCCCGAGCAGCCAGGATTACAGGCACCTGCCACCACACCCAGCTAATTTTTTGTGTGTATTTTTAGTAGAGACAGAGTTTCACCATGTTGCCAGGCTGGTCTCGAACTCCTGACCTCAAATGATCCACTCGCCTTGGACTCCCATAGTGCTGGGATTACAGACGTGAGCCATAGCACCCAGCCTCAGTTTATTAGTAAAATGGAGATGCAAATATCTATCTCATAAGGTTGATTTAAGGATTGGTTGAGATGATATGCATACATATACCACAGTGCATGGCACATGGTGGACACTAAAAAATAAAGGTGGCTCCCATGCCCTTGAAAGGACATTTTCATATTAGCTATAATTTCACAAAGTTTAAATTTATTTACTTATTTTTAAAATGTTTTTGTAGAGATGGGATCTTGCTATGTTGCCCAGGCTAGTCTCAAACTCCCACCCTCAAACTCCTGCCTTAGCCTCCCAAAGTGGTGGAGATTACAGGTGTGAGCCACTGCATCCAGCCTCCACAAAGTTTAATGTTGACATGTGAGGCACAAGCAAACTACTCAAATGCCACATAATTTGGAGGAGGAGTTGCAAGATGTCTAATTTTATAAGGTACTTAATAACAGTACCTTATAATATTACAAGTAGGGCTTCCTCCTAAGTGAGATTCCCCTAGATATAATATAAGGCAAAACAATGGAGATATGTGATGAGTCTATTCCTTAGCCCAGGTCAAACAGCCCATGGGTTTAAAGGGGCCATGATAGTTCAGTGATGAGAATTATGTGTATAAGGCTAGTGTTCTCCATTTCCATCATGTCTCTCTACTACCTTAAACTCAGCATTTCTCTCATTATTCTCATCTTTGAGCTATTTTTTAAATGTAACAACAACAAGGCTTTTCCTTGTGAAACACAACTACTTTCACAGACAAAGCACAAAACAGAGAATGAGCCCAAGAATCACATAGAAAAGGCTGCTATAAAAAAAAAATGGAGACAGAGTAAAGATGGCATGGTGCCAGACCATTCCCAACAATTCTCCAGTGATTACTACAGCAGCAACAGGAGAATCCTCCTCTAACAGCCTGACTCGCTCTTTAACCTTTTAAAATTTCAAGAATTTTGTAGAATACTTCATGGGATCCTGACCCTTAGAAAAATATTTTCTTTGGCACTTTCTGTTGTATATTCAGGATGGAGACAATCAGAGATTTCATTTCTTTTGCAGAAATTTCATTTTGCTTCCTAAAGGGAAAGAAAAGTACAGTGAATGCTCAATTCATTTTTATTTATTGTACATTATTTGAGGTAAGGGATTAACAGGTCAGTCATTCAGAACAGCCCAAGAGTTAAGCTGACATCTCAAACTCAGTTGATGTGTTTAACCCCCAAAACAAAAACAAAAATGAACCCCAAACCCCATATGTCTAGTTAATTGTAGCGGCAGAAAAGAACTCAGACATCATGTAATCCAGTGGTTTTCAACCTTGACTATAGGTTAAAATCACCTGGCTTCTCCCCAGAGATTTCCTGGAGCCCAGGGGAAAATTTTTTTTAAGTTCTCTGGAAATTATAAAATGTAGTCAGAGCTGGGAACCACTGATCTAATCTAACCCCATTGTATAAAGATGAAATAACAGCCTAAGGCCTAATTTGTCCATGGTCTGTCAGCTAGTGAAGGACAGGGCCTAATTAGGGGGCATATATTTCAAAGACAAAATATAAATATCGTAGCATATAGGTTATTCATTATTTTAGGCTAGCCACACCCCTGTTCTCTTGTATCATACTAATTAACTATTACTGAAAAATCATAAATGTGTTTCTGTATGAAGTAGAAAATTAGAGACTTGTAAGAAATCCTCTTTTGCCTCAGAAGTCCCTCTAAACCAAGTGTTTTTAATCTGGAGTACCAAAGATAGACTTCATGGGGTATATGAGCAGCCTAAAATTATGTGCAAAATTTATTTATATGCTGTAAATACATTTTTCTGGGAAAAAGGACCATGGTTTTTATAAGATTCTCCAAGGAATGTGTCCTAGAAATGATTAATAATGATGATATGCAAACATATCATGAAATAAATAAACTTATATCAGGGAAGTTCATCTCTGGGAAATGGCCCCACAGACCACTCTGATGAGGGATCCCAAATTTTGAGAAAAATGCTGCTTTTTCTCCAAAACACTTTGAAACTAGCATCATGGTTTATGGTCAGCCTATTTAAGGCTATATTGCTGATCTGATTATAAAGCTTTTGTGATGAGGCCCACTTACTGCAAAGCTTTTTCAGCCACATTTATTTTTTATTTTTATTTATTTTTTATTTATTTTTATTTATTTTTTTAATTTTTATTTATTTATTTTTTTAGAGACAAGAATCTCACTCTGTCATCTGTGGCAAGATCATCTTACTGAGGCCTCAAACTCCCGGGCTCCAGCGATCCCCCTCGGGCCTCTCAGCCTCCTGCGTAGCTAGAACTACAGGAATGTGCCAGCATGCCTAGCTAATTTTTTTTTTTTTTTTGAGACAGAATTTTGCTCTTGTTGCCCAGGCTGGAGTGCAATGGTGTGATCTCTGCTCACCGTAACCTCCATATCCTGGGTTCAAGCAATTCTTCTGCCTCAGCCTCCCAAGTAGCTGGGATTACAGGTGCCTGCCACTAAACCAGGCTAATTTTTGTATTTTTAGCAGAGATGGGGTTTCACCATGTTGGACAGGCTAGCTAGTCTCGAACTCCTAACCTCAGGTGATCAACCTGCCTCAGCCTCCCAAAGTGCTGGGATTACAGGCATAAGCCACCATGCCCAACCATGCCCAGCTAATTTTAAAATTTTGTGTAGGGATGGGGTCTCACTATGTTGCCCACGCTGGTCTCAAACTCCTGGCCTCAAGCAAACCTCCTTACTTGACCTCGCAAAGTGCTGGAATTACAGGCATGAGCCACCGCGCCTGGTCTTCAGCCACATTTATCTAACAGGAAAACACAGCAACTAACCAAGACTCCGCAAAATTCTATTCATCCCACTGGGCTCCGACTCAGGAATTGTTTCCAAATACTGGATGGCCCGGATCTCAAACAAACCTACAAGGAAAAACTCATGTTGGTGAAACTGTGTAACACTCCAGACTGGGAATTACATAAAATTCTGTGCTTATAACCAGTGTATTATTTCCAGGGCTAAAACAATATTACAAAATAATTCTCATAATAAACAACTCAGATTTTAAGCCCTTGTCGCTTTACAATACTTTTTATTCATAATATAGTAAAATCTTTCAAGGTATTCACTAAATAGAGAGGGAGAACTTTATAATGAAACTGACCTTTAACTCCACTTTTCCGAAGCTCTCGGTCCTGGATGAATCCTGCAAACATCTGAGTTTCCATGAAGAGATCCAGGAAGTGGCGTACACTTCGGGAGGTGTGGGACTTACGGAATGGTTCCCTTTGGAAAACACGCTCCCCACGCTCAGTGACAGTCATGTTCAAAGAATAATGTCCTACCAACTCCACAAAAAACCTGACAAATGCTTCGGACACCAGAGAGTTGAGTGTCACATCTGCTGCAACATGAAAAAGAAAAAAAGAAAAAAATCTCCTCAGTTATCTGTATCTGGAAACACTGGCTCTGGTTATGGAAGTCGTGCCTAAGAAGTTATAGATTAAAGGACTGAGAATAAATCTAGGAGTGTTCATTCTTCACTTTCTTTCTGCACGACCTAGAAAAGGCTAATTGCTTCTACCCTTCCCTTCATTTTCTTCCCATACATACTCCTTCTACATCTTGCAACCTGGCTTGCACATCTGTTGATTTCATTTTAACTGCACTTTCAAAGGCCACTGGTGAGAGCCAGCCAAATTTAATCTGCTTTTCTATTTTTATCTCCTTTAAGCTCCATGCTGCATTTGTGCTAACTACCTCCTCATTTCTCTTGTCCCCTACAACTCTATGCTCTTCTGATTTCCTGATTCCTTTCCTGACTTGATGACAAAGCAGTTATTTTTCTCTTGTCCTTTCTTTCTCTTCCTGAGCATGGTGCTCAGACACTCCTCTTCAACATTCCCTTCCGTAAAGGGCTAACTGGCACAGAGATAGAGCTGGCTATGATAATACTGTAATTCCAAACCTTAGTTTTCCAGCCCTGTTATCTCATCTTCTACATTTTCAGGCTACCTACGGGTGGTTATTATTTGGCTGTCCCATTAGCACATAAGTTCCATCTGTCTAAAGGTCACTATATCAGGTTCTTTTTGGAACTTGGACTATGAATCAATTAAACAAACAATACATATCTAAAGCTAAACCCATTATATTTCCCCACCAAATAAGTTTCCCTCTCAATATTCCCATTTTTTTAAATAAAGATTTTTTTTCCCCAAAATACAGACAAGGTCTTGCTATGTTGCCCAGGCACTTGTCTCAAACTCCTGGGCTCAAGCAATTCTCCCACCTCAGCATTCCAAAGTGCTGGCATTACAGATGTGAGCCACCATGCCTGGCTGACATTGCCATTTCATACTGCACTATAATTATTCCATAAAAATAGTGATTTGAGTGCTAAAGGTATGTTGTACTGTATTAAGTGCTTCTACAAACATAATAATCTATTATTTTTATTTTTCTTTTACAGAGGAAACTGAGATGCCAAATGATTAAATAAATTCTCCAGGGTCATCCCACCTAGTAAGTGAAGATGCTGGACTCACAAGTCAGGTGATTTTTAATCCCTATAATATACTACATTATATTGCCTTCCAGGTCCCAGGCTCAAACTTCAGATTCGACTTACACTCCCTCTTTTTCTTCCATATCCAAATCGTCTTTTTCCCCCCGCCCTCTTCACACTGTCTCTTGCTCTTTTCCCAGGGATCCACACAGGATGGGAATCAGGAACCTAAATTTAGTCAGAGTTCTACCATAAAGCAGTTGCATAATAGTGGGTGGCTCACTTTTCTCAGTTGGCCTGTCCATATCTATGCAGCTAGCAGGGCTGACCAGGTGATTTCCAAGGTCTCTTTCTGAATTACATTTTGACTGTAATCTAGGTTTTTGTTATATTTTGTCCAACACCCTTCCTTCTCATCTCTTTCCTTCTGCAGCTGAGAATCCATGTTCATCACTGCATTTATCTTTTTTCTTTTTTTTAATTAATTTTTTTTTGTAGAGATGGGGTCTTGCTATGTTGCTCAGGCTGGTATTGAACTTATCCTGCCTTGACCTCCCAAAGTGCTTGAGATCATAGGTATGAGCCACCACACCCAGCCCCAACACTGCATTTATCTTCAACACTTTTGCCTCACTGCTACATCTTAATTTCTTTCTTTTAAAAATTATGTTTTTCTATAATTTCTTTATTCTTTCCTTTTTAATGTATATACTTTACATATTCTTTGATATGTATGAATATTTTATAACATCACAAGTGAAATGAATAAATTCTCTACCACAAACAAAGCTTAGAAACAGAACATTACTAATGTCTTTGAAGTTTCCTATGCGACTCCAATGGCATTCTTCTTCTACTTTCCAACAGAGTGACCATGGAATTTTGTATTTGTTATTCCCTTGCCCTGCATTATAGTTTCACTATACACACATAAAACCCCAATAGCATATTAGTAGGTTTTTGTATGTCTTTGAACGGTATACAAAATATTGTATTCTTCTGCAACTTACTGTTTTATTCAATATATGTTTTTAAGATTCATTTTTAGCTGGGTGCAGCTAAAATGGCTCATGCCTGTAATCCCAACACTTCAGGAGACTGAAGCAGGCAGCTCACCTGAGCCCAAGAGCTTAGGACAAGGCTGGGCAACATAGACTCCATCTCTACAAAAAATTAAAGAATTAGCTGAGCGTGGTGGCACAGAAGTGTGGTCCCAGCTACTCAAGAGGCTGAGGAAGGAGGATTGCTTGAGCATAGGGGATAAAGGCTGCAGTGGGCCATGATCACAACACTTGCACTCCAGCCTGGTTGACAGAATGAAACCTTATCTCAAAAAAAAAATTCATTCTTAAGGCTTTATTCTCCTGAAAATGGATATTCACCCTGCTTTTAGTTTTTGCTATCACATATAATGGCACTATAAAAATTATTGAACTTGGCCGGGCGCGGTGGCTCACGCCTGTAATCCCAGCACTTTGGGAGGCTGAGGCGGGCGGATCACGAGGTCAGGAGATCGAGACCATCCTGGCTAACATGGTGAAACCCCATCTCTACTAAAAATACAAAAAATTAGCCGGGCGAGGTGGCAGGCGCCTGTAATCCCAGCTATGCGGAAGGCTGAGGCAGGAGAATGGTGTGAACCCCGGAGGGTGGAGCCTGCAGTGAGCCAAGATTGCGCCACTGCACTCCAGCCTGGGCGACAGAGCGAGACTCCGTCTCAAAAAAAAAAAAAAAAAAATTATTGAACTTGTTTCCTAGTGATCATGTGCAAGAGATTCACTAGGGTATGTATTTACAAACTACACTGTTGGGTTGTAGGATATGTACACCTTTAATTTTACTAGATAATGCCAACTTCAAAGTGGTTGAACTACTTGACACATTCTTACCAACACTTGATATTGTCAGACTTAATTTTTTTTTTTGAGACAGGGTCTTGCTCTATTGCCCAGGCTAGAGTGCAGTGGCACCATCACAGCTCACTGCAGCCTCAAATTCCTGGGCGCAAGTGATCCTTCCACCCAAGCCTCCTGAGTAGTGAGACTACAGGCACACATCAACACTCCTGGCTAATGTTTTAATTTTGTTTGTAGAAACTGGGTCTTGCTGTGTTACACAGGCTCGTCTTGAACTCCTGGGCTCAAGTGATTCTCCCACCTTGACCTCCCGAAGTGCTAGGATTACAGGTATGAACCACAGTGCCTGGACAGATTTTTTAGTTTTTGTGAATATGGTGGGTATAAAAAATGGTATTGCATTGTGGCTTACATTTACACTTCCCTGAATGTAAATGATGTAGTGAGGTTGCATGTCTCTTCAATTATTTATGGGCTTATCATGTTTCTTCTTCTTTGAATGTTTGTTCCTATCTTTTCCTCATTTTTCTATTGGATTGTTTATCTTTTTCTTACTGATTTGCAGGTGTTTTTTAAAAAAATAAATTCTAGACACTATTCATTTGATAGTTATATATATTCAAGATATCTTCACCTAGTCTGTAACTAGTTTTTAAAATCTCTTTTCCATGGTGTCCCTTGACGAAAAGAAAATGTAAAGATTTAACACAGTCAAATTAACCTGTCTTTTCCTTTATGGTCTCTGCTCTTTGTGCCGTATTTTTAAGAACCCCACCACTGTTTTATTGACATAAAATATTTTCTTCTATTCTTTTAAAAATATTTTCAAAAGCTTTGCTTTTAACATTTAAGTCTTTAAATTCACTGGAATTAATTTTCTGTATAGTGTGAGGTGTAGATCCATATTCATTTTTTTCATATAGAGACCAATTGTCCTAGTATCATTTATTATTATTATTATTATTTTTATTATTATTATTATTATTTTAGACAGGGTCTTACTCTCTCACCCAGGCAGGAGTGCAGTGGCACAATCTTGGCTCACTGCAACCTCCACCTCCCGGGTTCAAGCGATTCTCCTGCCTCAGCATACTGAGTAGCTGGAATTACAGGCGCGTACCACCACACCCAGCTAATTTTTGTATTTTTAGTAGAGATGGGGTTTCACCATGTTGGCCAGGCTGGTCTCAAACTGCTGACCTCAAGTGATCTGCCCACCTCCGCCTCCCAAAGTGCTGGGATTATAGATGTGAGCCACCGTGCCCGGCCCTAGTATCATTTATTAAATGGTCCATCCTTTTTCCACTGATACACAACGCTGGCTCTGACACAAATCAAGTTTCCTTATGTATATGCACTCTGTATTCTTTCTATTGCTCTATTTCTGCACCAAAACCAAACTATCTTAATTACTATCTTTATAATAATTTTTGATGTCTAGTAGTGCAAGCCTTCCAGTCTTGTTCTTTTTTGAGTGCCTTGGCTATTCTTGGCCCTTTGTACATACAATTAAATTTTATGGTTGGGCGCAATGGCTCACCCATGTAATCCCACGGCTTTGAGAGGCTGAGGTGGGTGAATTGCTTGAGCCCAGGAGTTCAAGATCAGCCTGGGCAACATCGTGAAAGCCCGTCTCTACAAAAAATACAAAAAAACCAGCCAGGTGTGAGGGTGCACGCCTGTAGGCCCAGCTACATGGCTGGCTGAGGTGGGAGGATTGCTTGTGCTCAGGAGGTCAAAGCTGCAGTGAGCTATGATCGCACCACTGCACTCCAACCTGGGTGACAAAGCGAGACCCTGTCTCAAAAATAAAAATAAAAATAATAAATAATAAATTTTACAATCAATTGCTGAATGGAATTCTAATTCTGTCTTGAACCCTCTCCCATCTCACTTTCTTCCCCTCATTCCACTGAATCTGCTGTTATCAAGGTCTTCATATTGTCAAATCCACTGGTCAAATCTTAATCGTCGCCATACTTGGTCTCTTTGCAGCTGTAGGCATAATTGATTACTCTTCTTTTCATGAAGTATTCTCTTTGCTCAACTTTTGCAATGTCACACTCCTGTTTGTTTTTTATTTTTCTTTTCACTTTTTGTAGAGATGAGGTCTCATTATGTTGCCCAGGCTAGTTTGGAATTCCTAGGTTCAAGCAATCCTCCTGCCTTGGCCTCCCAAAGTGCTGGGATTACAGGTGTGAGCCACTGTACCTGCCCACACTCCTGGCAGTTTACACACATACTTTCCTGGTTTTTCTCCTTCTTTACTGGCTGCTCCTCTGTTGCTGGATAGTTCTCCTCCTTCCAACCTCCAAGTGTTGGAAATCTAACCACGCCATTTACAACCAACACAGGGCTCAATCCTTAAACCTTTGTTATTTTCTAACAATACTCACTCTATACGATCATCTCATCTGGTCCCACAGCTTTAAAACAGCAATTTCTAAATGTTTGCTTTTAGCCCAAATCTTTCTTCTAAAACATTTCCAGTTGGATGTCTGCTTAAGTATTAAACTTCTAATAGGTATCTCAAACTGTAACATCCAAAACTAAACTTTTTATTACTCCTCTAAATCTGCTCCTTCTAGGCCAGGTGTGGTGGCTCACAACTGTAATTCCAGTGCTTTGTGAGGCTAAGGCGGAAGGATTGCTTGAGACCAGGAGTTTGAAATCAACCTAGGCAACGTGGTGAGACCCTGTCTCTACAAAAAATAAAAAGATTAGCTAGGTGTGGTGGTGCATGCCTGTAGTCCCAGTTGAGGCAGGAGGATTGCTTGAGCCCAGGAGGTTGAGGCTGCAGTGAGCTATAATTGCACCATTGCACTCCAGCCTGGGTGACAGAGCAAGAAACAAAAAACAGAAAAAGAAAAAACCCAAAACAAACAAACAAAAAACGCTGCTCCTTCCCTAATGTTCCCTGTCAGTACATAGCCTTTTCTCATCTGTAAAATGAAGATTAAATAATGATACCTGCTTCATAAAGATAAAACAAAATGTATGTCAAGTGCTTAGCATATGCCTGATACAGTATAAACACCCAATAAATATTATTTGCCCATTTATTTAACAAGTATTTATTGAGTACCTATTTACCGAATACTGTTTAAAGTACTAGAGATAGAGAACAAAATAAAGCCACTGTTCTCACGGAACTTATGCTGTAGAATATGAGATAGTGCTAAGAGCCTTGAATAAAATTAAAGCAAAGGGAAGAGGATAAGGAGCACTAGAGGAATGGGTACAATTTAATATAGGACAGTCAGGAAGGGCCTCAGTGAGAAGATGATGTGAGCATGGACCTACAGGAAGAAAGGGCAGGAGTCATGTGGATATCTGCGGGAATAGCATTCTATAAATGTAACTGAGCAAGTGCAAAGGTCCTGAAATAGAAGAGGACCTGGCATACTGAGGATAAGCAAGGAAGCTGATTATAGGATTTTCAGCGCACAGGCAATCTAATGCTACTTTGGTATATCCTTTAACATAGTGCTGGGCATTCAGTAAATATTTACTACCTTAACCCTTAACCTTAAGTCCTTGGCTCACTTGTCTCATACCTTGTGAAAAATTCTGCTCCTGAGTCAAGATTTCATTTCGTTCTTCCAAAATCTGCATCAGGGCAGCTTGAAGTTTTGGTGGTAGAATTTCATCCTCATCAGATACCTTAAGAAGAAAAAAAAATGGAGATTTTTCTTTGTTTGAGATTTGAGGGATTAAGTCTCAAATATGCCCTAGTTATTTCTCCAAAATTCCACAAGTGACTGTATATATTTTGGCTAAAGAGTCAGTCTGAAGTCTCCTTCCCTACATGAAGAATCTTTCATGTTTATGGTGTATATTTTAACTATATTAAAAAAATATATACTTTGTAAAATTTTCTGGCACTTTTCCACCAGATCTCTCTCATCTACAAGTCTTCTGTTATATTATGAAGATCATCCACAAATAGTGTTTCAAACATGATGAGCTAATTGATTCTGAAAATGTCCTGGGAAACACTCTTCTTTTCACCCTGTGTTTCAGAGCTCACACTCCTACATACAGGTTATATGCGGAGGGCTGCTCTGAGGAGGCTTTATGAACTCTTCCTTTCCACTTCAATATTCAGAATAAATGGTCACTTCATTTTTGCTCCCACTGTACCTTGTACAAATTTCTATTATACAATTTCTAAAACTTTATGTGTGTCTGTTTCTCCCCATTAGACTGTAAGACCTGAGGGTTCAAACTGTGTCTTACTCATTTTTACATTCTAACAGAATATCTAGAAATAATCAGTGCTTGGCCGGGCATGGTGGCTCACGCCTGTAATCCCAGCACTTTGGGAGGCAGAGGCGGGCGGATCACGAGGTCAGGAGATCGAGACCATCCTGGCTAACACGGTGAAACCCTGTCTCTACTAAAAATACAAAAAATTAGCCGGGTGTGGTGACAGGCACCTGTAGTCCCAGCTACTCGGGAGGCTGAGGCAGGAGAATGGCGTGAACCCAGGAGGCGGCGGAGCTTGCAGTGAGCCGAGATTGCGCCACTGCACTCCAGCCTGGGCGACAGAGCGAGACTCCATCTCAAAAAAAAAAAAAAAAAGAAATAATCAGTGCTTAATAAATGCTTTTAAAATGTAATTAAATTAGAGGCTTATGTGTCGACCCACCTGGAGTTGAAGGGTGGTTTTACCTCTTTTGAGAATGAGACATTTATGTTTCCTCCTTCCTCCTTTGGGATAGGCAGCTATAAACTGAAGCCAAATTTTTCAGGTCAATCTTGCATGATTGGCCATGGTGTCAATTCAAGTATGTGTAGGAACTAAAAGTTTTGCCTGAGTCATATTCTCTAAGTACTTTCACATATTGTCTGTCCAATTATCTACAGTAGACATTTATCCTAAAACATAAGTAATTACCTCCTTTGGCACTCACCTCCTGTAAGAACTTGTCTGCACAGAGATCAACTATCAGCACCTATGAAATAAAGGAGCCAGGCAAGTTCAACCAGAGACATTCACAGACAAATACAGGCAATGAGAATAGTTTTAAACAAAATTTACTCAAAGTTTCAGCCCATTTAAAAGTTAGCCAATCAACACAACAAAAAATAAATTGCAAGTAAAAGAATGATGACATGCACACCTATAGATTAAAAGAGACTAAAAATATGTCAACTAAATACAGTGTGTGGGGCCAGGCACGGTGGCTCACACCTGTAATCCCAGCACTTTGGAAAGCCGAGGCAGGAGGATCTCTTCAGCCCAGGAGTTGGAGACCAGCCCTGGCAACACAGTGAGACCCTGTCTCTACACATTTAGCTGGGCGTGTAGTACACACCTGTAGTCCCAGCTACTCGGGAGGCTGATCTGAGAGGATCATTTGAGTCTGGGAGGTCAAGGCTGCAGTGACTGTGATTGCGCCAATGCACTCCAGCCTGGGTGACAGAGTGAGACCCTGTCTCTAAATAAACAAATAAATGAATAAATAAATAAGTACAATGTGTGGACTCTGTTTGGAACCTGATTTAAACAAATTATTAAAAGTTTATGAGACAACTAGAGATTTAAACACTGGATTTTGCTGATATCAAGGAATTGTTGGATATTTTAGGTGTGATAATGGTATTGAGTTTATGTTTAAATATGCCCTTATGTTATAGAGATTCACATTGTAATATTTAGAGATGAAATTGTGTCAGGATATCCTTCAAAATATTATGGGAAAGAGGAATGGGTAAGAGTAAAGACAGGCCATGACTTGATAAGTACTGAAGTGGGGTGACTGGTACACAAGGATTCATTTCACTCTTCTGTTTACTTTTACATATGTTTAAAGTTTCCAAAATAAAAAGTTTTTTTTTAAATTTTTTATTTTTTAAAAGAAGGACAAGGCAGCGGAGTAATGGGGAACAGTCTTTTCAGTAAGTGGTATCGACACAGACGGTTATCCATATAAAAACAAATGAAGCAACCCCTACTTCACATTATACACACAAAAATCAAGTTCCAGGAGGATTCATAATCAAAAGTTAAAGGCAAAATAATGAAAGGCCCAAGAGATGATATAGGAGGATATTTTCATGAAGTTAATATAAAGTAACTTAAGCAGCTCACTAAAAACACCATCTATAACGAAAAAGATTGATAATTTTAACCACATTAAAATTAAGAATTTCTGTGCATTAAAAAACATCATTTTTGAAAATGAAAAGGCAAGCCACAGACAAAGGGGCCAGTACCCAGAATATAAAAAGACATGTTAACGCCAGGCGCAGTGGCTCACTCCAGTAATCCCAGCACTTTGGGAGGCTGAGGCGGGCGGATCACCTGGGATCAGGAGTTCAAGACCAGCCTGGCCAACATGGTGAAACCCCGTCTCTACTAAAAATACAAAAATTAGCCGGGCGTGGTAGCAGGCACCTGTAATCCCAGCTACCTGGGAGGCTGAGACAGGAGAATCGCTTGAATCCAGGAGGCGGAGGTTGCAGTGAGCCGAGATCACACCACTGCACTCCAGCCTGGGGGACAAGAGTGAGACTTCATCTCAAAAAGAAAAGAGAAGAAAAGGAAAAAAAGGCATCTTGAACAATAAGAGAGTAGGGGCTGGGTGCAGTGGCTCACACCTGTAATCCCAGCACTTTGGGAGGCCGAAGAAGGCAGATCACTTGAGGTCAGTAGTTTGAGACCAGCCTGGCCAACATCGTGAAACCCCGTCTCTACTAAAAATACAAAAAATTAGCTGGGCATGGTGGTGTGCACCTGTAGTCCCAGCTACTTGGGAGGCTGAGGCACGATAATTGCTTGAACCTGGGAGGCAGAAGTTGCAGTGAGCTGAGATCACGCCACTGCACTCCAGCCTGGGCAACAGATTGAGACTCCATCTCAAAAACGAAACAAAACAGTAAGAGAGTAAACAATGTAGTGGAAAGAGACAAAGATTTTTATAAAAGATGATATTCAAGAGACCAATAAATAGAAGGATGCTCAACCTCAACAGGAATCAAGGAATGCAAATTAAACCACAATATGAATAACACTACGCACCCACCAGATAGGCTAAATTATACAACTGATGATAAAAAGTGATGGTGAAGACGTGGAGCAACAGGAACTCTCATACACTGTTGAAGGGAATTTAAATTGGCACAACTACTTTGGAAAACAATTTAACTTTATTTATTAAAGTTGGAGATATGTTTACCCTATGACTCAGCAATTCAATTTCCAAGTATATACCCATTGAACTGCATGTGTGTATGCACTGAGGGTCATGTATATTTATAGCAACATTATTCATAACAACCTCAAACTGGAAACAACTCAAATGTTCAACTGTAGAATGGATAAGAAAATTGTGGTACATTCACACAATGGAATCCTATATACAATTAGAATGATCAGACTATTGTTGACCTCATCAACATAGATTAATCTTACAGATATAATGTTGAGAAAAAGAAGCCAGGCAAAAATATATATACCATATGAATCTATTTATATCAAGCTTAAAACCAGACAAAGCTGAATTACATTGCTTAGGGAGGAATGCCAAGGGGTAAAACTATAAAGCAAAAACAAGTAAATGAATACCATAAAAGTCAAGATAATGAGTACCTTTGGTGGGGGATGGGGATGGAAACAGAAAGAGGCATGATGGGGTCTTCTAGGGGGCTGGCACTGATCCCATTGTGGTAATATTTCCATTCCATTCTAATGCTCATTATGTATCTGTACATTTTGCTTTAACCACTTATCTATATGTGTGTTATATTTGAAATAAGGTTTTTTGGGTTTTTGTTTTGAGACAGCGTCTCCCTCTGTCGCCCAGGTTGGAGTGCAGTGGCATGATCTCGGCTCACTGCAACCTCCACCTCCCAGATTCAAGCAATTCTCCTGCCTCAGCCTCCCAAGTAGCTGGGATTACAGGCATGTACCACCATGCCTCGCTAATTTTTGTCTTTTTAGTAGAGATGGAGTTTTACCATGTTGGCCAGGCTGGTTTCAAACTCCTTGACTTCAAGTGATCCACCTGCCTCAGCCTCCCAAAGTGCTGGGATTACAGGCATAAGCCACCATGCCCGGCCTTGAAATAATTTTTAAAGTTAATCCAGAGTAGTGTACCCTTCAGAATAACACAAGAATGAGCCCAAGGTTACTACTGTAAATAAGATACAGCTTTGGATTTATGTGTACTATCGAATTTTCCCATCTTAATACTAGAAGTATTATAAACAGCAATATTATAATAATTTAATAGAAATATTATAAATAGCATAAAATAGTAATAACTAAATTAATAACAATTCCACCACTCTTAAGATCACTTATTTTTACTTCTCAATGCTCCAATATTAGGTTCCATTCTTCTATCTCACCTCTTCAATGGGTAGGTCCTGGAGCTGTGGTAAGGAGCAAGACAGGATTCCAATAAGGAATGGTGTAGGTGAGCACACGATGTCAATCATAGATGCTGGCAGGACTGGGATATAGGTATGCTGCCAGGTGAACGGATACAGTGTAGCTACCACAGCATGGCCACATTTTGACAGGGTGCTAGCCAGAGGAGAAAACAAATGGTGTCATATATAGAGTAACATAAGGAGGACATTTCAGTTATTATGTTAAAGAATTAAAAATTGATGCTGGTTAGTGATCATAGATTAAAAACTATGCAAACAGTCATTAATTTTTTAACATTTTACTTAAAATTTAAACTTACTTTACTGAAAATGTTCAATCTTAATCCAGCTCATTTCCACAATTTCTCATGCGAAAAATTAGTGTACTTAGAAAAGTATTACCAACTTTTGACAATAGGGTAAGCAAAATGCATTTAAAAGGGAAATTTATTACAACCCACAAAAGTCATTGGTATAGCCTAACGCAAGTGGCTTTTTGATGATTTACCATTTAAAATTATCCATGCCACTATATACCACTAGATAACTGAGAGACTGATCCTACATTTCAAAAATATGCCCAAATTTTTGTTCTCACTCATAGGTGGGAATTGAACAATGAGAACACTTGGACACAGGGTAGGGAACATCACACACCGGGGCCTGTCGTGGGGTGGGGGGATGGGGGGAGGGCTAGCATTAGGAGAAATACCTAATGTAAATGACGAGTTAATGGGTGCAGCACACCAACATGGCACATGTATACATATGTAATGAACCTGCACGTTGTGCACATGTACCCTAGAACTTAAAGTATAATAGTAAAATAAAAAAAAATGCCCCAATTTTAAAATTTGGAACAAATAAAACACCAGTGTGAAGTAACATATTTCACTTATTTCTTACCTTAGGCTGTTGGCAACAAAGATTACCCTACGCTCCAAAAGGAGAGAGGCACAGACCCGGATGAGATGACACACACTCAGGCACTTAAAGAGACATTTAAAATCAACATGTTCCAATCGGGAATCTAGTGGTCGGCAGAGTTCAATGGACTGAAATGCAAGAAGTTGAATCAGGTGAGCTAATGTTGGAAAACAATCCCTAGTGCCAACGCTATGGATCCTGTTATTCTTATATAAGTTAAATTCAAGAAAGGTCTGCTACACGGGGTCTGTGAAGCTTCCTATACTAATGCCAGGACCCAACAGCTTATTTTTGTGCTGTAAATCAAGATCCTGTATTCCTTCTGACAATAGTATATACAGTCTTCATTTATCACATGAAATTGTCATTACAAAGGGACTCAGTCTATGTATGGTAGAAAATCTCTGGGTCCTGGGTCTAGGAAGAACTATGTCACAGATCAACTGGATATTTCTCCAGTGCTTTATGGAAATAAAACATATTCTTTACAGTTTATGGAAAAGGGAAATCTATCCCCTTGGGCTCTGGAAACTGCCTACTAGTGTAAGTCCTGCTTTTTAGTGCTATCAAATCTTTTCAAAATGAGCTAACTTACCTCATCTCCAGCCCCAGGGAGGTAACTCTTAACTGTGATGGTGCGTCCAGGAGCTGGGAAAGGAGCTTCCATGACACTTCGCATGAATGGGTAAACAAGGGCTGGAGACATTTCTCTTCTCTTCTCTACTTCATCCAGAATCTATATACGCAAAGTGTTATTTTATTATGGACTAAGTTAAAAAATATAAAAGAATGCCATTACAGGAACTGCCAAACCTGGTGTACAAACTTTAAAATAACCCAAATAAAATTTAAGACAGATAAGCTTCTGCAATCAATAAAAGTTAAATAAGCATCATATCTCTTGGGAGGTATCATTATACCCTGAAGAAAAGTTACTAACATAAATCAACTTATTTTTAAAGGAGAAGCCCCTTTTCATCTCACTAAGGGAGGGGCAAAGAAGGTGACAGTGACAATGATATCCTGCAATTTGGTCTAAGAAAGACACGAGACAAGATAAGCTTTGGACTATGTTCTCCCTTAAGCTGAAAGTTCTAGCAAACCAAAATGAAGATGATATAGCAAGAGCAAATGGATTAGAGATGTAAGTTTAAGCCTTCAGGCACGTGGTTCCTAGTTTACTAATAGGGAACCTTTCTGAAGTAACATGTTAAACTCTATGCCACTTAATATTAAGAGCTCAAAAAGGACACCATTTTTCATACAGCTCATTCTCCACTCACCTTTGAAAAAAGATTGAAGCAGCCTAGGCGACTAACCATGCAGTATACCTCAGGGAGTCGCTTTCCTTTGCCTACTGGCTAAAAGATAAAAACAACAACAACAAAAAAATCAAGCCGCATACATTTTTATTAATACTAATTTGGACTATTAATTATCTTTTACTACTCTTTAGTACGGAGCAGTAACCAAGGCTCTCATCTTTAGTGAACACTGAAAGATGTGAAAAGTGCTAAAAATGATAGCATGTTTTATTCTAGGTTTAGTGAAGCCACCCAAGCAAGAAAAAAGCCCTAATATGGTTGGTGAGTAACTCAGAGCTCCTTCGAGTAGCTCATTGTACTCTATTTCAAATATATCCAGACTGAGATTCAGCCACTATGTCATCAGTTACTTCCTCTATTATAAACAAATAAAATAAATCCATACCCCTTCTCTTCTAGAACACTCCATGGTTAACCCCCACCTTCCTCTTGCTGTTTAAAGCTAATACAGCTTCCTTAATACACAGATCATTGAGCATCCCTCAAACTCATCTAGAGATAGTGTTTCTGAAGTTCCTACTCTGACTCAATTATTCCTTGACCAACCCTGTCTGTAACACAAATCTGATACTTACCAAGAGCTTCTTACAGTAACCAAACCACCGGCTTCCATCTTCACCAGTCAAGACAAAGGAGAATGTTTCACTGAAAAAAGAGCCAATAGTTAGTTTAGGATCCAAACAATTACTTATGGCATTCTCCATGGAACAAACAATTGAAAACTAGAGTCCAACAGTAGTCATTTTGTGATCTAGTTAGGATCCAAACAACCACTTACGGCATTCTCCATGGAAAAAACAATTGAAAACTAGAGTCCAGGTTTTCAAGTGATCTAAGAGGAGGCATAATATTACATTCATTGCA
This sequence comes from Homo sapiens, assembly GCF_000001405.40. Lineage (NCBI taxonomy): Eukaryota > Metazoa > Chordata > Mammalia > Primates > Hominidae > Homo > Homo sapiens. The sequence goes on from NC_000001.11 coordinate 114,602,414, forward strand.
AGTTACACTCCTCCTAAGGAATGCCCAGGCCTTAAGAATATCTTGCCTTGTACTGGAGTGAGAGAATAGGTATGAGATAAGCTGTTGATGTTGGTTCCTTTTGTTTTCTTATTCATCCACTCTAGGTATTAATCGGGTTATTTTCATTTAAATTTTATTTTTATTTTTTAAGACAGTCTCACTCTGTTGCCCAGGCTGGAGTGCAGTGGTGCAAACAGATCTCACTGCAGCCTTGACCTCCTGGGGCTCAAGTGATCCTCCCACCTCAGCCTCCCAAGTAGCTGGAACTACAGATGTGTGCCACCATGCCCCACTAATCTTTTAATTTTGTGTAGAGATAAGGTCTCACTATCTTGACAGGGCTGGTCTTAAACACCTGCGTTCAAATAATCCTTCTGTCTCAGCCTCCCAAAGTGCTGGGATTATAGACATGAGCCACTGTGCCTGGCCTTATTTTCCTTTTGTTGAATGCCCAATTTAGTCAAACAGATAGGTAAGCTACAAAGACTTTTGATACGTTATTTCTCAGTTCCAAATTCTTCTCTTTAGTTCTGAGAGGCTGTATAGAGCAGCAATAGGCAAAGGATTATATCCTTAATATGTAAAAATTATTAAGAAAAATATCAACTCATTAGAAACATGGGCAAAAGATATGTGTTGATAATTTACAAAATGAAAACCTAAATATACCCAAGAAAGAAACTCAGACTCAATAATCAAATAAGTCCATTTTTTTTTTTTTTCTGAGACGGAGTCTCACTCTGTCGCCCAGGCTGGAGTGCAGTGGCGCAATCTCTGCTCACTGCAACCTCCGCCTCCTGGGTTCAAGCAATGCTCCTGCCTCAGCCTCCCGAGTAGTGGGACTACAGGCATGTGCCATCACACCCAGCTGATTTTTTATTTTTAGTAGAGACGGGGTTTAACTATGTTGGCCAGGCTGGTCTCGAACTCCTGACCTCAGGTGATCCACCCGCCTTGGCCTGGGATTACAGGCGTGAGCCACAGCACCTGGCCAAGTCCAATTTTTTTTTTTTTTAAGAGACTGGGTCTCACTGAACAGAACTTAATTTTCTGAAGACATATTTATTATCTACCTTCTTTCCTCCCTCCCTCCCTTCCTTCCTTCCTTTTATTATTATTATTATTATTTTTGGACAGGGTCTTGCTCTGTTGCCCAGGCTGGAGTACTGTGGCACAATCATAGCTCACTGCAACCTTGAACTCCTGGGCTCAAGTGATCCTCCTGCCTCAGCCTCCCGAGTAGCTACTGCACACCACCGTGTCTGGCTAGTTCTTTTGGTATTTTTTGTAGAGACAGGGACTTGCTATGTTGCCCAGGATGGTCTCAAACCTGGCCTCAAATGATCCTCCCACCTTAGCCTCAAAGTGCTAGGATTACAGGTGTGAGCCACTGCACCTGGCCTAAATCCAAACTTGAACAATATATACATGTCTGTATTTGGCTAAAAATAAAGATTGGAAGGGAATATGACAAAATATTTACAGTGATTACTTTTGAGTAACCAGACTGCCAGTGATCTGTAATTTCTGCTTTTTATTTACTCTTCTGTGTTTCCCAAATAGTCTAGAATAAACATATATAACTTGTTGTGGGGAAAAGCCAGCCACAGAGCAGCCAGGCCACTATGAAAGCTGCTGTTTATAAAGGTAGCAGTGCAACTGACAACACAAGAGCATCAACAGTGATGGCTGAGAGATGAGAGTGTCAATCAGGCTAAACTGCTTATGAGAGATAGTAGCTTAGTCTGGAAGCAACACGAAGTTGAAGTGCAGAGATATTTAAGCAACAGCTGAGGCTATTATCCAGAAGGTCATTACCATGTGATACGGTTCAATGAATAAAGCTTTTCAAACTAAATGGCATCATCAATAATTATAGTTTTGAACAAAGCAGGCATCTATTAATATTTACAAGCAGAATTCAGAGATTATGATAGTTTATTAATTAAAAGTAGTAATTTCCTCTAGATACCTGGAAGAAATCCTTTAATAACTTCCTTTCTTAATATACTACACTTCCCAAACTGGAGCCTCCCTTTGTACAGGTTCCACAGAGGAACATAAAAGCTGGGCTGTGGATTATTCTGTTAATTTGAAGAAGAAAGAAGATAAAGATGAAGACACTGCTCTGTTTTATCTCTGTTTCTAGGTTGAGTCTCAAAATCCAAGTCTTTTTTCATTTTCTGTCCACTTGGGAGCATTTCTGATTGTATGTAAAATAGAACTTTTTTTTTTTTTTGTAGAACTGGCAAACTGAAGAGACTCTCAAATTTGTTTTCCTTTTGACACTGAAATTATTCCACGTTTTTATTTTTTTAAGCCCCACATAGGAAATGTTCTAGTTCTGCTTCTTCCTTTCCTCCTACCACATCCTTGACTTGCCACAGTATTCACATAGCTTCACTAATGGCTGTACCCATTTCTCAAATACTCTGATTTATTTTTGCAGGTCTAATGAATAGAAATCAGATAAATTAGCCCATTTACCTCTTGAGTTCTGAGGTTGGCATCCAGTCCTTTGAATCAGGAAAACAAAATTTTGGAATAACTTTAAGTCTCTCTTCCATGTCTTTGGACTGCTTATAGCCATGATCATCCTGAAAAAGATAACACCATAGGTGACTTAAATTATACTATGTAAGTGGGGAATAGAAATAAAAAACTCAGCCTTGTCTCAGGAAAAAAGGTCTCTGATAAGCCTGAGTAGTTGCTGATAAGCCTCAGCATGGTTTTGTACTGCTTAACTAAATTAAAAAGTCAATTCTGGAAATCACTGAGGATGCACTGAGAACAGAGTTACTAAGAAAAAAGAATCCTGTTTTTACTTAGAAATGGTATCTGTGGATATCTCAGCATCTACTGTAAGAGAGATTAGTGAAAAGTTTCCTATCAAGAGGTAAAATCTTAATTCAGGATTCACACACTAAATGGGAACCCAGTATTTTTATGAACCGTGGGGTATAAGATAAAAATCCATTCTTCAATGTACTGAGAACAAAAACCTAGTCGGCTCAAGACACTTTCCAAACAATAATCAAAGAAGCTTTGAAATGGTAGATGAATGTTATTTAGAAAAGATACGGCCAGATGCACTGGCCTGTAATCCCAGCACTTTGGGAGCCCAAGGTGGGCGCATCACTTGAGCCCAGGAGTTGGAGACCAGCCTGGGCAACATGGTGAAACCCCATCTCTACAAAAAATAGAAAAGTTAGCTGGGTGTGGTGGCACATGCCTGTAGTCCCAGCTACTCAGGAGGCTGAGAAGTGAGAGGATTTCTTGAGCCTGGGAGGACGAGGCTGCAGTGAGGCATGATTGCGCCTTGTACTCGAGCCTGGGTGACAGAGAGAAACCTGTCTCAAAAAAAGAAAACATAAAAGATACTATTTTGAGAATCCACCCCATATATAATCATTTCCTTTAGCATAGAATCTTTGCTACCTAATTGCTGGTTTGGAACTTCTTGTAAAATTTTAGCATAGAAGATCCTTTTGCATAAATCTGGTACTGTACTTATATGACAGTCTAAATTTCAGTAAACCAGACATTTAGAAATTAGTATGACCTGTCCTCTATAAAAACAAGCCCTTAAGTCTAATTACCATATTGCCTTCAGATAACTAATAACAATGATCTCCCTTTTAATTTCTTTTTTGTTGTTGTTGAGAAGGAGGTCTTGCCATGTTGCCCAGGCTGGCCTCAAACTCCTGTGCTCCAGTGATCCTCGTGTCTCAGCTGGCCAACTAGCTGGGATTACAATTATGTGCCACTGTGCACAGCTCCTTTAATTTCTTAAAAAAAAACAAACTATGTAGCCATTCTGGGTCACTTAACAGTGCTGTGACATTGTACTTTCAGGCTACATTGAGAAATTTTATAAGAAATTAAACTTACTGATTATTTACTGCAGGGATATTTTTGAGGACTTTTTGAAAATGAGAATCCATGCAGGAAATGTCTCTTAGATTCCAGTACAGTTGTACTTCACCAGCTTTTTTAGTGAAACATGTAACTCAGGGTTATAAACCCAACAGTCCTAAAGTGGCCAAGCAGATAACTGAAATGAAAGAAGTCGTCCAAGTAATAAGCAGGAGAGTGACTAAATGTCCCTATTAAAGGGATCACTCCTTACTAAGGAAAACTACATAATTCAGATAGCATAATGCAAAATGAAAATGTGGAGCCCCTTGTTCAAAAAGCAGAACAAATTAAATATAAAACATCTTTTTTCTTCTGTGGCCTCTGTAATGGAGTTTTTATTTGCTATTTAATGTCACACTCCCTCAGACATGAGGATCCTGGGGGATGACTGTAGACTCTCCCAGACACCCAGGTGCTGCAGTCTGCAATCCGGTACACAAGTGGCCCACAAGGTGCTGGGTTTCCTCTCTGGGTAGCTGCAGAATTGAGACTCTGTGTTTCGACTAGGGGTTGGGAAGTTAAGCCAGGCATCTCCCCTTCCCATGGGGGCCACCATTCCAACCCACAGCAGTTGAGCAATCCCCAAGTAGTCACCCACAAGTGGCACCACCAGCCCAGGCCAGGGAAAGCTGCCCCATGCCTTGCCTGGAGATGTTGCAGGGCAATGCTGGTCTGATCCTAACCCTCCCAATGCCTGTGCCCAGCCAGGGGGAGAAAGTGGCAGTAGTCACTGAGTAGGGGTGGAAAGGGCACTTACTAGGGCCCAGGGAATCAGGCAGTGGAGAACAGGACAACAAGAGAACTCATCCTAGGGAAGCAGCAGAAGGTGACACCATGCATGAACTCAGGCTTTAAGACCTTGGCACATGCCCAGTTTTCCTACCAGACTTCATTTACAAAACACAAATTCAAAGATAAAATTATTTAGCATTTCAAGATGGTGACTGCAGATCATTAAACCCTACACGCAGGGCCCTTCTGAGTGAGGGCCTTATGTAACTACACTGGTCACCTGCTCTGAAGTCCTGCTCCTTATTAAGCTTCAACCCATTCCTGACACTTAGGAATGCAGGCTGTGTTGGCAGTCTTTCCAGTTTCTCAGGAAAAGGCAGAAATACAGATTTGTATGTGAAATTTGATTGTTAAATGTTGGCAACAAAAATTATTGTTGTTCTTTTACACAAACACTATGCAAAGCAAAAGAAACCCAACCATGTCTGTGGGCTTAACTGGTTCACAGGCTCAATAAGCTCTGTGAAACAGAGACTAAGAAGATCTTTTTCAGTAGTACTCCCATCATCTAATCCTGGCAAATATTAGGTATTTTTAAAATATTTGATTAAAAGAATGAACAATTTTTTAAAAAAAGGTAGAGAAACCAAATATTATTGTTAATAATAATGGCTACCAAAAATTAATACCTACCATTTATTGAGTACATACTATGTGCCAGGGATGGCATTAGCACTATATACATTACCTCACTAAATCCTTACTGATAATGGATAACATCATATTCAGCTTACTATATGCCAGACACTGTTCTAAGTGCCTTATATAAATTAGCTTATTTAATCCTCACTATGACTCAGAGGGGTAGATACTATTGTGATTACCCCCATTTTACAAATTAAACAACTAAGACACAACGTGGTGGCTCACGCCTGTAATCCCAGCACTTTGGGAGGCTGATGTGGGCAGATCACTTGAGGTCAGGAGTTCTAGATCACCCTGGCCAACATGGTGAAACCCTGTCTCTACTAAAAACATAAAAATTAGCGGGGTGTGGTGGCACACGCCTGTAGTCCCAGCTACTCAAGAGGCTTGAACCTGGGAGGTGGAGGTTGCAGGGGTTGCAGTGAGCCAAAACTGCACCACTGCACTCCAGCCTGGGCAACAGAGCAAGACTCCATCTAAAAAAAAAAAAGAAAGAAAAAGAAAAGTAACTGCTTAAAGTCACGGAACTAGTAAGTGGGAAATGCAGAGCTTTCACACAGAGTCCATGCTCTAAACCACTACCCTATTCTGTCACATTTATTATTCCCCTCCTTAAGGATGAGAAAACTAAGGTTTTGTAACTTGTTAAAGATTATTAAATGGCAGAGCCAAAAATTTAAAAAACTAACTAGGAAAATGAGCTTGTTTTGTTTTGCTTTGTTTTGCTGGGTTGCAGCTCATACCTAACATAAGATGTTTTCAAAGCCACCAGATCCTACCACAAGAACAGTATTGGTAAAAACTTGTTGAGATAACAAAAACCAAGAGGACAGGAAATACATGTACACAGAGACACAGGAACATTCCTGAATGCCTCTTGGCCTCCTTGTGCCTACCTTGCCAGGGAATTGTTGTATGACCTGGGGAATATAGCTTATTCCTGATGGTTTCTTCTGTAGAGACACCACCACAAAAAGTTCAAACAGCTGCTGCTCCTGTAATTCAATAAGATCCCGCTCCAAGGTCTGGTAGTGAGGATTCCTCTTGGAAGACGGTTGCAGTTGTGCTAAGCGTTTATGGCGATCTGTAATGAAATCATGGAGAAATGTTTTTTTCTCTGTAGCCCTACCTTCCTTTCAGCATCCAGAGGTCATGACCCACATAGGATTAATCTTCACACAGTCACTGCTGAATGAATGTTGAATAACCAGCATCTGCCACATAGACATACCTGTTAAGGCTGTGACATACTAGGGGGAAGAAGTGCAGACCCTCACAAGTGTGCAGGGGCCTCACTCCACTTCTGGCCAGCAGTGGGACTGACATTCCATGTCCCAACCAATACTTATGTATGTCCCAACAAATAATCTATGCTATCCCATCTTTCATGGCATCAAACCAGGACACATGGAAAATGTCACGAAAAAGCGCTAGACTGACAACAGATGCTACTGCTGGGAATGCCATGAAATCACAGGGTGCCAGGTGGCACGGGGCAGGGGGCAGAGATCTGATAAAATAATTCAGTCCTAAGTACAGAAAGGGGGAGTTTGATAAATTAAAATAAAAATTTTCCTCACATTGAAGAAACTGTCCAGTTCCCTTCTCTCCTTGCCACATATTACTAACAATGAATATATACTTGTATCAGTAAATGGTGCTACACACAAGAGAAAAAAATTAAGTGGAAGAAGACATCCATTAGCTGACTTTCTTAAAAGAATAAAATTATGGAAGCATACTATTTAAACAGTCATAGCAATACCAATTAAAACTGGATAGCATCTATCCTCTATTCTCATTTATCTCTAAATTTTGAGCAATCTGGGGTGGTCCCCACTGAAGGAAACTGTGGACTTGCAGAAAAAATAGTCTACACGTCCCAGTGATTTGCTTATGTATAATTCCGAGCCACTGATAGACTCAACCTCTAATTGTCTTTCCTTTCTTTTTGATACAATGCATTCTGTCCCAAAAGAAGTTATACTATAGATCAAAATATTAAGAGCATTTTTAAAAAATGCATCCTGGAATGGCTCCCCGGAATTATCCAGTACATTCAGTGCTCTAGTCAAAGCTTTACTTACCTCAAAGGGCTGAGTTCAAGTCAAGAAAATTTTAGGTCCTGTTTCTCAGTAGTAACAGCCCTAAATTAGTCATCTTCACACATCTAGGCTGAACCTGATGATTATTAAATTTCACCTTCAGTCAGGCTACAGAATCAAACACCTAAAGCAATTCAGGCCAGTGGAGGGAGCACAAGACTATTAATCATAAAATTAGGGTGTCAGATTAGGAACTGGAACTGCCCTGTACTCAGCTTTGATAATGCATGTCTTCTACTTTTTCCATGGCTTAGTATGACAGTCACTTAAATAGGAAGTAGATAACTTGCTGTGATAACTAGAAAGCATCATCGTTAGATGAAGGATGAAGGCACCATGAAGTGCTTGGACAAAGAGAGTCAGAAATGCATGGTGCATTCTATATTCTACTAGAAAGTAAACAGCACAATAATCTGGAATATAAATGCCTATAAATAACAAATAGATATTTCCTTTTTCAATGTCAGAGATATCAAAGTTACTTAAATAATTACACTTGAGTGGCTATAAAAAATCAGACATTTGGCTGGGTGCGGTGGCTCACGCCTGTAATCCCAGCACTTTGGGAGGCCAAGGCAGGCAGATCAACGAGGTCAGGAGTTCGAGACCAGCTTGACCAATATGGTGAAACCCCATCTCTACTAAAAATACAAAAATTAGCTTGGCGTGGTGGCACATGCCTATAATCCCAGCTACTCAGGAGGCTGAGGCAGGAGAATTGCCTGAACCCGGGAGGCAGAGGTTGCAGTGAGCCGAGCTTGCGCCACTGCACTCCAGCCTGAGTGACAGAGGGAGACTCCGTCTCAAAAAAAAAAAAAAAAAATCAGATATTTACTGCTCAGAGGATGATTCACACACTCTGTTTTGGCTGCCAGGAAACTACTGCATATATGTCTGGACATGCAGCTCTCTGCCGCTCCCCTAAGAATATTCCATCATAAGAACCATACTGTTTTGCCTCACTCCACTATGGGAGACTTTAAATGCTGTCAAACATCTGACAGTGTTTAATTCTGACTGTTTAATTCTCCAAACCTCAACAGGCTCTGAAAATAAGGAAATCATCTACAAAATGGAACTTCATGTGGGAAAAAACATGCTTAGTCACAAAGGTAGGTGCCACTCCACCTAACCCATGATCATCACAACAACGGGAGCAGCCCCATTGACTCACTCACTCTTTGGCAGATACTCGGCATCACTTTCGTTCCCACTGGTTTCACCTGAAAAGAGAGAAGGAGTTTCCATTTGTATTGTCCAACAGTAGGAAGTACATGAGGATGAGAACAATGTAAACCCACAAACCTGGGGACTTGGAGTAAGGAATAATAAAGCTGCTGAGCCTTTCTCCAAACCACTTGGTTGTATCAAGTTGGGATAGTTACCAAAAGAGAGTAAAAAGCTCAAAGAGGAAACTCCTCTACTACATCTTCTTCCCATACCCTACTTCACTCCTCGGCTCCCCTCTCATCCCTAATTCTAGAAACTAATTGCATTTCAGACCAGTTTTAAGAGTCTAGTTCAGAGTGGATTCTATTTCTATATCCACATAGTTGTTTGTATATTCCAAATAGAGTATCAAAGGCAAACACCAACAGGGCTAAACAAGAATCTAAACACCAACCAGACTATAAATTTAGAATAACAGGAAAACATGAGAACTAGGAGAGAGATATTACCAAGTCAGCCTACCTCTTCTATGGTGCCTCTAAGTGCCTCTAAACTACTTCTAGTCCATATGGATCTTTACTCCAAATTCTCACAGTACTCATACTGCTTTGAACTATTCTTACTTTCCCCAATCCGATTTTAAGTATTTTGGGGACAAGGGGCTATCTTGTTTTCCCAAGGGAGTGTTTTTGTATAATTCTGAGAGCACAGGCAACACACACACACACACACACACACACACACACACACACAAAGCAGCTTTTAAAATAAAACATTTCTAGATTAAGTTTGAAAAGTTAAAGCAAAATAGAAATACAAAGAAAGGGAAAAAATAAGGCCTAGAAGTCATAAGTGAAATTTGATTATATAAACTTGTATCTAATTTAAAAATCAGTATTAAACTCAAAAAGTGAACAATAAACTGGGAAAATATTTGTAAACACATTGCAGACACAAGGCTAAGTTTCTTAATATTCAAAGAACTGTTACAAATCAAGAAGAAAAAGCACAACAGAAAAAGGAATAAAGGGTGGGAATAGGCAATTCATAGAAAAAGATTTATAAGTTGTTGATAAACATGAAAACTGCCCAAATTCATAACGAAATAAATGTAAATTAAAACAATAAACAAGACATACATTTTCAACCATGATATTGCCATAAAAAGCTTTAATAAAGCATAGTATTTATTGATGAAGATTATGGGGAAAGAGGTATTTTCAAATGATGTTTGTAGAAACAAGCTGTTACAATCTGTTTGTGGGACAATTTGGCAGCAGTTATAAATTTTTTTTTTTTTTTTTTGAGACAGGGTCTCACTCTGCTGCACAGGCTACAGTGCAGTGGCACAATCTTGGCTCACTGCAACCTCTGCCTCCCGGACTCAACTGATCCCCCCTACCTCAGCTTCCAGAGTAGGCTGGGACTACAGGCGTGTGCCACCACACCCAGCTAATTTTTTTTTTTTTTTTTGAGACAGAGTCTCACTCTGTCGCCCAGGCTGGAGTGCAGTGGCACAATCTCGGCTCACTACAACCTCCACCTCCAGGGTTCAAGCAGTTCTCCTGCCTCAGCCTCCTGAGTAGCTGGGATTACAGGCGTGTGCCGCCACACTGGGCTAATTTTTATATTTTTAGTAGAGACAGGGTTTCACCGTGTTGGTCAGGCTGGTCTTGAATTCCTGACCTCGTGATCTGCCCATCTTGGCCTCCCAAAGTGCTGGGATTATAGGCATGAGCCACCGCACCCAGCCACCCAGCTAATTTTTGTATTTTTTGTAGAGACGGGGTTTCGTCATGTTGCCCAGGCTAGTCTCAAACTCCTGGGGTCAAGTGATCCACCCGCCTCAGCCTCCCAAAGTGCTGGAGTTACAGGTGTGAGCCACCATGCCTGGCCAACATTTTAAATCCATATGTTCTTTGATTAAGCTCACTGCTAGGAACTTATTCTACAAAAATAGTCTTATATAGAAATATAAGTAAAAGATGCATTTGCAGCATTGTTTGAAGATTTTTATGTAGACACACACACTTTTAAATATCCACAGGTTAAATAAAAGGTTAGAAACAACTAAACTGTCTACTAGCTAAATAAAATTTTACATCTATGCAATGAAATACAGTACAGCTATGTGGATCTCTATGTGTTGATACTGAAAGAGCTCTGAAGTACATTAATTAAGCTTTTTTAAAAAGGCAGGCATACAAAGTCTGAATAGTGTAAGAGTATTTGTGTAGAAAATGTATTTGCGTGCACATGAAATTTTCTAGGTGTGCAAGGAGGAGGTTTGGAAAACTCTGGCTTTTCATTTTATAATAAGGAATAAGAGAACATTAAAATAAATGCTGCCTATTCTTAAGATAGGTGGGAAAGACACATAAGAGATGTTACAGAAAAAATGCTTATTTAAATATTGCATATTACATATGTTTTATAACTCAAAATTAACCACCATGACAAAAAGTATAGTGTGACTATAAAATATTATTCAGAGAAAGAAATAAACACTGTGAGCTCCTGGTCCTATCTATAGTCTTAGTACCAGGTATCTCTTAGAAACTTAGGAAGTGTTTGGAAAGAAAGAAAAGAGAGAAGAAAGGGAGAAAAGGCAATATAACTGGAAAAGCCCTTATAAAAGATCACTTAATTGGCTTAATATATTCACATCTATGGGTTTTGATGATGTGTATTCTAAGACAATGAATGAAGGTTAGTGGGATTATGAGCCAAGAGAAAAATCTACTGAGAATCCACAGGGATCGAAAAAGTACCAGATTGTCCTCTTTTAATATGAGACTTCAACACACAAAATTATAATGACAGAATTGAAGAAGGCTGATAAGTCATTTTGTAATACCTGAAAACTGAAAGTTAAGAAATATTTAGGGCCAGGTATGGTGGCTCATACCTATAATCCCAGCATTTTCGGAGGCCAAGGCAGAAGGATCGCTTGAGCCCAGGAATTCAAGACCAGCCTGGCAACATGGTGAGATTTTGTCTCTACGAAAAATTAAAAATTAGCCAGGTGTGGTGGGCATGAGCCTGTGGTCCCAGCTACTCAGGAGGCTCTGGTGGGAGGATCGCTTGAACCCAGGAGGTTGAGGCTGCAGTGAGCCATGTTTGCATCATTGCACCCCAGCCTGTGTGACAGAGTGAGACTCTGTCTTGAAAAAAAAAAAAAAAACTGAAGAAATATTTAGGTTGGAATATATTCAGTAAACTCTAGCAGGGACTTCACAGTAGGTAAATATAATTATCTATTGTATTAGGCATTGTTGATATACAGACAAAAGCTTAAGGAGGAAAATGAAAATCTGAGAACTGTGATGACAAAGCCAGGAGATCGTCAGGCATGAGAGAAATTCCTCTGGTGCATTGGAGGAGTTGGTCACAGAGGTAGGTAAAGGTAAATGCTTATTTTATTTGAGCCACAAGTGAAGTGTTACAATGTAGAGGCTGCTCCTTTTTTCTTTACTTTTGTTTTGGACAGCAGAAGTTGGCTAGAAGTTGGAGGATTTTTTTTTTCTTTTCAACATTAAAACAGTTAAAACAAATTTTTGGCTCTTCAAAAACTTGTCTTAGAACCAAATTTACTACAATGTTCCTAATCCATAAGGCATAGACATACAAATAAATTAAGGGCTTGGTAATAACCTACTTAGAAATACCTGGGCGCAGTGGCTCATGCCTGTAATCCCAGTACTTTGGGAGGCCGAGGCGGGTGGATCACGAGGTCAAGAGATTGAGACCATCCTGGCCAACGTGGTGAAACCTTGTCTCTTCTAAAAAAAATACAAAAATTAGCTGGGCGTGGTGACACACGCCTGTAATCACAGCTACTCGGGAGGCTGAGGCAGGAGAATTGCTTAAACCCAGGAAGCAGAGGTTGCAGTGAGCCGAGATCGCACAACTGCACCCCAGCCTGGGCAACAGAGCAAGACTCCGTCTCAAAAAAAAAAAAACCTGAAGAGAGTAGTTATGAATAGACTGCTGTTAATCTGAGAAAATGTTAATGTTTTACAAGCACTTGTCCTGGCCCCAGTATATGATAATTTATGTGATTTGCAATGTGTAATTTATTTCCTTATCTGTAAAATAATGAAAATACTATCTGCCACAGAGTTATTTAGAAAATTAATAATAATGCATCAGAAAGGATGCAGCACAATACCTGGCACGAGTTTTCATTTTCTATGTCTAGTTTTAAATAACACACAAAAATACCTTTGACAATACCATTGTTGAAGATAAAAAATACACGGAAAAGAGATGATTAAACTGCTAAAAATCAAGATTTATGAGAAAGTTAACCGTTGATGATAGAAAAAGATAAGCTATGTGGAGCCATGCTCCTTGATTCAAATCTATGCTTCCTCCTCTGTCTTAGCTTCTTTGTTTGTAAAATTATAATAGTCCCTACCTCCTAGTGTTGTCATACGTTATACATGAGATAAAATATGTAAAGAAACTATTACTTCATTCCATAAATGGTAGCTACTATTAATAACAATGACCAAAAGTATTTCTTCCCCAGAGAAGATTGAAACATGTTTTAGTAATTGCCTCTCAAATTATGAAAACTCACGTTAAAAACAGTGACCAGTTGATTTTAATCAGTACATAGCAGGAAAGAGACTTAAGATGTAACCCAGAAGATTTTATTTTCATATAGTAAGTTGTTAGAATATAAAATAGGTTTTTAAGGGTAATTAAGAAAATTCTGGCTGGGGGCCGGGCGCAGTGGCTCACGCCTGTAATCCCAGCACTTTGGGAGACTGAGGCGGGTGGATCACGAGGTCAGAAGATCGAGACCATCCTGGCTAACATGGTGAAACCCCGTCTCTACTAAAAATACAAAAAATTAGCCGGGTGTGGTGGTGGGCACCTGTAATCCCAGCTACTCGGGAGGCTGAGGCAGGAGAATGGCATGAACCCGGGAGGCGGAGCTTGCAGTGAGCCGAGATCGCACTACTGGACTCCAGCCTGGGTGACAGAGCAAGACTGTCTCAAAAGAAAAGAAAAGAAAAAGAAAAAGAAAATTCTGGCCAGGTATGGTGGCTCATGCCTGTAATCCTAGCACTCTGGGAGGCCCAGGCAGGTGGATCATTTGAGGTCAGGAGTTCAAGATCAGCCTGGCCAATATGGTGAAATCCCATCTCAACTAAAAATACAAAAAATTAGCTGGGTGTGGTGCCGTGTGCCTGTAATCCCAAGCTTCTCAGGAGAAAGAGGCAGGAGAATCACTTGAATCCAGAAGGCAGAGGTTGCAGTGAGCTGAAATTGCACCACTGCACTCCAGCCTGGGTGACAGAGTGAGACTCTGTATCCAAAAGAAAAAAAAAAAAGAAAATTCTGTCTTTAGAAGTCTGCAAAAAGAAGAAACATTCTCCTCTGCTATGACTTAGCTGGTGTTTCTCACTAAGGAACTTATAAACAAAAACTGCTAAATTCTACATATTTGCCAGATGCATTAGTCCATTTTCACACTGCTGATAAAGACATACCCAAGGCTGGGCATGGTGGCTCATGTCTGTAATCCCAGCACTTTGAGAGGCTGAGCTGGTGGATCACCTGAGGTCAGGAGTTCAAGATCAGCCTGGCCAACACGATGAAACCCCGTCTCTACTACAAATACAAAAAATTAGCCGGGTGTGGTGGCAGGCACTTGTAATCCCAGCTACTTGGGAGTCTGAGGCAAAGGAATCCCTTGAACCCAGGAGATAAAGGTTGCACTGAGCCGAGATCATGCCATTGCACTCCAGCCTTGGCAACAAGAGCAAAACTCCATCTCAAAAAAAAAGACATACGTGAGACTGGGAAGCAAAAGAGGCTGAATTCGACTTACAGTTCCATATGGCTAGGGAGGCCTCAGAATCATGGTGGGAGGCAAAAGGCACTTCTTACATGGTGGCAGCAAGAGAAAATCAGACGAAGCAAATGCAGAAACCCCTGATAAACCCATCAGTTCTCGTGAGACTTATTCACTCTCATGAGAATAGCACGGGAAAGACCATCCCCCATGATTCAATTACTTCCCCCTGGGTCCCTCCCACAACATATGGGAATTCTGGGAGATATGATTCAAGTTGAGATTTGGGTGGGGACACAGCCAAACCATATCCCCAGACAACCAAGTTAAGAATCTTGCGTAAGTTTTTAAGAAAGTTCTAATGATTTATTATGAATGTTGACAATTTCTTAATTAACAATGTAAGTTTTATCTAGGCATCTGAAGGATAAAACTTATTATTTTTTTTCTTTTTTGAGATGGAGTCTCACTCTGTCACCCAGGCTGCAGTGCAGTGGCGCGATCTCACCTCACTGCAACCTCTGCCTCCTGGGTTCAAGTGATTCTCCTGCCTCAGCCTCCTGAGTAGCTGGGATTATGGGCACACGCCACCACGCCCAGCTAATTTTTGTATTTTTAGTAGAGACAGGTTTCTCTATGTTGGTCAGGCTGGTCTCGAACTCCTGACCTTGTGATCTGCCTGCCTCAGCCTCCCAAGTGCTGGGATTACAGGCGTAAGCCACCACACCTGGCCAGGATAATACTTATTAAATGACTACAAGTTGAGTACCACATACCTTCAGTCAAAAAAAAAAAACCAGATAAATCAATATAAATTATCCAGTCTGAAGAACAGATTGAAAAATTTTAAAATATCCTCAGAGAAAAAAAAAAAGACTAATGTTTTCCTAGCTACAACAAAAGAGTCTATACTGATAAATGATTATAAATCAAAGTAATAGTGATTCAATTTGTCTATGAAATTTAGTCTCAATGGTTTATGATTATTTTTTCATTCATTTATTTGTTCATCCAATAGTTATTACTTGGCAGAGAATAAAATAAAATGGATTTGAGAAACAATCCCTTATCTTAAAGAAGTTTATGCTTAAGTGGGATAACAGGAAAGTAAACCAAATTTTTTTTTTTTTTTTGAGATGGAGTCTTGCTCTGTCGTCCAGACTGGAGTGCAGTGGTGCGATTTCAGCTCACTGCAAGCTCGGCCTCCCGGGTTCACGCCATTCTCCTGCCTCAGCCTCTTGAGTAGCTGGGACTACAGGCGCCCGCCACCACGCCTGGCTAATTTTTTGTATTTTTAGTAGAGACAGGGTTTCACCGTTTTAGCCAGGATAGTCTCGATCTCCTGACCTTGTGATCCACCCGCCTTGGCCTCCCAAAGTGCTGGGATTACAGGTGTGAGCCACCACGCCCGGCCCCAAAATTTTTAATACACATCAAACATTAAGTTATATGGTGATTCTCCTCTCATATCCTGACAGCTACAGGATAGCTGGAACGAAAAACAATTCTTACCTTTTGTCGGAGGTAATTCCTTTCCAGTGTAAGAATGTAACTTTACCTTCTTCTTCCCTCTTTTAGATTCAAATATGTCATCTATTTTCAATACAAGCTGAAAAAAGACCAGAAAAATACAAATTAAGACCAACACCCAAAAGTTTCACAGTTTGATGACATTAATCTATTAGGGATTCTTATTCAGAGAAAAGACCTATTTTATAAATAGAAACCTTTACCTTTTTGAATTTTGGATTTAAAATGATGATCTTTAATTAGATGATATGTTGTTCTAATACCAAGTTCACATAACATGGGGAAGGAAAGCAGGAAAGGATATTGGATGAACCCAGCACAGGCTTTTAGATTCCTTGTCACTCCATGTCACAACATGCAGGAAATGTGGCTATTGCCCTTTGTATAGTGATCAAGCCTTTACTATTAAACTCAAGTTTTCACTTGCCTGGAGTAGGAAGTGGAACACTCATTTATCTGAAAGGCAGGGTGAGGTATAGTTATTTCTGCTCCCAGAAATTCTTCCCAAGGAGCAGATAAACATACTTAGAAAGCTTTTGTCAAAGGGAATATTCTAAGAGTACTAACATTATAATTTATTTTAGAAATATGTCATAAAATTAGGAGAGCCAAATATACTCAAATACAAAAACTATGTTTTTTCTTCCACTCATCAATCTATTTCTCAAGCAAGTAAAATCCAGACTATTTATTTTTAAATTGTTATATAATTGCTTCTCTCCATTTCATAAGTATTACTCATTAGAAATTTTTCTTTGCTACTGGGAGAGATGTGTGTGTGTGTAAGAGAAACAGACAGGAGACACACACAGAATGCGGTAAAAAAGAGGAAAGATTCGGAGCTGATCAACAGGTACTTTTAAAAGGAGGAATTGATCAGTTTTTCCATAAATACTTTTCTTTTTTTCTTAAAATTCCAAGCTTTTCTTAAGTATTAGTCCTGATTTAACATACTTAATGCCTAGAATTACAATTGTTAGGAACATTATATATGATAACAACCAATAAAGTTGCCCGAGAAAAACGCTCTTGTATTCTCTTTTGTCCTTGTTTCTCTAGCCATCCTGACAATCGACAGGCAATGAATCAGTCCAGTGCAAACCACTGTCCCCTGCCAACCACTCACCCCCCAAAAAACATGCAAGAAACATATGCTTCCAAAACACAGATTATTACAACATTTTTGGATGAGTTTGTGCTCTTAAAGATTTTTATCACTGCAATTCAAGTGAAAAATTGCCAATGTTCTTAAATATTACTATTACAAAAAACAAGAGAATCTAAAATAAAAAAGTACTAAGGGCTATAGGAAAGATGTATGGAAATAAATATATATTTGGGTTACATAATGACCCAAAATAGCATAATTATTAATTTGCATTTGAAAAGTAGAATCAAAAGTATATTCAAGTATAAAGGAAAGATAACTGTTCTAAAACTATGCGATAAAGTGATAAATTTAAATTTCTGTCATGAGCTAGGAAGAAGAGCCTTCTAGTTACAAGAAATACTGTAGAATATTCTTCCTAAGAAATGACGGAAATCATACTGCTGTACACACAACACAAACAATAAAGGTAGTAGGAAATGTACTCTAGCAAACAATCCCACACAGGCTTCCACAGCAGGGAAGGAAAGGAAGAGTGGGGAAGAGGCAAATGGACTAGATCAGTGAGGTGAAACTGTGAAGCAGTTTCCCTTCCAGGGACAGCTGGAGGCATTAAAGGGGAAATAAATGAAAATGGACTTTCTTATAGAATGTTTTCTAGAAGATACTCCAAAGCCAAAATTTGTATTGCATAAGGGACATCCTAAAAAGATTCAATCCAAGGAGGGTCACAGGTAGAAATGCTGTCATGGCTTGTTCCTGCCTGACAATTAAGAATTCATAATCATTTTTTTCTCCTCACTTCTCCAAAAACCTTCAGAAAAAATATTAGAAAGGGAAAAGTTAGATCCTATCACCTACAATCAGATACAGAACAAGTTTTGAGTACTTGAGATCCATAATACATAAAACATTGAGGCAAGAAATCGAAAGCACTATAAAGCTTCCCTGGGTCTCATTAAACTCTATAATCCATAATTCCTAAATATTTGTTAATGCCATTATAAGAACCACATCTTAAATGCAATCCCTTAAGGTGTTTGCATTCTTCTCCCTATTAACACACAATTTGTTGTTGCTGGGCCATGTGGGAGGCTGCTTTGTTGTGCCAACATGATCTACCAGAGGGCGCAGCTACTGCAAGATGCCTGGCAGTTCTTTAAGACTCTTTTTAAAAAAATATTCCTCATGATGCACAGAAAGATAAACAGTTACATTTTTTTTTTCACTAAGAGAGATCAGTTTAGCTTTAAAAAACCTCTATGTCTTTAACTTTTCACATAGTAAAGAGGAAGGGGCAGAAAACTGATAAGAATTAAAACTGTGGAATAGAATATTTCCCAAGGAACAAATCAACAGTTACTAACCCAAGAAACAGATGTGACTTTTGTTTAATGTTAAAATCAGGTACAAAAATTACATGTTAAATGAACACATATAGCTAATTCAGATGGGATTAAAGAAGGAATAATATTTAAGTGATCTGATTTCTTCACTACAGCAGAGTATGTGCATAGTATTTTGACAATCCTGAAAACACCCTGCATTACAGAAGAACAAAGTAACAGAGAAAGTTTAAAATTTTTTCATATAATTTCTTAAGTGTTTCTCCCAAAAGAAAATGTCTATTAGTCAGGTGCAGTGGCTCACACCTGCAGTCCCGGAACTCTGGGGGCCAGGGCAAGAGGATTGCTTGAGGCCAGGAGTTCAAGACCAGCCTGGGCAATATAGCGAGACTCTGTCTCTACAAAATAAGTAAATAAATAAGAAAAAAAAATATATGTCTGCCTGCAAGCAATCTCAATTTCTTCATTTTGGTTGCAATGCTTCTAGTAGAGATGATGTACAGACTTACTGCCTTTTCTCCCTTGAGGGAGAAGTCATTTATTTATTATGATTGCTGATAATTTCCATTCCCAAGTAATAGATTTGTTTTTTTCTTTGGAAATTTTTGCCCCAAATAAATGGCATATACTTTTTCATTACTGAAAATCTGTAAACTCAAGCACAAAACTGAACTCACTTTGGCAATCATATGAATGAGTGAATTAGAACAACACTGAAGCCATCCTGAGAGAACGCCCTTTTATATAAGATTCTGGTGCTTCCTTGAAATAGGCAGACGATTTTAATGAGAGCTAAGGTAACTGAAGTGAAGTCCCCATCTAAATCAATTTAAAAATCCACAACGAAACTCTGGCAAAAGCCATTCATGCACTTCTCTAGCATGAGCAAAAATTTAAAACATAACGCTGCCTTCTAAGTCTTCTAATCCCAGTAGGTCAGTTCTAACCTATTATTCATTTCGGTCTAAAGTTTACTTATTCTCATTCATGGAAATGCTGAAGTAAGAGTCAAAGAATGAAAGCACTGGAGTCTTTACCCTTGGAAGATTTTTCCTTTTCGTGTTTGCAACTTCACCAGCTCGGAAAAGCTTCCATTCCGTTAAAGTGACCGGCAAAGTTGTATCTTTTGTAAGCTTTGACCGCAAATAAGCCTGTGAGTTCTTTACTTCCATAGTCTTCCGGTGAAGGAACTGAGGTTTTGGAGGGAGCTAAAACAGGAGAAGATGTACTGGTAAGATCACCTAGTTTTGCTGTTGTTGCTTGTTTGTTTGTTTGAGATGGGGTCTTGCTCTGTCGCCCAGGCTGGAATGCAGTGGCACGATCATGGCTCATTGCAGCCTTGATCTCCTGAGCTCAAGTGATCCCCCCACCTCAGCCCCTTGAGCAGCTGGGACTACAGGCACGTGTCACCACATCCGGCTAATTTTTTCTTTTTTTTGGTAGAGATGGGGTTTTGCCAGGTTGCCCAGGCTAGTCTCAAACTCCTGGGCTCAAGCAATCCTCCCACCTCAGCCTCCCAAAGTTCTGGGATTACAGGTGTGAGCCACTGCACCTGGCCAGCATCATCTAGTTAATGCCTGTATTATCATACAAAGTCAAAGCTATTCCAGAAATGTATTTATCCTATATTTAATTTAAAATCATTTCAAATGAAGATAACATAATTTCTTTCTCACCATTTGTAAAGAAGTTTCTCAGGTTTCTAATCCAAAGTTCCACTACAAGGTAATCAAATTCCCAGAAAACAATGGCTCACAGTTTTCATGAACTCTAGGGAGCCTTTGCTTCTAGGCGTCTCACATACTTTCAGGGACTAGGAAGGTAATTTAATGGCCAAAGATTGATGTAGACTAATAGGGGGAGTGGGAACTATAGTAAACTGAAAAGTTCATGGCTGTCTAAAGGCATATATATTCAATTATTTTTGAAGTGTTAAAACAACAACCAAAAAAAAAAAAAAGCTGTATGTTATCCCAAAAAACAAAACAAAAATTAAAAAAACTACCACCAACATTAAAACTTACATTTCAGTGCCTCTTAGTTCTGGACCCAGTTAAATCCCCTTAATCTTTTTGTAGATACCATGAATAAGATTCTAATGTTTTCTTCAATTCATTATCTGGTTATACCTTGGGTGCTTTAAAAGCACTTTTAGCGGGTGGTAGCTTCCATGCTGAAGGGGATCTCCACATAGGTAAAGGCTGCACTGGAATATCTTCATATGGATTTTCTTTGGTGGGATCTTAAAAAATAATTTAAAAAAATGTTTACATGAACATAATTAAATGCAAAGATAACCACAGCTGGCAAAAGAAAGAAAAAGCTAACTATGTTCAGCTTTCTTATTCTACATTGCTGTAGGGATGTGGGTTTCCAGATCAACAGCAATTTAAGCTTATGGGTTCAACAGAGCTAAAAGAATTCTCAAAATAATATATTATAAACATGTACTTATAAGCTGAGCAGTCTATCACATTAGTTGTAAAATTCATTAGAGAATAAAATAATTTATACACCAAACGTTTCCATGCTAAAGAGAAAAACCTAGAGCAATATATGCTTGATTATAGAAGAAAATACCATCCTACAATTAAGGGCTTCACCAAATATATAATCACTAAATTTAACTGCAAAGTTGTCAACACCTACATATGATATCTTCATAGATATTGTCCTCAGACTGTGTGTAATAAAGTGCTGACCCAGAATTTCTTCCAAGTTCTTCACGAATCGTCTGTGAGTTCCGATTTCGAAAGTGCTGAATATCCTCAAATTCAAAGGATTTCCTTAAAAAAGGAGATATATTTTAAAGTTATATCTTTCAAAACTCTAATCTTTATTTTTTAAAATTTTTATTTATTTATTTGTTTGATTGTTTGTTTTATTATTATTTTTTGAGACAGAATCTCAGTCTGTTGCATAGGCTAGAGTTCAGTGGCACAGTCTTGGCTCACTGAAACCTCTGCCTCCCAGGTTCAAGCGATTCTACATTGCTGTAGGGATGTTGCACCTGGGATTAGAGGCGCGTGCCACCATGCTCAGCTCTTTTTTGTGTTTTAGTAGAGATGAGGTTTCACCATGACCGCCAGGCTGGTCTTGAACTCCTGACTTCAGGTGATCTGCCTGCCTCGGCCTCCCAAAGTGCTAGGATTACAGAAAATTCTAATCTTCTTTAAATTGGTATGGGAGACAGAAATAAATAAGTACAGAACTAGTGTGCAAAATTACAAAGGTGTTTTATCAGAGATCTAAGAATAATGAAGTAGGCTGTGCCTTACGAACACCATGAGAAAATTGGATGCTTGTAGCCAATCACATTCATGTTCTTCATTGGGTTCCTTTATTAAGCTCACTTTGTAAGGAAAAGTGGGGCTGAGGCCAGCATGCCCTAAATGAAGTGGAAGAATGTTACTGCTTCCCTACAGATTTTTTTGAATTTAATTTTTATTTTATGTTATTTTAGAGGCAGGGTCTCATTCTGCTGCCCAGGCTGGAGTGCAGTGAAGTGATCATGGCTCACTGTAGCCTGAGCTTTTGGGCTCAAGTAATACTCGCAAGTAGGTAGGACGACAGGAACACATCACTACACCTGGCTAATTTTTTCTTTTTTCTTTTTTTTTATAGAGACAGGGTCTCACTATGTTGCCCTGTCTAGTGTTTGGCTGGTCTTGAACTCCTGGCCTCAAGTGATCCTCCTGCCCCAGCCACCCAAAGTGCTGGGACTGAGCCACCACACCCAGCTCCTATAGATTAATTTTCTTTTTTTCTTTTTTTTTTTTTTTGAGACTGAGTCTTGCTCTGTCAGCCAGGCTGAAGTGCAGTGTCACGATCTCAGCTCACTGCAAGCTCAGCCTCCCAGGTTCAAGCGTTTCTTCTGCCTCAGCATCCCATATAGCTGGGACTACAGGTGCACACCACCACGCCCAGCTAATTTTGTATTTTTAGTAGAGACAGGGTTTCACCATGTTGGCCAGGCTGGTCTTGAACTCCTGACCTCAAGTGATCTGCCAGCCTCAGCCTCCCAAAGTGCTGGGATTACAGGAGCGAGCTACCGTGCCTGGCGCTGGCCCAGATTCTTAAAGATATATTAATAAAATGGAAGGTGTTCTGATGCTCTTATGTCAACAGATTATCTTAGCTATTACTACATTTCTACTTTTTTCACTTCTTATTTTCCTTCCACATTAATCAACACCTGCATGTTCAAAGCAGGGGCATCACCTAAGCTGGGAAATGGAAACTGGTTTGAAAAGGAAAAAGAAGCTCAATAATCCTGTAAGGAAAATACCTACAAGTCTTTATCTGTAGGATAAAAACATACCTTTTAGATCTTCCTCTGATTTTTCCACCATATTTCTTTGGTTCAGGTTCCTGAGAAGAGGCCAAAGAAGATTGTGCACAAGAGTTATTTTCACAGTATTTTTTGTCACAGTTTCTTTCTTTATACGGCGTAACACCAGATTCGGATAAATATCTGAATGTCCTACGAGGTTTTGGCAAAGGATTTATGGAAGGTCCACATTCTTGCCCCTCAGGTTCAGAGTAAATATTTTCTAAGCTCTTGGTTATTCCGTATGAACTATCCAGAACTCTGAAGTTCAGTTCTTTTTCTGAAGAGTCACAATGTTCTAAAGCCAAATTTAAGAGTTTATCTGGGGGAAGTGCTTCTATTTTCTTCCACAGTATTTGTGAGGTATAGAAGTTTCCTGGAGGTAATGAAGTCTCTGGATCTAAGACATCTTCTTTACAGCTTTCAATTTCTTTGACCCGAGAACATACCCAGTTGGATTCTGATTCATTTTTAAAGAAGTGTGTATCGTCATATTCATGTTTCTTATTTTCATTCTCACTTTGATCATGGCTTTTGGTATTTTCATTTATATCTAGACCCACATTTTCACGGCTGGTTACATCCAAGTTTTTGCTCTTTCTCTCAGCTATAGGATTTTTCTTAAGACGGATCTCTTGGTGACAGTTATATCTCACTCCAAAGTCCTTTGGACACCACTTTTCTGGATTAGATATACCATTAGCCCTTCCTTCCCATTGAGAAATTTTTTGTTTGATGTTTTTGCAGTGGCTTCTTGACAGTGTCTGAACAGTAGTACGAGAAAAACCAACATCCATGTTCCCAACTGGGTGAATGACAAGTGATGAATCTTACAAAGGTTCCATTACAAGTAAATGTGAAATATTGTATTCTTTATCCTGTCAGAATCCAAATGATTCCAGTATTTTCCCTTCATGTTTAACTTGTAAATCTCTTTGTAAAAAGAAAATTTTGATCAGTGATCCTTGTTGAAAATGGCTACAACCTGATCTTGAATAATCCTGTTAAAATGACACAAAAATATGTTAACACATTTTATAATTTCCTAATTTAAAACTCCACTAAAACATTGCCCACCTATCCCTACATAATTCATATACATTGCATATGTAAAAACATACCTGTAATCTATTAAGTAATTCAACTACATAAAGGCACTCCTAAGATGGTGAGATAATAATACTAACAAAACATTATTTGTGGTATTTTTCAGATTGTCAGCTTTAATGTTCTGCCATATTTAATTTCCTAAAGTTAGGTAGAATGAGGTTTTAGAAGAGATTATACATAGCAGTATACAATATTTTTGTAATAAATTAATTCTTTTTTTTTTTTTTTTTTGAGACAGAGTCTCGCTCTGTCACTAAGTCTGGAGTGCAGTGGTGGTGATCTTGGCTCACTGCAACCTCTGCCTCCTGGGTTCAAGTGATCTTCCCCCTCAGCCTCCTGAGTAGCTGTGACTACAGGTACATGCCACCACACCCAACTAAGTTTTTGTATTTTTCGTAGAGACGGAGTTTCTCCATGTTGCCCAGGCTGGTCTTGAACTTCCTGAGTTCAAGCAATCCACCCCCTTGGCCTCCAAAAGTGCTGGGATTACAGGCATGAGGTACCGCACCCAGGCATAAATTAATTCTTTATGAAACCTTCTCTTAATGAAACAAGGAGCATATATATACACAGAATTACATCTCAAAACCCCCCCAAAATTTATATATGTCCACAGCAAGAGCCAGTTAGCATGGAAACACACCAATAGCCAACTTTCTCCTCCTGTCCTACGTTGATTAATAATATCAGCCCATCACATAGCCTATTTC
Organism: Homo sapiens; assembly: GCF_000001405.40. Lineage (NCBI taxonomy): Eukaryota > Metazoa > Chordata > Mammalia > Primates > Hominidae > Homo > Homo sapiens. Next base: position 114,627,008 of record NC_000001.11, read on the forward strand.
AACTTTACTATTAGCAGCACAGGATTCCATATACACTAAAGACAACTCAAGGTGCCCATGAACTATCAGTTGCCTTAAAATGTAATAACCTATTTGACGACTGGACTTCCCACATCTATGCTACCACACCCTTGACCCAAATCAATACAAATACTTACAGCCACTGTCACATTCCTTCCTTTCACACAGAGGCTTCATTCAGGCCCATAAACCGTTTCCTTATATGTAAGCTTCAGCGGAAAACTTTTCCTACCAACTGAGTGAAGACCTGATCTCAAGTTCTACTGTATACTTGTTAAAAATAGCAGTTGATTCAAAACTTCCTGAGGCAGGGATCATCCTTCCTTGAGCTTTGTCTGTGTGGCCTTGATTAACAGGCAGGAAAATATCTTAGCCCAGCTCTGTCAGTATAGCTGACCAAAACTGTTATATACAGAAAGCACACAAAAGTGTTATTCTTGGCAGAGCAACTGCTAACTAAGAATTCCATCAACTTTTATTTAAACCATTCCTACATACAAATTTCTGGGAAAACCAGCTTTGCCAGCAAATAAACTTTGGTGATAGTCTGACGCAAAAAAAAAAAAAAAAAAAATCCAAAAAACTTTAAGAAATTAAGCTCATGTGGATGAAAAAAAATAACTATACCCAAAGCCCAAAGCACCAAAACTGTTGCACAGAACTCTTGATAAAAAACTAATGCATACAATTTAAAGATCTAATCTGCTACTGTTGATTATTAAAACTGAAAATTCTTTTCTTGCTTCTGGTATTTATAAGGAATTCCTAGGATTTTAGGGTGTCTTTGAGACTCAGGTTTTCTTCACTATAGACAAGACAGGACTTTTTTCTCCAGCTCCTGGGAAGTCCCTAGAGGTTTTTGGTGGTCCTGGTTAACCCTTTCTTTATTTTTCTCTGGTTAATGTGTCTTAAGTGTGAATGGCTCAAATTGAGAAAAAAAAATGAAAATTGTCAGGGCTAAAAAAAAATTTTAACTTGAAAATTACTAGCAACATGGCTGGGTGTGGTGGCTCATACTTGTCATCCCAGGACTTTAGGATGCTGAGGCAGGAGCATCACTTGAGGCCAGGAGTTTGCGACCAGCCTGGGCAATATAGTGAGACTTCATCTCTACTAAATAAATAAATAAATAAATAAAATTAGCTGTGCATGGTGGCATGTACCTGTAGTCCCAGCTACAAGCTGGGAGGCTGAGGCAGGAGGACTGCTTGAGCCCAGATGTTGGAAGCTGCAGTAAGTTATGATCACAGCATTGCAATTTAGCCTGGGTGATGGAGCGAGACCCCAACTCAAAAAAAAAAAAAAAAAGGTAAAAGTCAAATGACTGGCAACAAATGGCTAAATCTACGGAATTCACACACAAATATAAATGATGTGTACTGATGGTGTTTCAGTTGAACAGAGTAGCACAGCAGGGTAAGACTCTCCTAAAATATGTAGGTATTTTCTTTCTCCTAAATGTATGCTTTAATACATGATAGCTTTCGAAAAATGAACTATTTCAAAAATAAAAGCACTTTAATGAATTTTAACTAGATCTATGACTGTTACTGATAACACAGAAAATCTTTCTTAGAGCTGATTTCACAGTCCCAATTTTTGCCAAATTAACTTATACCCTTTATAATGTGGCTTGCGTGTTCTCACATACAGGTTGTGATTTTGTCCCGTGTAAAAATAAGAGTTGCTCACTTCAGTTATTTTCTTACAGGAACCTCACATCTGTCCCTTTAACCTAATTATATTCTGAGCCACCTTGCTCCTCAGCGCCTCCTCTCCCATGGCTCTCCTAGCCTGCAAGATCTTATTCATCCCATTCCTCATCTTCCCAGTTTCTTGCCTTAACCTCCATTATTGGTAGACATCCTAACTCCTAAGTGCTGGCCCAACTTTCAAATCCTAGATCTCTCCCAAGATTTATCTTTTGAAAACTTCCTAAAGCCAACTTATTTGTATACTTGTCCTAGAGACTGCTTTCTCAAGCTTGCTTTAACAGTTCCAACAGAAACAGAGGTTGAGAAAATCTAACAGTTTCAACAATTTTAAAAATCATTTTGTCTTTTCTTTTAACAGCAGGAAATGAGTCAGAGACTTTTCCAGCTATTAAAAACTATTGAAGTCAGGTAGGATTCACAAAAAGAGAAGGTAGAGCACACATAACCACAATGGACAATCTCAACAAAAGAAACAACAGCGGTCATTCAGTTCCTCACCTGAACAATAGAAGTATAAACATAAAAACTCAAGCATGACTTTTTTCTTTTATGAGATGAAGTTTTGCTCTTGTTGCCCAGGCTGGAGTGCAATGGTGCAACCTCGGCTCACTGCAACCTCCGCCTCCCAGGTTCAAACAATTCTCCCGCCTCAGCCTCCTGAGTAGCTGGGATTACAGGTGCCCATCACCACACCCAGCTAGTTTTTTATGTTTTTAGTAGAGACAGGGTTTCACCATGTTGGCCAGGCTGGTTTCGAACTCCTGACCTCAGGTGATCCACCCGCCTTAGCCTCCCAAAGTGCTGGGATTACAAGCGTGAGCCACTGTGCCTGGCCAAGCATGATTTTTAGAAGCATAATCAAACAGCATACTTGGAGATGACTCTTAATCATGTCCCTTTCTTTTTATTTTCTATTGCTCTTCTGTGTATTTATTTTCATCCAAGAAATATACCAACTGTAGTTTATCAGCTTAAAATATAATTTATAACATAACCTATCATATATAGAATTCTGTGTTTTTAACATATTAAGAGAAACCAATCTGAATTCACTCCAGTAAATTAAATTCTCTTTGGGAAAGAGGATACTGATGTTCTATTTTACCAATTCAAGTCTTGGATAGGGCAAGTTTCTCACTCCAAATCTTTTAAAATATTTTATTTGATTAGATATAAGCATCTGGAAAAATAACTTGGAAGAATTTGGAACATTCTAAAACCTGATTTACAAAATAATGAAGGGGTACACTGTAAAAATAGTGAATTTTACCTTAATTAAAAAGAAAACTGGCTGGGCGTGGTGGCTCACGCCTGTAATCCCAGCACTTTGGGAGGCTGAGGCGGGCGGATCATGAGGTCAAGAGATTGAGACCATCCTGGCCAACACAGTGAAACCCCATCTCTACTAAAAATTAGCTGGGCATGGTGGCATACGCCTGTCATCCCAGCTACTACTCAGGAGGCTGAGGCAGGAGAATCGCTTGAACCCGGGAGGTAGAGGCTTCAGTGAGCCGAGATCGCGCCACTTCATTCCAGTCTGGCGACAGAGCGAGATTCGTTCAAAAAAAAAAAGAAAAGAAAAGAAAAGAAAATTTATGAAAGGGACCAGGGAAACTTCACTTCTGGCCATGATGGAGTAGCTGAACTAGGCTTGCCTTTCCCACATCAATAACTATAAAACTGGAAAAATATATAAAATAAGTGCTTTCAGATACTGGATAACAGACAGCTTAAGATTGTGATCCCTGAAAGAAGAGAGGAAAATGAGGCAGGTCCTATGATGGCCCAGCTTTCTCCCTGGAAACTCCAGAAAGTAGGGTCAGGAGGGAGAACCCAAACAGACATGGCAACCTTACCGAGTTGAGGATAACAAGATTGGAATATGGAGACTGAGGCAAATGGAATTTTCAGGGCACAGTATCAGAAAAGAGAGCAACATAGAGAAAAAGCTCCAGAAATCTACATAGAGTCCCCTTGAATCTTTGGTTGAATACTAAGTTGCTAATGCATAGGATAATACTACATGAGGCTAGACAACAAACAACTAGTGGAGAAAGAAAAACTATGGGAGATTTTTAAGCTAACCCAGGGTTCACTAGCTCTGGGAAACCTTCAAAGTCCAACAACAGAGGAGCAACCTCATTGAATGCCCAGGTAATTCAGAAGAGAAACAAGAGGTCATGATTTACCAGCAGGATGAAATTAACCCTAGAGTAAAGACTATCTTAGAGCCACCCTAACAAGGATTAAGTTGATTCTTATGAAATTTAAGTACTCACAAAAACAAAATTCAATAATTTTTACATGAAGACAACTAAATCCAGACACCCAGCAATGTAACATTTAAAATGTCTGGGCACTGTGGCTGATGCCTGTAATCCCAGCACTTTGGGAGGCCAAGGTGGGTAGATCACCTGAGGTCAGAAGTTTGAGACCAGTCTGGCAAACATGGCGAAACCCCATCTCTACTAAAAATACAAAAATCAGCTGAATGTGGTGGCACATGCCTGTAATCCCAGCTACTGGGGTGGCTGAGGGAGGGGAACTGCTTGTACACAGGAGGAGGAGGTTGCAGTCAGTCAAGATAGCACTCAAGCCTTGGCGACAGAGCAAGACTCCATCTCAAAAAATAAATTAAAAAAAATAAAATGAAATAAAATAAAATGTCCGTCATCTAATCAAAATTACTAAACATACAAAGAAACCTGAAAATGAGACCTATACCCAGGAGAAAAATCAATCAATAGAAGTAGAACCGGGCCAGGCGTGGTGGCTCACGCCTGTAATCCCAGCACTTTGGGAGGCCAAGGCAGGCGGATCATGAGGTCAGGAGATCGAGACCATCCTGGCTAACACGGTGAAACCCCATCTCTACTAAAAATACAAAAATTAACCGGGAGTGGTGGCGGGTGCCTGTAGTCCCAGCTACTCGGGAGACTGAGGCAGGAGAATGGCCAGAACATGGGAGGCGGAGCTTGCAGTGAGCCGAGATTGTGACACTGCACTCCAGCCTGGGCAACAGAGCGAGACTCTGTCTCAAAAAAGAGAAAAAAAAAGTAGAACCAAAATAATACAAAATAAGAGAAATCGAACCAAAACAACAGACATGATGGAATTGGCAGACAGGGACTTCAATTCAGCTATTATAAATATTTTCATAAATTTGAAGGAAAACATGAACATAAGTAGAGTAATGGAAGATATTTAAAAAAGACAACAAATAAAACTTCTGGAGCTTAAAAATATACTATCTGAAATGAAAAATTCACTGGATGTGTTGAATAGCAGATTTTAGTTGTTTTAGAAGGAATGACCAATAAAGTTGAATAAGTAGCAATAGAAACTGTTTTTAAAAAGCCTGAAGCACAAAGTGAAGAAAAAAAGCTAAAACAAAGATGAAAAACAGAGCTTCACTGGGACAACATCAAGTGGTTTTGCTTTACCCTACATATAACTGGAGTCGCAGAAATGAAGGGGTCGGGAGTGGGGACAAATATTTCAAGTAATAACAGATGAAAATTTTCTAAATTTGATGAAAACTCTAAACCCAAAGATCCAAGAGGCTCAACAAACCCCAAACAGGATAAACACAAAGAAAGCCACAAGGAAAACCATAACCAAGTTGCTAAAAACCAGTGATAAGGAGAAAATTCTTAAGAAGTCAGAGAAAAAAAATATATATACAGGGGAAACAAGGTAAGCCAGAAAACAAGGAAAATTTTTAAAGTGCTAGGAAAAAAACCAACAACTGCAAATCTAGAATTCTAGACACAATCTTCAAAATGAAGGTGAAATAAAAATGCTTTCAGTTAAACATAAGCTGTAAAAATTTGTCAACAGCAGGCCTGCATTCAGAGCCAGTGACATAATTTATGAGTCCAAGTACAAATTGAAAATGTGAGATCCCTGTTCAAAAGGCAGTAAAAGTGCCTTTAAAGGTACACATAAAGTTTTTTCTTTTCTTCTGCAGCCTTGCTTTCAACTTGTGGGGTTTTTTTTAAATTTTCTATTTAACATTGTTTTAAGTAAACAAAGAAAATTATGCTATTAGCAGAAATTTTACACTTATCTGTATTTAGTGCCCATTTTAAATGCAAATATGAGCACATTCAACTCGTATGCAGGATCACGTAAAAATTTTAAAGTTCTTCAAGTTGAAGAAAAAATGATACCAGATAGATATCTGGATCTAAAAAAGGAATGAGGAGAACAAAAAATGGTACTTGTGGATAAATATACAAGGCATATTTTTTTATTAATCTCTTTAGAAGATGACTTGACTAAAGTAAACATAATGCACTGTGAAATTTACAACAATGTGGAAATAAATGTAAGACAAGGCATAAAGGTAGGGATGGAAAATTGTGTATGGTGTTGTAAGTTTCTCTAACCCACAATGGAACTGAATTAAAAATCACTTTATGCCGGCGCGGTGGCTCACGCCTGTAATCCCAGCACTTTGGGAGGCAGAGGCAGGTGGATCTTGAGGTCAGGAGTTCAAAATCGGCCTGGCCAACATTGTGAAGCCCCGTCCCTACTAAAAATACAGAAACTGGCCAGGCGTGGTGGTGCCTGCCAGTAATCCTAGCTACTCAAGAGGCTAAAGCATTAGAATCGCTTGAAGCAAGCGAGGTTGCAGTAAGCCAAGATCGCACCACTGTGCTCCAGCTTGGGCAACAGAGTGAGACCCTATCTCAAAAAAAAAAAAAAAAAAAAAAAGAAAAAGAAGGAAGGAAGGAAGGAATGAAGGAAGGAAGGAAGGAAAAAGAAATCACTTTATATATGATATGAAGTGGTACTTTATACATAATTTGAAAGTGATGTGTTAAAGTTGTGTTATAAACCCTAATGAAACTATTAAAAGAAAAAAAAAGGAATGGCTAAGAAGTCAACAAAGAAAGATGAAATGGAATTCTAAAAAAATAATTGATGCCAAAAAAGCAGGGGAGTTGGAGGGGGAACCCTAAGAACGGTAACAACAATAGTAAAAAACTCACATGGAACAAACAGAAAATGAATAGCAAGATGGTACACTTAAATTTGACTATATCAATAATTATACTGTATATAAATGGGTTAAGCTCTAAGTACAAGGCAAAGATTATCAAACTTAATTTAAAAAGCAAGACCTAACTCTATGCTGTTCATAAAAAAATGCACTTTGAATACAAAGAGATAGATCTGTTAAAGAGACATAAACAGTAAACACTATCATAAGAAAGCTGGATTGTCTATGTTAATATCAGACAAGGTAGACTCCTGAGCAAGAAATAACAGCAGTGATAAAGAAGGACATTACAAAGAAGGTAATAGGTGCAATTCATCAAGAATACCTAGCAATCCTAATGTTCATGCACCTAATAAGAGTTTCAAAAATGTAAGAAGCAAGAAAATATCAGAACTAAAAAGCCAAATGGACAAATCCACAATTTTAGTTGGGGATTTTAACTTTTCAACAGTAGTTGATAAAACATATAGACAGAAAATCAGTAAATATATAAAAGATTTCAATATCACTATCAATCAACTTGACTTAATTGACATTTTAGAACACTTTACTCAACAAACATAAAGTACATACTCTTTTCTTTCTTTTTTTTATTTTTTTGAGACAGAGTCTCACTCTGTTGCCCAGGCTGGAGTGCACTGGCACAATCTCGGCTCACTGCAGCCTCCGCCTCCTGGGTTCAAGCAATCCTCCTGCCTCAGCCTCCTGAGTAGCTGGGACTATAGACGCGTGCCACCAAAAATACTCTTTTCAAGTGTGCATGAAACATTCACCAATAGACCATATGTTGGGCCATAAAATAAGACTCAATAAATTTTAAAAGACTGACATCATACTGAGAATGTTCTCTAGCCCAAAATGGAACTGAAAGAGAAATCAGTAACAAAAAGATATCTGGAAAATCCCAAATTATTTGGAAACAAATCTTTTAAAATAAAAAAGTTTAAAAACAATAAGTGAGGATACTACTTCTTGATATTTGAAACTGGAACACGGCCGGGCATGGTGGCTCAAGCCTGTAATCCCAGCACTTTGGGAGGCCGAGGCGAGCAGATCATCTGAAGTTAGGAGTTCAACACCAGCCTGGCAAACATGGCAAAACCCTGCCTCTATTAAAAATACAAAAATTAGCCAGGCGAGGTGTCATGCACCTGTAATCCCAGCTACTGGGGAGGCTGAGGCACGAGAATCGCTTGAACCTGGGAGGCGGAGGTTGCAGTGAGCCGAGATCATGCCACTGCACTCCAGCCTGAGTGATAGAGTGAGACTCCGTCTAAAAAAAAAAAAAAAAAAGAAAAAAAAGAAAAAAACTGGAACACACTTTACCTCATAAAAGTTTCAAATTACTATTTTAAATTTCTCTCTAGGTTAGGTGCTCTACCTTAACATTTGTTTAAATTGTCCCATTGCTAATCCTGCATAAAATGTACCAACCTTTTCAACATTGTGGTCTTCAACATTCTATACTGAAATTTGAGTGTCATCATTCCACCTAATAATATCTTTAAAAAGATCAATATTTAAAGTTCTCCCTTAAGAAGAAAAAAAGCATAAACCCAAAGAAACTGGAGGAAAATAAAAAATGAGTATTAATGAAATAGATGAACATAGGATAAAAATCAATGAAACAAAAAACTGCTTCTTTGAAAACATTAGTAAATTGACAGATCTCTAGGCAAAGCGAACAAAAAAAGAGTCTCAGGCTGCAGTGGGCTATGATTGCACCACTGCATTCCAGCCTGGGTGACAGAGCAAGACCGTCTCTTAACAAAAAATAGGAGAAGAAAAAGAAATAATACCAATCATATACAAACTCATTCAGAAAACAGAGGAAGTAGAAACAATTTCAACTCATTTTATGAGACCAGCATTACCTTACCAGGTAACTGGGCAAAAAACTTAGAAAAGAAAAATACAGAATAATATAACTCATGAACATAAATGCAAAAGTCCCTCTAAAATATTAGTAAGTCCACTGGGCGCGATCACTCACACCTGTAATCCCAACAATTTGGGAGGCTGAGGAGGGCAGATCACTTGAGGTTAGGAGTTCGAGACCAGCCTAGGGAACATGGTGAAACCGGTCTCTACTAAAAATATAAAAAGTAGCCAGGCATAGTGGCGTGCACCTATAATCCCAGTTTCTTGAAAGACTGAGGTAGGAGGATTGCTTGAACCCAGGTGGTGGAGGTTGCATTGAGCCAAGATCACGCCTCTGCACTCCAACCTGGGCAACAGAGCAAGACTCCATCTCAAAAATAAATAAATAAATAAAACATATAAAAATATATAATATATATATAAGCAAATCAAACTCATAAATAAATATACAGAAAGGATACCAGAATGCAAGGTTGCTTTAACATTAAAAGTCACCATGTTTATGGGATAAAGAAAACTATGTATTTATCTTAATAGATGAAGAAAAAGCATTTGAAAAAATTTACACTTTCAGCAAATCGGAAATAGAAGAGAATTTCCACAATCTGATAAAGTATCTATAAATAAAAAAACCCACTGCTGATATCACAATAAGTGGTAAAGACCAAATACTTTTTCCTTAAGAATGGGAAAAAGGCAAGGATGTCTCCTCTTACCACTTTTATTCAACATTGTAAAAGAAGTTTACAAAGGCCAGGTGCAGTGGCTCATGCCTGTAATCCTAACACTTTGGGAGGCCAAGGAGGACAGATGGCTTGAGCTCAGGAGTTCAAGACCATCGTGGGCAAAGTGGTGAATCCAGTCTCTACAAAAAATACCAAAATTAGCCAGGCATGGTGGTGCGTGCCTGCAGTCACAGCTACTTGGGAGATTAAGGTGGGAATGGGGGGAGGACTGCTTCAGTCTGAGAGGTCGAGGCTGCAGTGAGCAGATCTCGTCATTCCAGCCTGGGTGACAGAGTGAAACCCTGTCTCAAACAACAGCAACAAAAAAAACATAATGAATAAGGCAAGAAAAACTAAGTAAAAGGCATAGAGATTGTAAAAGAAGTAAAGCTGTTTTTTTTTTCCTGCAAACAATATGATTGTAAATGTAGGAATTCCTAAGAAATCTATGTTACAAGATATGAGAATTCATAAGAGAATTTAGCAAGGTCTCAGAACACATGGTCAGTATAGAAGAATTAACTGTGCCTCTATATACTAAGAATAAACGATTGGAAAATGAAATTCAAAATAACAGGTACAACAGCATAAAAACATGAAACATTGGCCAGGTATGGTGGCTCACAACTGTAATCCCAGCACTTTGGGAGGTCAAGGCAGGCAGATCACTTGAGGTCAGGAGTTCGAGACCAGCCTGGGCAATATGGTTAAACCCTGTCTTTACTAAAACAAAACAAAACAAAAATACAAAAAAAAACCTTAGCTAGGCGTGGTGGTGCATGCTAAAAGAGACTAAAATGTGGTTTTGCCATGTTGCCCAGGCTGGTCTTGAACTCCTGGCCTCAAGTGATCCGCCTGTCTTAGCCTCCCAAAGTGGTAGGAGTAGCTGTAGTCCCAGCTACTCAGGAGGCTGAGGCACAGGAATCGCTTGAACCCAGGAGGTGGAGGCTGTAGTGAGCCAAGATCGTGCTACTGTAACTCTAGACTGGGCAACAGAGCAAGACTCTGTCTCAAAAAAAAAAAAAAAAAAAGAAAAGAAAAGAAAAAGAAATACTTAGGGATTCAAGATGTGTAGACTGAAAACCACAAGCTAATGTGGAGTAAAAAATAAAGAATAACTACATACACAGATATTACACATTAATGTACTGGAATATTCAAGATTTTTTTTTTTGTTGAGACAGAGTCTTGCTCTGTCGCCCAGGTTGGAGTGCAGTGGTGGGATCTCGGCTCACTGCTGCCTCAACCTCTCGGGTTCAAGCAATTCTTGTGCTTCAGCCTCCCAAGACTGCAGGTGTATGCCACCACACCTGGCTAATTTTTATATCTTTAGAAGAGACTAAAATGTGGTTTTGCCATGTTGCCCAGGCTGGTCTTGAACTCCTGGCCTCAAGTGATCCGCCTGCCTTGGCCTCCCAAAGTGCTAGGATTACAGGCGTGAACCACTGGGCCTGGCTAGGAATATTCAACTTTGTTACTATAAAAAATTATCTCAAAATTGATCTACAGATTCAACACAATCTCCAGATTGTTGAATCTGTAGATTCAACAAAATCACAGCAGGTTTTGCTGTAGAAATTGACAAGTTGATTTTCAAGTTTATAAGGAAAGGCAAAGAATCTAGATTAGCCTAAATAATTTTCAAAACGAAGAATAAAGCTGGAGGGCATAGACTACCTGATTTTAAGACTTATAAAACTAAGTAATCACAACAATGTATATTAGTTGACAGGACAGACAAAAGGATCAGCAGAAGAGCACAGAGTCCAGAAATGAACCCACATATATATAGTCAATTGATTTCCACAAAGCTGGGGAAAGAATAATCTTTTCAATAAATGGCATCAGAACAAATAGGTATCTATCTGTAAAAAAAAATGAACCTCAACCTTTACCCATAACATTTACAAAATTTAAGTTGAAATAGATCATAAACCTAACTACTAAGAGCTAAAACCACAAACTTTCTGGAAGAAAAAAATCTTCACGACCTTGAGGAAGAAAAAGATGTCTTAGGACACAAAACACATTAACCATAAAGAAAAAGAATGGATACATTGGACTTCATCAAAATTAAAACCTTCTGCTCACTTAAGACATTGGCTTAAAAATTAAATGGAGCTGGGTGCAGTGGCTCACACCTGTAATCCCAGCACTTTGGGGGGCCCAGGTGGGAGGATCATTTGAGCCCAGGAATCTGAGACCAGCCCTGGCAACATAGTAAAACTCCGTCTCTACAAAAAATTTTTTAAAAAATTAGGCGGGCATGGCGTTGTGCGTCTGTAATCCCAGCTACTTGGGAGGCTGAGGTGGGAGGATTGCTTGAGCCTGGGAAGTCAAGGATGTAGTGAGCGATGATTACACTACTGCACTCCAGCCTGGGCAACAGAGCCAGACCTTGTCTCAAAAAAAAAAAAAAAAAGAGAAAAAAGAAAAAAAAAGAAAGAAAAGAAAGAATATATAGACAGAAAATCAGTAAATATATAAAGACTTGAATATCACTATCAATCAACTTGACTTAATTGGCAAGAAACAAAGAAATAAATGGCAAGCCACAGACTGGGAAAAAATATCTGCCATACATATATCTGATGAGGACTTAAATCCAGAATAAAAAATTATTACACCTAAAAAGTCAAACAACACAACTAAAATATGAGTAAGATTTGAACACTTTACAAAAGATTTATGAGTAGCCAATAAGCACAATAAAGCACATGAAAAGATGCACACCATCCTGAGTCACCAAGAACATGCAAATTAAAACACAAGATTCTAAAATTACACACCCACTAGAATGGCTAAAATTTAAAAGAATGACAATACAAAAGATTGGAGCACCTGCAACTCTCAAGTATTGCTAGCGTAACATGGTGCAACCCCTTTGGAAAGCAGTTTCTTACAAAATTTAACATATAATTGCTATATGATGAAGCCATTTGGCCAGGCGCGGTGGCTCATGCTTGTAATCTCAGCACTTCGGGAGGCTGAGGCCGGTAGATCACGAGGTCAGGAGTTTGAGACCAGCCTGGCCAACATGGTGAAACCCCACCTCTACTAAAAATACAAAAAATTAGCTAGACTGGTGGTGGGTGCCTGTAATAATCCCAGCTATTTGGGAGGCTGAGGCAGGAGAATTGCTTGAACCCATGAGGTGGAGGTTGCAGTGAGCTGAGATTGTGCCATTGCACTCTAGCATGGGCAGCAGGAGGGAGACTCCATCTTGAAAAAAAAAAAAAAAGAATTTTTATTTCAGTTATTATATTTATCAGCTCTTAATTTTCTATTTGGTTCTTTTTTTCTTCATATTCCAACTGTATTTTGAAATATTCCATCTCTTCATCCATTATATTAATTTTTTTTTTTTTTGAGATGGAGTTTTGCTCTTGTTGCCCAGGCTGGAGTGCAATGGCTTGATCTCGGCTCACTGCAACTTCGGCCTCCTGGTTCAAGCAATCTGAAGTGCTGAAATTACAGGCATGAACTACCTGGCCACCACTGCCTTTTTAATTCTATCAATATTAAGCTGGAAAGAGCATGGCTGCAGTTTCACATAGTTTTGGTTCACCTCTGTAATCAACTCTGGCAGGGCATTACTGCATAATATGTGGGACTGCATAATATGTGGGACTACACAATTTCTTTGTATCTCTCCTGTCCTCCTTCAATGCTGCTTTTGTAGCAAAAGCTGGGAGAAAGAGGACACAGCAGATAATTCCTGGGCTAAATGGTTTGTTTTTCCATTTGAGATTCTTCCAGATTCCAATCTACATTTCAATTTCAACGATTTACACCATTAACTAAGGCTTGTCTGATTTTCCCTTGGCTCCATAAAGTCTTACCATCTATGTCAGAGCTACTTAAATCCAGATCATGTGCTTGTCCCAGGTGTAAAAGTTCCTGTGGCCCTCTGCTCATTTATGAGAGGCTATTTTTACTTTGAAAATCAGTTCATGAAAGTTTATTTGCATCCACTGCTAGTCACTAGCCCGAGAGAAATATATGATTTTTATTTTGTCTAGACTGTTCTTGTTACTATCAGAGCAAAGGTATTTTTATGTCCTTCTACATCCTAAATGGAAGTCTTGAAATAATCAATGAAATAAGATAGTGTAGAATAGAATACATCAGAGTACACTGCATGTAAGTATTGCTTCAGAAATGTTTGTTTCAGAGGTGTGTGCATGTGTGTGTGACCATGGTGGGGTATGGTCAGAAACTTGTGGAAAGCGTCTGTTCTAGAGACATTAAGGTCCACTTCAGTGCTAAGCAGGAGTTCAGAGAAAAGATGCAAGGACACGAATCTTTAAAGAAAATAGTCTACAGCTAGATCAACTTCATGCACTGAAACTGTTCGGAAACCCGAAGGCTTTTACACATCAACACAGAACAAAGTCAGTCTCTGGAAAAATACACAAAAACATAAATTTTTTTTAAGTTTTATCACAATTTAACACAAAACACAATTTTAACATAATAAATAACTGCTGTTAAAGAGTAAAACACATGCAGATATTTTAATAACAAACAGCCTTTGATTTTTTAATTAAAGCTATTTAATAGTTTGAGTGCCTGTGTACTAGTCTCAATTTGTCTCAATTTATTGCTTACTGATTGCTATTATTAGCTTGACAATGCACAGAAATTCTGAAGAGAGAATATGTTCCTGTTATGTTTGGCTTCCTTAAAAAAAAATCTTTCTAAAATCTGTTTTTTAGAGAGCAGGAAAGAGATAAGAAGATTCTCTGAAGGTAGGAAAGCCATTCCTAGGTGAACAGAATAAATCACTTTGGCCGGGCATGGTAGCTCATGCCTGTAATCCCAGTACCTGTTGGGAGGTCAAGGTGGGAGAATTGCTTGAGCCCAAGAGACCAGCCTGGGCAACATAGCGAGATCCTTTCTCAAAAAAAAAAAAAAAAAGAAAAGAAAAAGAAAAAAAATCGCTTTGAACTCAGCAATTAGAGGCAATACTAACATAATGGCAAAACAAATATATAGCTGATACAGTTTGGATATTTGTCCCCTCCAAATCTCATGCTGAAATCTGATCTCCAATGTTGGAAGTGGGGTTGAGTGGGAGGTGTTTGTGTCACAGGGATGGATCCCTCATGAATGGCTAACTGCCCTCCCTAAGGTAACAAGTGAGTTCTTGCTCTATTAGTTAACACAACAGCTGGTTATTTGAAAGATCCTGGCACCTCCTCTCAACTCTCTTGCTCCCTCTCTTGCCATGTGACACGTCTCCTCCCCCTTCACTTTCCACCATGATTGTAACCTTCCTGAGGCCTCACCAGAAGAAGATGCTAGGGTCATGCTTCTTGTCCAGCCTGAAGAACCATAAGCCAAATAAACCTCTTTTCTTTATAAATTACCCAGCCTCAGGTAATCCTTTATAGCAACGCACAATGGACAAATACAATAGTCAACAAATACTTATGAAACAATTGGGAAAAGCCAACTGCACAGTTTTAAACCTATTTTAAAATGTCGTAGGTACACAAAACTTGTGTTTTTATGATGCATACAAAAATAAGATCATAATTTTGCCACTAAACTAGTTTCCGGTATATATCATATATATACACACATATATGTATATATATATATTTTTTTGAGATGGAGTCTTGCTCTGTCACCTTGGCTGGAGTGAAGTGGCACAATCTCAGCACACTGCAACCTCTGCCTCCCGGTTCAAGTGGTTCTCCTACCTTAGCCTCCCAAGTAGCTGGGATTACAGGCATATGCCACCACGCCCAGCTAATTTTTGTATTTTTGGTAGAGACGGGTTTCACCCTGTTGGGCCGGCTGGTCTCAAACTCCTGGTCTCAAGTGATCCGTCCGCCTCGGCCTCCCAAAGTGCTAGGATTACAGGTGTGAGCCACCGCGCCCAGCTAATAAAATTAAGCAGGTAAATATTTCATGGTGTGCAAGAGATAAGATAAAGTCTATACTCCTTAATATGACATATAAGGTCTTTCACCCTCTAATTCAAGCTCTGACTCTTGCCACTTGCCTTACTCACCAGCTACATATTTTCCAATAATGCCAAATAATCTGGAACTATTAGCAGTCCAAAGTTAGAATGTTCGAGTTAGAATTCAAACACTAACATAGATTTGGTTCTTGGTTGTAAATCATTAGTCCAATTAACCCTTCTAAGCTTGTTTTCTTATCTGTAGAATGATCACAATGTTTACAGATAATACTTACTGAGCACTTAATATGAGCCAGGCATAGCTCTACTAACTTTAACCATATTAACTCACCTAATTCTTGTAACAACCCCATGAGGTAGATACTACTGTTAATCTCATTTTACAGATAAGGCAATGAGGCACCAAGAGGTTAAGTAACAAATACATGTCTTAGCATCCTTTGGCACAACAGATACAGATATTTATTTTATAAGGTTGTGAGGATTAAATATCAGATAAAGTAAATAAAATGTTTAAGACAGTGACTGGAATACAGTAACTGCTCAATAAATGACAGGTACTATAAATTTCTCTCTGAATACACCATGTACTTTCAAGATCAGTTGAAAGTTTTTCCGTGAAAGCTTCCTTAGCCCTTTCCCCAGAGTTAATCACTCCTTTTGTGTGCTTCTATTACACCTATTTGCATATTGTTATACTTTTACAATTCTGAATTTGCCTTATAGCAAATACCTGTGTATGTCTTTGCCATGACCTCAAGACTCTTAACACTCATTCTTGCTGGAGACACTTAGAAAAAGAGGAAAGTCAGGGATAAGACTGAAGGGGAGGTAGTATGAATAGTGACAAGTAAATGCTTCTGCAATGCTGTCTTAGAAGACTTAAAGTAAACCTCAATCTCAGAATGTCACTCCTGAACTTGTTACAGCAGAGGATGCTAAGGCTTGTGTCAGGGAAAAAAATGAACAACATAAATTCTGCTCAGGAAGTTGGGTGGGAACTTGCACTGTTCGCATTATTTGGTTTTTCAAATTTCTATTACATTAACACATTATTTAATCGAAAGCCTCAATACATTTTTAATAAAGCCCACAGGAATATATCTTGCATAAGATTCTTCATTAAATGTGGCTAAAAATATTTTAAAACAAATAATAAAGGACCAGACTAATAGGGAAAAAAAGTGTCAAACAGGCTTCTACTTTTCAAACCTCTATCATCTTGTTGACTGTTCCTTGAATAACAAATCTTCAAAGCAAGCACATACAGGATACCAGCCTTTTATCTCACTCCTATCAGAGGAAACAGCCTTATAAGTAACTAAAAATGGTTCCCAAAATAACAAAGAAACTTTAAATAAACTCCTAATATTGCTTATAACACATAATATAAATTTCTCAAGCCATTACTGTGCCTATTAGTAAATCAAGAAATATGTAAGAATCTTTAAAAAATAAATTTAATTCTTTAACAGTTCCATCAAGTCTGTTGAGATATTTGTCATGGAAATTTTTTCAGGTTTTTTAAAATGAAAGAATGAAAAATGATAGCTGACATATGCAGATTATATTCAGAATTTTGAGGCATAAGCCAAAGACTTAGAATAATGCTAATTTCATGATTGTGTTACATGGTTGGTTATCCGCACTATTCATAAAACCTTCCAAATGACTACAATTCCTTTTCTTTGCTGTTTACTGATTGTAACGGGTACTACTGGAGGGTTTATTTGCCACAGCTACATGACCCTAGGTGTTATCCCCATAACTAATCCAATGGTAATTCCTGTTAACTCCACCTTTAAAACAAATCAAATTCCCACCACTTATCATCTTTACTGCTAACACACCAAACCAGGCCACCATCACTTCTTCCTCTCTCATTTTCTATTTCTAGTCAATTTTCACCTTCTGTGTTCATTCTATCTAAAATAAAGCTCCTTTTCCAACATGATTTTCTATGTCTTCACTCTGCTATATTTTCTCCATAGAACTTATCATTTATCTGAAATTGTGTTATTTATTTGTTTACTTCTCTCCCTCACTGGAATATAAGCTTTTTTACTACTGTATCCCCAGCACCCAGAAGAGTATGCACCATACAGTAATCCCTCAGTAAGTATTTGTTGAATGAATGACAAAATCCTAAATATAAGAATGCTTAAAAGGAAAAGGCTTACGAAAAATCTGCAGTGCCTATTACTTTAAGTGCCTCCAATGATTTGAAGCTGCCCCATTTGTAGAATGGGGAAGCTTCTTAGAATAGTTTAAGAATACGAGTAACACCAAAATAACTTATTTAAATAATTCACACCACAATAAGAATGTTTTTTGTATATTTACTATTTGCCAAGCACTACATGCATAATCTCATTCTATCCTCATAACAATCCTTAGAGGAAGATATCTTCATTTTCTAGATGAGGAAACTGAGGTTTAGCAAGTTTCGATGGCTTTCTAAGGTCATATACGTTGTTACAATTTGAAAAGCATAATTTAATAGCACATAACATACTACCTTCAGGATAGAAAGACATTTTGAGAAGGGGCAATATCTAAGTCAGGGGTCTCCAATGAAGAAAATAATTGATTTATATGTATTTATTTATAAATTGTAAACATAAAACTATAATAATATCATGAACATTATAAAGCATACTGAAACTAAAAATTTAAAGGCATGAGATTTAAAAAATCATTTTACTAGTTTAAATTAGTAAAAATTAAATATGTAAAAGGAGGGTATAGTAACCATTTCATTCTCACTGAAGTTTAACTACAAATATTTTGAGTAAGAGCAATGTGATTAAACGTGGTTTTTTTTGATACAGTGATTCAAAGATTTAGTCCAAAACTCAGTTTATTTCAATACTTGGTTCTAAGGGTGTTATAGATCGAACCGTGTCCCCTGAAAATTCATATGTTGAAGTCCTAACCCCCAGCACCTCAGAATATGACTGGATTTGGAGATCAGGTCTCTTGAGAGGTAATTAAGTTAAAATGAGGTCAGTAGGGTGGGCCTTAATCCAATGACTGGTGTACTTCGAAAAAAAGAGGAAACCTAGACACAGACAGACAGAGGGGAGACCATGTGAAGACACAGGGAGAAGACTGCTATCTACGAGCCAAGGAAACAGGCCTCACAAGAAACTTACCCTGTTGGCACCTTGATGTTAGATTTCTACAGCCTCCAGACTTGTGAGAATATCAATCTCTGGCGTTTGAACCACTCAATCTGCGGTATTTGGTTATGGTAGACCTAGCAAACTAATACAAAAGGCCACAGTAATAGAAAAAGATAACTCACCACAAATACATGGAAAACAATGAAAGAAGAGCTTCACTGACTGAATCAGAATACTTATTTGTCAATTCTATTCACCTTAAATTAAGCAAGGATTTTTGTTGAAATTTGACTAGTAAATTTTCATCTTCTCTAATGTTTATCATCTGTACTTTCAAACTAACTGAACATTTAAAAATTTTTAACAAACTGATTCAAAATCTAAGTGTGTAGATAGGAGAGCTTTACAGATAACACATTCTTTGTTTTGGGCAACATTAAGTAATAATTGATATATTATGAAATATCAAATTTTGTCTGCAAATCATGTTTCTTTAGAAAAACAATTTCTCATTCTTTTTTTTTTTTGAGACAGAGTCTCGCTCTGTCGCCCAGGCTGGAGTGCAGTGGCGCCGTTTTGGCTCACTGCAAGCTCTGCCTCCCGGGTTCACGCCATTCTCCTGCCTCAGCCTCCTGAATAGCTGGGACTACAGGCGCCCGCCACCACACCCGGCTAATTTTTTTGTATTTTTAGTAGAGACGGGGTTTCACCATGTTAGCCAGGATGGTCTCGATCTCCTGACCTTGTGATCCGCCTGCCTCAGCCTCCCAAAGTGCTGGGATTACAGGTGTGAGCCACTGCGCCCGGCCTGTTATTCATTGTTAAAACATCATGTTTACCTCGTAGGGACACACTGAACATGTTTAAGATAATTTTTTGCTGACAACCACTTGTCATTACAGAAAATCAACAATTTTAGAACACTTTTCTTTGGAAAAGGAAAATGGTGTGACATTTTAAGTTTTGCAACTTTAAAAAATACTTTTCCATAACGTAATCAAAAAACTAGTGTGCGATATATTTTCATGACTGTGACACTTCTCATTTTCAAAGGATTATAATGATTCTATTATTTAAGATATAATCTGTAAATCCACCTACTTGGACACATATGAACTGCTCTATGTTGCAACAGCTAAAAGTGCACAAACAAGTGAGGATGTCACCGCCAACTCCGTTTTGTTTGAGGGAATGTCTACTCTTCCCTTGGGGATCATTCCTTATATAAAGTCTGATCCAGAGAAAGCACCAGTGTCAAACTGTATATTAAATATTTAGAAAAGCTTAATTTATTTTTAGATGAAAATGAATACAAGTAGCATTTCTAATGCTTTTTTCACATCCTAATGTACCATCTTGTGTACCTCTGGTAGATCATGAGTCCATAATAAGGTATTCTGACTTACACATGCATTAGCTTTAATGTTCACCATTTCACCTAGGTAAACAGAGAATATTTAGGGCAGGCACGGTAGCTCATGCCTGTAATCCCAGCACTTTGGGAGGCTGAGGTGGGAGGATCACCTGAGGTCGGGAGTTTGAGACCAGCCTGGCCAACATGGCGAAACCCTGTCTCTACTAAAAATACAAAAATAAGCTGGACGTGGTGGTGCATGCCTGTAATCCCAGCTACTCAGGGGGCTGACGCAGGAGAACTGCTTCAACCCTGGAGGCACACAGGTTGCAGTGGGCCAAGATTGCACCACTGAACTCCAGCCTGGGCAAAAGAGTGAGATTCTATCTTAAAAAAAAAAAGAGAGAGAGAGAGAGAGAGAATATTCAGGGGTCTGCTAAAATAACCAGGTGGCCAAAAGTTGTATGAATATATAATGTAAACAACCCTTTCCTTTGTTTACTCAGAAGAAGGAAGAATTATTTCTTTTTTAATTTTTATTTTTAACTGATCAATTCCAATTGTGTATGTTTATGGAGTACAATGTGATTTTTTTTTTTTTTAGACAGAGTCTTGCTCTGTCACCGAGGCTGGGTGCGTGATCTCGACTCCCTGCAACCTCTGCCTCTCGGGTTCAATAATCCACTATTGTACAACCTGGTGACAATAGTCTCTAATATTCTCCTGGTTTCTCAAGCCATTTAGTTGGCTTCTAAATCACTTCTTTATACCATTAGGTAATGTTTGTGAAAGGAATGCACTGCCAAGTCTGGCTAATTTTTGTATTTTTAGTAGAGACGGGGTTTTGCCATGTTGGCCAGGCTGGTCTGTGACCCCTAACCTCAAGTGATTCGCCTGCCTCAGCCTCCCAAAGTGCTGAGATTACAGATGTGAGCCACTACGCCTGACCTGTATAGCATATATTTTAAATAATTATTACTTATTAAGTGTTTACATTTGCCAGGCACCATGCTATGTATCTACTTTCATTACTACTTTTAACTCTTTTTTTTTTTGAGACAGTCTCACTGTTGTCACCAGGGCTAGAATGCAATGGCGCCATCTTGGCTCACTGCAAACTCTGCTTCCCAGGTTCCAGCAATTCTCCTGCCTCAGCCTCCCGAGTAGCTGAGATTACAGGTGCCCTCCACCATGCGCAGCTAATTTTTGTATTTTTAGTAGAGGCATGGTTTCACCATGTTGGCCAGGCTGGTCTCAAACTCCTGACCTCAGGTGATCCACCCGCCTTGGCCTCCCAAAGTGCTGGGATTACAGGCGTGAGTCACCGCGCCTGGCCTTCATTTAATTCTTACAACAACCCTAACAGATAGTTACTATTACCTGCAATAGTAGAAAGTTTTATTATTTTGTGAATGGGGAAGCTGAAGCTGAACTGGTTAATTACCCAAACTAACACAAACCTAGTTCTACTTTACTCCAAAGTTTGTGCACTAAACCACTGTATATTATACTACTTGTTAGTTGGTAGACATAACAATAATATAAACTAATGCAACAGGATGTCAAATGCAACTTTTCCTGTGTTCTCCGAGTTTCAGCAGGGCCTCAAAGGCCAAAACCAAAACAATAGGAGTCGAATACCCCCATATTCTAAGAAAAGTGCAAGGCTTAGAAAGTGAGGTTGCCAAAAATTGGCTCTGCTGACATTAGTTCACTACCCTTAAGGCTGTATAAGAGAAGAATTACAATTTATTAAATTGTGAGGATTACAAGGGACAACAGAGAGGACTTCTTTAAGGAAACTAGGTGGTGTGTTTCCCTGCCTCCTACAGGGAAAGAGGGATATACCTCTTGCCTACCTCAAGACAGGGACTGAAACCTCAAGACAACCACTCAAAGTGCTTGAGGCATATCCCCAGACTTAGGGAAGTACAGAGACACAGGGACTGGTATCTGACTCCCACCTGGTGGATAAAAAGAGCTGACATGTAGCTAAATTTTAAAGACCACTCAGGCACAACAGTCAAATGAGAAATTTCAGCAGAAGTTCTACAAAATGCCACAGTGTGGAAAATGGCACGTAAAACTAACTTTAATAACATTAAGCTTTTAGAATTTAATTATATTAATGCAATGTTATTAACTGTCCATATAATTAAATAAAATGTCTCTTTTCACATAATTATCCTTTTTTTTTTTTGAGACAGAGTCTCACTCTTGTCGCCCAGGCTAGAGTGCAGTGACGTGATCTTGGCTCACTGCAACATCCACCTCCCAGGTTCAAATGATTCTCCTGCCTCAGCCTCCCGAGTAGCTGGGATTACAGGCGCCTGCCACCATGCCTGACTAATTTTTGTATTTTTAGTAGAGACAGGGTTTCAGCATGTTGACCAGGCTGATCTCAAACTCCTGACCTCAAGTAATCAGCCCGCCTTGGCCTCCCAAAATGCTGGGATTACAGGTGTGAGCCATTGCACCCGGCACTTTTCACTTAATTATCCTTTTAAAAATCCCCTTCAAAGTAAAAAATAACTGTCCCAAACTAGAACTTTTCAGCTACACAAATTGCTTCAAAACAACTTTAATGTAACCTAGTGTTTTCCTAGTGTTTTTGTTTTGTTTTGTTTTTGAGATCGGTCTCACTCTGTTGCCCAGAGGCACGGTGTGATCATAGTTTACTGCAGCCTTGACTCCCTGGGCTCAAGCAATTCTCCTGCCTCTGCCTCCCAAGTAGCTGGGAATACAGAGCATCCCACCACATCTGGCTAATTTTTAATTTTTTTTTAAATAGAGACAGGGTCTCGCTGTGTTGCCAGGGCTGGTCTTGAACTCTTGGGCTCAATCCTCCTGCCTCAGCTTTCCAAAGTGTTGGTATTATAAATTTTGAGCCAATACGCCTGGACAATAAAACCTAGTTTTTAAACCACAAATTCAGACTTGGTAAATTCTTAGCAAGACACTGAAAAATAAAGGCAGCAAAATCATTACTAAAGTATTCAAAGGTTGAAGAAATTTTCCAAAAGCTAAAAAGAAGCAATAAAAAAAAGTTTTAAAAGTCACAAAGTAATACTACTACTTTTCAGAAATTTTGAAAATAGAGGAAACAGGAGAAAAATACCCGTAAGTCTACTACCTCCAACATGGTCACTGGGACATTTTGGTGTATCTTCTGTTTTTTAAGCACATTTTTATACAGATGCAATTACAGTGTATACATAATTGTATCCTGCTTTTTTTCATTCAGAGTTATATAAAATGATGCAATTTTGGCCAGACTCGGTGGCTCATGCCTGTAATCCCAGCACTTTGGGAGGCCGAGGTGGGTGGATCACCTGAGGTGAGGAGTTCAAGACCAGCCTGGCTAACGTGGTGAAACCCTGTTTCTACTAAAAATATAAAAAATTAGCCAGGCGTGGTGTTGCACGCCTGTAATCCCAGTTACTCAGGAGGCTGAGGCAGGAGAATCGCTTGAACCCAGGAGGCGGAGGTTGCAGTGGGCTGAGATCATGCCATTGCACGCCAACCTGGGCAATAAGAGCGAAATTCTGTCTTAAAAAAAAAAAAGATGCAATTTTCAAGAATTTCAGCAATTTTCAAGAATTTCAGACTATGGCTGGGTGCGGTGGCTCACGCCTGTAATCCCAGCACTTTGGGAGGCCGAGGCGGATGGATCACGAGGTCAGGAGATCGAGACCATCCTGGCTAATGCAGTGAAATGCTGTCTCTACTAAAAATACAAAAAAAAAAAAAAATTTAGCCAGGCATAGTGGCGGGCGCCTGTAGTCCCAGCTACTCAGGAGGCTGAGGCAGGAGAATGGCGCAAACCCAGGAGGTGGAGCTTGCAGTGAGCTGAGATTGCGCCACTGCACTCCAGCCTGGGCGACAGAGCGAGACTCCGTCTCAAAAAAAAAAAAAAAAAAAAAAGAATTTCAGACTACAGACATAACAGGCTTTCTTAAGAAACACACATTCATAACAATTGTACAATGTAACTTTCTATTTCATTCTAAAGCTTAAAATCCAGAAGATGTATTTCTCAAATTTTCAAATGACATTACAAAATTATATATCCTTTGCATATTTTATCTCATTTGACAATAAAAGAGCAACAAAAGTAAAACTGCAGTAACATGGACATTAAATACATCTCGTATCCTTCACAGTGCCATTTAAAACACAGTAAGGGCATTAGCTGGGTGTGGTGGCAAGCGCCTGTAGTCCCAGCTACTTGGGAGGCTGAGGCAGGAGAATCACTTGAACTCAGGAGGTGGAGGTTGCAGTGAGCCGAGATCGTGCTGCTGCACTCCAGCCTGGGCGACACAGTGAGACTCGAGACTCCATCTCAAAACAAAACAAAACAAAACCAACAACAAAACATAGTAAGGGCTAGGCATGGTGGCTTACACCTGTAAACCCAGCACTTTGGGAGGCCAAGGCAGGAGGATCACTTGAGGCTAAGAGTTTGAGACCAGCCTGGGCAACACAGTGAGACCTTCCCTACACATACACACACACACACACACACACACACACACGCCAAGTATGAAACATGTGCCTGTAGTCCCAGATACTCAGGAGGCTAAGGCAGGTGGATCACTTGAGCCCAGGAGCTGGAGGCTACAGTGAGCCATGATTGCACCACTGCACTCCAGCCTGGGCAATGGAGCAAGACTGTCCCTAAAAATAAAAAATAAAAGTAAAAAGTGCCTGTAATCCCAGCACTTTGGGAGGCTGAGGTGGGCAGATCACCTGAGGTCAGGAGTTCGAGACCAGCCTGGCCAACATGGTGAAACCCCATCTCTACTAAAAATACAAAAATTAGCTGGGCATGGTGGCATGTGCCTATAATCCCAGCTACTTGGGAGGCTGAGGCAGGAGAATGACTTGAAGTTGGGAGGCGGATCCTGCAGAGCTGAGATCACGCCACTGCACTCTAGCCTGGGTGACAGAGTGAGATTTTGACTCAAAAAAGAAAGAAAAAGGAAAAGTTATTTCCAACTCTTCTTCCTGAACAATTTGGCCCTAATTAGGCAAAGCAGAGTAAGTAAGGCAGGCACACTTGCCTCATGCTAAGGAGCAAGGTAAGGAGAGCATCTGTGTAGGAGGGCTGCCTACTGTGGAAGTATCAGAGCCTAAACAAGGTAAGGAGTGCAGTCCCACAGAGGGGTAGCCCAGCATGGGATGTTAGAGCTTCAGCAGAATGAGGAGGGTATCCAGGCTGATAGATGGCCTGGTGCGGGGTTGTAAGAGTCAGGACAAGGTGAGGAAAGCATCCTAGGAGGGAGCCGACTGGCACAGAGTATTGGCAAGTGGACCTTGGGCTTGATTTCAGCTCCTTGGCTGGATGCCTGTGTGTAATGCACAAACTACCCAATCAAACACAGCACCCTGACTGAATGCTATGCAACTATTAAAAAGGATGAGGTAGAGATCTGTATGCAGATATGCAAAGATGTCCAAAATAAAAGTGGGGAAAAGCAAGTGGAAAAACAATTTTCAATACACTTTTTAAAAAGGATATACATATATCTATATACCTGCTATACATACATCTATATACAAGCCCTCCCCTCACACATGCACTGCAATAATGTGAATTTGAAAGTTACACAATTGACTCTTATTCTCTGTCCAGCCCCCTTTTCTCAAATGGGGGGTGGGCAGGCTATAGTTCTCTTCCTCAAATTGTAGGAGATGGGTAGTTAGGAAGCAATCATTTTCTGACCATTTGAACTTTTTCAATTCAGTATAGTAATCCCTTGGTATGTGTGGGGATTGGTTCCAGGACCTCCTTCGGATACCAAAACCCATAAAGGCTGAAGTCTCTTATATAAAATGGTGTCGAATTTGCATCATAAAACCTACTTACAACTTATAGCCTTACATTTACTTTTTTTTTTTTTTTTTTTTTTTTTTAAAGAGGCAGAGTCTCCTCATTGCCCAACCTGAAGTGTAGTGGCTATTCACAGACACAATCATGGTGCACTACAGCCTTGAACTCCCGGGCTCAAGTGATTGTCCCACCTCAGCCTCCCAAGTAGCTGGGACTACAGGCCCCATGCCTGGCTCTATCTCCCACATGCTTTAAATAATCTCGAGATTACTTATAATACCTAATGCAACGTAAATGCTATGTAAATTACTATTATACTGTATTGCTTAGGGAACAGTGACAAGCAAAAAAAAGTCCATACGTGTTCAGTACAGATGCAACCATCCAGTTTTTTCTGAATCTTTTCGATCCGTGATTGGTTGTATCCACAGGTGCAAAATCCATGGATACAGAAAGCTGACTGTATATGATCAGTTGTACCAATAAAGTTTTTTTTAACTTCACATTGGTACTTTTTTTTTTGAGACAGAGTCTCACTTTGTCGACCAGGCTGGAGTGCAGTGGTGCAATCTTGGCTCACTGCAGCCTCTGCCTCCTGGGTTCAATCGATTCTCTTGCCTCAGCCACCCGAGTTACTGGGATTACAGGTGTGCACCACCACACGGCTAATTCTGGTATGTTTTTAGTAGAGATCGGGTTTCATCATGTTACCCAGGCTGGTCTTGAACTCCTTAACTCAAGCAATCCGCCTGCCTCAGCCTCCCCAAGTGCTGGGATTACAGGTGTGAGCCACTGCGCCCAGCCTCCTATTAGTACTTTTTATACTATTAATATCAAACCATATTTTTAAAATGTTTTTTCATTATCCTTATAACAAGACTCAAGATTTTTATAAGATTGAATTTTTTGGTCCCCATTTATTAAATTACGGTGGTTATGCAAGAAATTGTCAACAATGGTACCAGTGAGAGAACTTGGGGTAGGGAAACAAGTTATTTACTTTTTATTTTATAACTTTTTATAATGATTAAACGTTTTGTGTTTTTTGTTGTTTTTAAATGTTATAACAGGATCTGAATGGTGGAATAATGGACCTTTTAAGTGGTATTTGTTGTATTTTTCTATATTAAGTAAAACCCTAGTAAATGTTTTTTAAAAATGAACACATATGATGATGCAGAGATATCACTTCCAATAATTTATCCTAATGAATTAAGTAGACAAATTGACAAAGATATATGTACAAGAGGAGATTTAGAATATTATATAACTGAGAATAAATTTCCAATAGGTGATGATTAAATGTACCATGGTAAAGCCATACTCTGAAATACGATGAAGTTGTAACATGATCAAGATCTATTAAGTAAATGAATGTTATAAAAGGTTGTGTAATATAAATTAACTTTAATCTGTAAGAATAAATAGAATTTATAGTTAATATGGATACGCACCAAAAAGCTAACAATGATTATCTCTGGGTGATGTAACTATGGTTGAATTTTCTTTTGGTTTATCTGTATTTTCTAATTATAAAAAATAAACAGGCCAGACACGGTGGCTCATGCCTGTAATCTCAGCCCTTTGGGAGGCTGAGGTGGGTGGATCACGAAGTCAGGAGATCAAGACCATCCTGGCTAACATGGTGAAACCCTGTCTCTACTAAAAATACAAATAATTAGCCGGGCGTGGTGGTGGGCACCTGTAGTCCCAGCTACTCAGGAGGCTGAGGCAGGGGAATGGCATGAACCCGGGAGGCAGAGCTTGCAGTGAGCCAAGATCACGCCACTGCACTCCAGCCTGGGCGACAGCCTGGGAGACAGCCGTCTCAAAAAAATAAATAAATAAAAATAAGCATAAATCACTTTTATAGCATTTGTTTCAAAAGGAGATAACTTACTTTTTAAAGATTCATCAAATACTTATTGAACACCCACTTCATACAGAGTATTGTGAGAATTAAAACAGCAAGAACAGTGATTACACTTCATTAAATATTTTGTTAAATACTATGTGCCAATCACTTCAATCACACTATCACAATTAATTTTCATAGCACCTCTTTGGGGTACTATATAAGATTAAGTTTTGGTACATACAGCCGGAACTGGAAATAGCAAGTGGTTTAAGCAATACCGATGTTTGTTTCTCTGCCACCTAAAAAAAAAAAAAAAAAAGACAAAGTAGGCAGTCTAAGATGTCATCAGGTCCCCAGGTGCCTATATTTCTGCTATGCCACCCTCAACATATGGATTCTGTCTTCAAGATCACTTCATAGTTCACACACGGAGCTCCAGCTATTACATCCACATTCCAGGAAGCAAAAAGGAAAAACGCTCTATTTAAGCAGCCTTCCTGGAAGTCCCATATAACACTTTTGCTATGGCTTATTGACCAGGACTTAAGTCACATGTACAAACTGCAAGCCAGGCTGGGAAATATAATCTTTAATCATTTTATCCTGCAATGTGCCTCAGGTAAACTACTGAGTTCTATTACTTAGAAGAATGGATATTAGATTAGGCAAAAAATCTCTGCCACAAGCAGGTATTATTATCCTCATTTGCACACAGAAAACAGAGGTACAGAATCAAATGGTTAAATGGCAGAGCATAATTTGAAAGCTGTCTATATACCTTTCACTACACACTCTGTGTCCCATTAGAAAATTATATGCATCAAAATAAAATATAAGCACACTCACAGGACATTTATATATGATTAAAGGCAGTTTATTACTAAATGAGATTATTGATAGATGAGAAGTCATCTACAAAATGAACAAAACTAAGAGCGCATTCCTGGCAAATGGAACATCAGCAACAAATTATTTATGAAGCACCTATGATGCACCAAGTGTTTTCAAAAACCTATAAAAAATTTTTTTGTTGTTGTTTGAGATGGAGTCTCGCTCTGTTGCCCAGGCTGGAGTGCAGTGGTGTGATCTCGGCTCACTGCAACTTCCATCTCCCGGGTTCAAGTGATTCTTCTGCCTCAGCCTCCCGAGTAGCTGGGATTACAGGCGCCCACCACCATGCCCAGCTAATCTTTGTATTTTCAGGAAAGACGGGGTTTTGCCATGTTGGCTAGGCTGGTCTTGAACTCCTGACCTCAGGTGATCCACCCACCTCGGCCTCCCAAAGTGCTGGGATTATAGGCATGAGCCACTGTGCCCAGCCCAAAGCCTGTAAATGTTTTAAAATGTAACATACATAAAGCACATAAAGTCCACTAATCTTACATGTACAGCTCAAAGAACTTTTATATATATATGTATAAATATATATATATATATAATATGTATGTCAGTCATATTGTTGCATATAGCAGTCGGTTTTTCTTCGTTTCTGTATACTATTTCATTTAATGGTAATGCCAGTATTTATTTATCCATTCTCCTGTTGACTGATATGTGGACTGTTTCCAGGTTTTGGTTATTACGAAGAAAGCTGTTCTAAACAATTTTTTTCTTTTTTTTCGGAGATGGGGGTCTTGCTCTGTCATCCAGGCTGGAGTGCAATGGTACAATCACGGCTCACTGCCAACTCAACCACCTGGGCTTAAAGTGATCCTCCCACCTCAGCTTCCCAAGTATCTGGGACCACAGGTGTGTGCCACCATGCCTGGCTAATTGTTTAAAAACTTTTTTTGTAGAAATGGGGTCTTACTATGTTGTCCAAGCTGGTCTTAAACTCCTGGCCTCAAGCGATCCTCCTGCTTCAGGCTCCCAAAGTGCTGGGATTACAGAAGAGAGCCACTATGTTCAGCCTGTTATAAACATTCTTTTTCTTTCTTTCTTTTTTTTTTTTTTGAGACAGAGTCTTGCTCAGTTGCCAGGCTGGAGTGCAGTGGTGCGATCTCGGCTCACTGTAACCTCTGCCTCCTGGGATCAAGCGATTCTCCTGCCTCAGCCTCTCAAGTAGCTGGGACTACAGGCATGCACCACCACGCCCAGCTCATTTTTTGTATTTTTAGTAGAGACGTAGTTTCACCGTGTTGGCCAGGATGGTCTCGATCTCCTGACCTTGTGATCTGCCTGCCTCGGCCTCCCAAAGTGCTGGGATTACAGGCATGAGCCGCCGCACCCGGCCTAAACATTCTTATATGTATCTTTGATAGACACAATCACACTTCTTTTGGGTATTATCTAGGAGTAGAATTGCTGGGTTATAGAATAGGCATATGTTCTGGGGCTGGAACGCAGTGGTGCAGTCTTGGCTCACTGCAACCTCCACCTCCTGGGTTCAAGCAATTCTCCTGCCTCAGCCTCCTGAGTAGCTGGGACTACAGGTGCATGCCACCACACCTGGCTAACTTTTGTATTTTAGTAGGGATGGGGTTTCCCCATGTTGGCCAGGCTGGTCTCGAACTCCTGACCTCAGGTGATCTGCCCACCTTGGCCTCCCAAAGTGCTGGGATTACAGGCCTGAGCCACCGCACCTGGCCAAGTAGGCATATGTTTAACTTAAGTGGACACTGCCAGAGTTTTCCAAAGAGGCTGTACTAATTTACACTCTCACCAGCAATATATGAGGTTGCAGTCACTCCTCAGTCATACTGGAATTGTTAGTCTTTTTAATTTTAGCCATTCTGGTATGTAGTAGCATCTCACTGTGGTTTCCATGTCAACTTTTCAAACTCATTTTTTTCTTTTGTTTGTTTGTTTGTTTCTTATCGTACCATATTTATTTTTACTTTATTACTGTACCATCATATTTTATTTTTTAAGATTATTTTTATACATCATCATGTTCTGTTAGAATTGAGCTTTATAAACTCCAAAACATTGGTAATCAAGCGTAAGTCAGTTCTCAGACATTTTAGGTAAGTCCTCATGTATCACAGATGGCAGTTTAAGTCACGAAAGTAGACAAAAGATGGTAGAAGTACTATCAATGTGTGGAATCATGGAAGCCAAAGGAAGAGACTCTATCAAGAAGGAAAGAGTGGTCAACAATTGACAGAT
Organism: Homo sapiens; assembly: GCF_000001405.40. Classification (NCBI taxonomy): domain Eukaryota; kingdom Metazoa; phylum Chordata; class Mammalia; order Primates; family Hominidae; genus Homo; species Homo sapiens. Next base: position 114,657,571 of record NC_000001.11, read on the forward strand.
ACATTGTCAAAAGGTCAAGTAAGATAAAAACTGCAGTGTCTGTTGGTCATTAGGACTTGGACAAGAGCAGGTTCAGTGGCATGGAGGCTGAAGGAAAATAAGTGAATTGAGAATTGGATGAGAAAAAAGAATGCAAATATCAACTGTAGACAATCCATTCAAGGAGTTTATCCAAATAGACGAATAGACAATAGAGTGGAGCTGGACAGGAACGTGAAGTCCAGGAAATCTTTCTAAACTTGTTTCTTATACAAGTTTAATCTTGTTCAAACACCAGTGGGAAGGAGTCGCTAAAGAGGAGAGAAGAAAAGAAACAAGGGTATAAAGCAAAGACCTAAAGAAGGAGAGAGAGCATGGGCCTCCAATGGGACCGGAAAGATTATCAGCATCTGCCAGGAAGAGGGACAGGTCTTCCACTGGAACTGAAGGTAAATGATAAAAGAAAGATAAGAGTGCAGGTAAATTTCCAGGTTTAGGGGCTATACACTGATGAACTTTCCATCTGATGGCTTCTATTTTCTATTTTAACAGCCACAGTTATCTGCTGAGAGTAAAGTGAGAGACAGAAAAGCCAAAGGTTTAAGGAGAAGGAAGAAGGTTTAAAATAGGAAGTGTGAGGAGAAAAGGTGCAAGAATACACAGGTTCCCTAAGCAGAGAGTTTTCAGAGTTATGAAAAAAACCTTTGAGAATATTCATCATGATTAGGGACCATAGATAAGAAGAAAAAGCATCAGATAAAGAGTGGGAGAAAGACTGGTGAGAGGTAACAAAACCAGGATAACATCATGAGAGGAAAAAATTCTAAAAAGAAAAGAAAGATGCAAACCAGTGTCATACAAGTAAGGAGAATAAAAACTGAGAAACGATCCTTGCATTTGGTAAGAGGGCATTAAATAAATGGTTTCTAAAGGATGGTGAAGGCAGATAACAGCAAAAATTAAAAAGAAAATTAGTGAGGAAATGGACAAAGTATGAAGACAACATTTATTTGAAACTCAGTAAGAGGGATAATAAAAACAAAAAGAAGATGCAACTTCAAATGAAACATTTTAAAGTTGGGGAAAATCGATATTTTTTAAAACTGCAGCAAAAAATAATGAAAGATATAATAAATACATGGAAGAGGGAGGAGAAAGTCTGATGGAAGAAAGGTGCTACGACTCACAAGAGGGTCAAAAGAATGGCAGTACTACTTTGCAACAGTTCTTTAGTCTTAATACAAAATGATAACTTAGGCAGAGGAGGATTGCTTGAGCCCAGAAGTTCAAGACCAGCCTGAGCAACATAGTGAGACCCTGTCTCTGTTTTTAAAATTTTTTAAATGATGATAAGCAATGTCACTTAATCATTCTTCAAACTAAAAGAAGAACTAAGCTGCAAGAATTCATTCTCTTTTTGGAGTGCACATTAAACTCAGTTATTGATGTGATGCATCGCTTCTCAGTCTTCTGGCTAAGATCAAGTGTATTGATGTGATAGGGCACAAATGAATCTCTTGGCCAAATATTTTTCTTTAATGTTTCAGGTTTCTCTTCAGGAAAATAACAACTGAAAGTCTGGTAATAGTAATAAGAACTAACAATCTCTCTATATTTTATTTTGTTCAAACTTTCTTCACTGATAATGCCATGTTCAAGATGCAGTAGTGGCCAGGCGCGGTGACTCACGCCTATAACCCCAGCACTTTGGGAGGTAGAGGCGGGTGGATCACTTGCGGTCAGGAGTTCGAGACCAGCCTGGTCAACACGGCGAAACCCTGTCTCTACTAAAAATACAAAAAATTAGCCAGGCATGGTGGCCGGCACCTGTAGTCCCAGCTACTTTGGAAGCTGAGGCAGGAGAATCACTTGAACCCAGGAGGCAGAGGTTGCAGTGAGCGGAGATCCCACCACTGCACTCCAGCCTGAGCTACAGAGCTAGACTCTGTCTCAAACAAAACAAAACAAAACAAAAAAAGTGCAGTAGTGATGCTTGAAAGATACAGTAGCCAGATATAGACAATAGTACCAAGTGTCATTTGTCATAACAATGTCTTTTGGAACCCTTCAGCATATAGCTTCAAAGGTAGTTCACTAGACTGCCAAAAGCAGCAACTTTGCAAATTTTGTTATTCTAAAATATTGAAAAATATCTGCCCAAGAGATTCCTTTCCTTTCCTTTCCTTTTTCCTTTCCTTTCTTCCTTCCCTCCCTCCGTCTTCCTTCCTTCCTTCCCTCCCTCCCTCCCTCCCTTCCTTCCTTCCCAAGGTCTTATCCTCTTGCCCAGGATGCAGTGCACTGGCATAATTGCAACTCACTGTAGCCTCACTCTTTGGGCTTACGCGATCCTTCTACCTCAATCTCCCGGATAGCTAAGACCACAGGAACACATCACCACGCCTGGCTAATTTTTTTATTTTTAGTAAAGACTGGGTTTCGCCATGTTGCCTAGGCTGGTCTCAAACTCATGGGCTCAAGTGATACTCCAGCCTCAGCCTTCCAAGTGCTGGGATTAAAGGCATGAGCCACCATGCCTGACTGAGATTGCCTCTCAGCTAGAAAAATTCTGGATTCATAAAATCTGCTTAGCTCCTTATCTCAACTATCAAACTCCAATGTGATATAGTAAATAGGTACAGTTAACTCTGAATATTTTAAAATGTTGGTTACTCAGCAAGCTTCCTTTAATATAATTAACAACTTTCAATATATTCATGAGATTCAGAAAGTTTTCTGTGCATACCAAAGCTTTGCAATATATAAAACAGCAGTTTCAAACACCATTCTTAGCCCTTAGAACAAACAGGACAGAAACGGAGCCCAGCAGTGACTTGCTGGACAGTATGTTCACCCACACCCAGCCTATTGTTTTTGCTGGAGGGAAAGCTCCAAGCTTTCCTGCTGCCCTGGACATTCAGAAGAAAGCAGGAGGATGTCTATACTTTCAGCTGTATTGTTTTGACTACTGGCTGTAAGTTTGCCTGTCTCTAATTCCCTCCCTCCCCTTGAGTGTTGGAAGGTGCTTTGAGGAGATACTCATTAAAACACACTGTGAGACTTGCACGGGAGGCTGGACAGGGGGAGGGAACACTGTTAGTAGCAGCTTCAAACAATGCTTAAAATAACTGCTTTATATTTTCTAACCACATTTGCTATTCAATTGCTCATAATTATTTAATAGTTTTTTCCCAGTTTAATTTCTGAGGATCAACAATTTATTTTTTAAAATTCTGTAAATATACCCATACAGCTGTGGTTAAATTTAAACAACAAGAAAATCCTGCCGGGCGTGGTGTCTCATGCCTGTAATCCCTGCACTTTGGGAGGCCGAGGCAGGCAGATCACAAGGTCAGGAGTTTGAGACCAGCCTGACCAACATGGTGAAACCCTGTCTCTACTAAAAATACAAAAATCAGCCGGGCATGGTGGCTCGCACCTGTAATCCCAGTTACTCAGGAGGTTGAGGCAGGAGAATCGCTTGAACCCGGGAGGCGGAGGTTGCAGTGAGCCGGTATTGTGCCACTGTGCACCTGGGCGACAGAGCGAGACTCCGTCTCAAAAAAAAAAAAAAAAAAAAGAAAAGAAAATCCTCCTTATTATCTTCACTACCTAAAAGCACAGTACAACTTACAATATCAGCGACCCCATCGATTTGGATTGCAAAATCTGCACCAGACTCTACCCATCTTGCAAGCACTGCTGAAATGTCCAATAATGGTAAAGAATAGAGCTATGTCATCACTAAGAAGTATAATTTTTAATTTCCAGCTGATTTAGCATCAAAAATCATGAGCACAACTTCCATGAATTATAGATGAATACTTTTTTCAAGAGATATGTAGCCATTTTTCCCTTATGCCACTGATACACAACTAAATGAGACAATAATCTTTCTCAGGAATGATTCTTGAATAAATAGGAAACTGAGATAACTTTATCTCTTTTTCTTTCTTTGAAAATATTTGAAAGGGCTTATTTAAAAGTCCAGTATGCTATGTTTCCAAGAATCTTTTTAACTTTAAAGGTTTTTAATTTTCATTTGCAACATTATATGAAGACATGGGTCTGTCATTTTACTCAGATTTTGCCCATTTGACAAAGCCATATTTTAAATAATCTTCATTGAAAGTCTTAATAGTTTTTCTCAGGTGACCATTTCCCTCAATATTTTTGTTCTTCCAGATCCAGTCATTGCACATACCTCTGTATTTTTTACTTCGTTTTTTTCTTCTAATAATGAAACAACAAATTTGAAAGGCAAATTGATCCAATTTGATTTAAAAATACAATTATCACCAGACTCTTGAAAATATCACACTTGACGAATGCAAAGTTCAAAAATAAAATTTGGTTCAACGACTCACCATTTTTAACAACAGCAGACAAAATTCTCCCACTCTTTGCTCAACCCTGATTTATGTCAATAAAACTATACATTGATAGCTATCACATTACACTCATGATTAAATTGACCATCACTCTAATTCACATAATTTTCCCCTTTTGTTCCAATTACCCCTTATAGTTTAAATAGGGCCCAGGGAAAAGGAAATTTTCAGTAAATACTGTTGTGGAGCAGCCTATGTCATTTCCTCACAGAAGGCTCTATTATTATAGCCTTAATAGATCCTTATTTAATCAGAATATCAAAGAGTACAGATAAATATTTAAATACAAAATTATGCTTTACACTGCTAAGTAACCAATTCAAACACATCCCACACAGCTGGGAGATTTTGTTTTTTACTCCAACAGAAAAAAAGACAGAGAAAAATGCAAATCCCTTTTAAGTAGCAGCAAAAATAACTCTCTCTCTCCCCCACCAATCTGTCCCTGAATTTTAACATCCAAACAAAAAATCCGCAAATATGTCATTTCTATGAATTCAAACTTGAAGGAAAAAAAATAATAATTTCTCTCCATATCCTTTGTTGTAAATATTTATCACTGCTATGAAAACTACGAAAGTTAGACATTTAACTTTAAAAAGTACAGCACAACCTTCAAATAATATAAATGGATTAATATTGCCAGAACTAAATGCTAAAAACTCTGTTTTCACGCCACTAACCAGAAGTCTAAGATTCATAAGAAAAAAAAAAAAATCTTGAATTTATTCCTCAAAAATAGGGGCCAGGCATAATGGCTTCGTACCCCCAGCGCTTTGGGAGGCTGAGATGGGAGGATCCCGAGGTCGGGAGTTCAAGCCCAACCTAGACAACGTATTGAGACCCCATCTCTACAAAAAGTTTTTTAAAAAATTAGCCAGTCTTGGTGGCGTGCACCTGTAATGCGAGCTAACTGGGAGGCTGAGGTGGAGGGATCGTGTGAGCCCAGGGGTTGGAGGCTGCAGTGAACTATGATTGTGCCACTGCACTCCAGCCTGGGTGACAGAGAAAGACCAAGAAAAGAAAAGGAAAAGGAAGAAGGAAGAGGGAAAAGGAAAGGGAGGAAGGAAAAAAATGGGTAAATACCTGGAATAGATAGATGTGAAAAAGTCAGTCCTTTAAATTTTTTTCTCTTATCATCATCTACTTAATCCTTCAGTCTTATAATTTGCTATACTGCTTATAAAGTGAAGACATTATCATGTTTTCTTTTCTTTAGGATAAAACTTATTCATTCAGGGCAGAAGAAAAAGAGAATAAAATTCCATCCTGTCCAACCCTCTGGGAACCAGTGCAGAATACCCCTTCAAATTTATCTTTTATTTCACCCAGGTTTCAATGTCCCCACTTTCACTGAAGCGAAAAGATCAATGTTTTATTGATTCAGTAAAGAACACTGAATATCAAAAAACATTTTTCAAACATACTTTTTTATTCTGACTCTGTACAAGTTAATCTATTTCTCTGTATCTAAAGTTCCAAACCAGTAAAGGGAGTATTTTCCATTTAAATGAGAAATGGGGGATGAATGAAAATGTTTTAATTATTTTAAGAAATGTACTAGAATTTAAAAACAGGAGGTATGATTTCGAAGAACCATGATTTTTTTTTTCTAAACCAAGCTTACGAATTCAAATATTTCAAAGATCCGTTAAGGTTGGCAGACTATGGCCTACCTGTGGGCCAAATTTGGCCCACTGCCTGTTTTTGCAAGGCCTCTGAGTTAAGAGTGGTTTTTACATTTTTTAATGGTTGGGTGGAAAGATCAAATAAGTATAACATTTTGTGATGTGAAAATTATATGAAATTCAAATTTCAGTGTCCATAAATAAAGTTTTATTGGAACACAGTCCATGCTTATTCATTGAAGCGTTGTCTATGGCTGCTTTTTGGCAGAATTGGGTAGTTATGACAGAGACCGTATGGCACACAAAGTACAAAATATTAATATTTGCTATCTAGCCCTTTACAGAATATTTGCTAACCCCTGCCTTAGAAGACCATACTGCTATTCTTTTTTTTTTTTTTTTTTGTCTTGTCACCCAAGCTGGAGTGCAATGGCACGATCTTGGCTAACTGCAATCTCTGCCTCCCGGGTTCTAGCAATTCTCCCACCTCAGCCTCCCAAGCGGCTGGGACCACAGGCATGTGCCACCATGCCAGCTAATTTTTTAAAATTTTTTGTAGAGACGAGGTCTCCTTATGTTGCTCAGGCTGGTCTAGAACTCCTGGGCTCAAGTGATCTTCCCATCTTGGCCTCCCAACGTGCTGATTATAGGCATGGGGACACAGTCTTTTGTTGTTTTTTAAGCTTTGTCTATGACTTCCAAGAACTAAAGATCCAGTGATGGGATAGGAATATGCTTTCGAAGCTTTGATTGATTGTGAACGGAAGCTGGGCACAGTGGCTCATGCCTGTAATCCTAACACTTGGATAGGCTGAGGCAGAAGGAGTGCTTAGGCCCAGAAGTTTAAGATCAGAATGGGCAACACAGTGAAACCCCATCTCTACAAAAGAAAAAAATTTATGTATTTATTTATTTATTTAAATTTTTTTGAGATGGAGAGTTTCGCTCTTGTCTCTCAGGCTGGAGTACAATGGCACAATCTCAGCTCACTGCAACCTCCACCTCCTGGGTTCAAGTGATTCTCCTGCCTCAGTCTCCCAAGGAGCTGGGACTACAGACACGCGCCACCACATCCAGCTAATTTCTGTGTTTTTAGTAGAGATGGGGTTTCACCATGTTGGCCAGGTGGGTCTCAAACTCCTGACTGAAGTGACCCACCGCCTTGGCCTCCCAAAGTGCTAGGATTACAGGTGTGAGCCACTGTGCCTGGGCAAAAAAAATTGTTTTTTAATTAGCAGGGGGTCAGGCCGGGTGTGGTGGCTCACACCTGTAATCCCAGCACTTTGGGAGGCCAAGGCGGGTGGATCACCTGAGGTCAGGAGTTCGAGACCAGCCTGATCAATATGGTGAAACCCCATCTCTACCAAAAATACAAAAAATTACCCAGGCATGGTGGTGTGCGCCTGTAGTCCCAGCTACTTGGGAGGCTGAGACAGGAGAATCACTTGGACCTGGGAGGCAGAGGTTGCAGTGAGCTGAGATCACACTACTGCACTCCAGCCTGGGCAACAGAGAGAGACTCTGTCTCAAGAAAAATAAAATAAAAAATAAAAATTAGCAGGGGGTGGTGGTGCATGCCTGTAGTCCTAGTTTCTCAGGAGACTGAAGCAGGAGGATCCCTTGAGCCCAAGAGGTCCAGGCTGCAGTGAGCTATGATTGCATCACTGTATTCCAGCCAGGGTAGCAGAGCAAGACCCTGTCTCTTGAAAAAAAAAAAAAAAAAGTAAATAAGTTATATGTGCCATGCAAATAAAGAGACAGAAAAACAATTCCATAATAAAGCCAGAAGATCTACGTTCTTGTGTAGCTGTGAATTTGCTATAAAGCTTTTTACAAAGAGAAGCTCCAATAATACTTTGGGCAATACAGACAGTCCCTGACTTAATGATGGTTTAAATTAACAATTTTTCAACTTTATGATGGTGCCAAAGCAGTATGTGCTCAGTACCCTCCTTAACTTATGATGGGGTTACATTCGGATAAACCCTTCGTAAGTTTATCACATGTTGACTAACAATATTTTCAACTTATGATGGGTTTATTCAGACATAACCCTATCGAAAATTGAGGAGCATCTGTACTTCTGGAATAAATGAGTGACTTCCAAATGAAATTTTAAAAGAACAGGACTCATTTGGATGTAAAAGTTGTTCAACTTTCAATTAAAATCCATTTCATTGCTTTATAATAATAATTTGTTGGACAAAATTAGCATAGATAAATAATTCCTTCTACTTACATAAAGCAAATCATTTATTCTTGGCCCTCTTCTCTTCTAATTCTACATACTCCCTTGAGCAATTTCATCTGCTCTTACGGCTTCAATTAACACTTACTGGCTACCTCTGAAATCTGAATCACCAATTTTAGCCTGGCTTCTGGACTCTAGATCCTCTCTCGACATCTCCACTTGAATGCTCCAAAGACAATTCAAACTCAACATGAATTCAAAATGGAAACAATTATCTTCCTCCAATATTAAAAAATAAAACAAGACCCTTCATCCAAACAGTTTTCCAAGCTAAAAAACTAAGTCATTTACTTTTCTGTTCCTCTTTTGAGCCAATTGATTTTAAAGCCCTGTCAAATTCTACACCTTCACTATCTATCCTCTCCTCTCCATCCCTATTACTATTTTCCTACTCCAGGCCCCTATCCTCCCTTATCTGGACTATTTCAATAGCAACAGCCTCCTAACTTATCTCCCTACCTTTTGTCTCTCTTCATCCAATTCAGCCTCCAAACCATTTTCAGCTTATCTTTCCTAAACACCTATATCTAAAATCCTTCACTGGCTCTCCATTGTCTTTAGAATCAAGTCCAAAGTCCTTAGCACGATACTCTGGCTCTTCAAGACCTAGCATCAGAAGACTTTTTTCCCTCTTTTTCTGAATCATAACTTTTTTTTTTAAAGACAGTCTCACTCTGTTGCCAGGCTGGAGTGCAGGTGCACGACCTCAGCTCACCGCAACCTCTGACTCCCTGGTTCAAATGATTCTCCTGCCTCAGCCTCCCAAGTAGCTGGGATTACAGGCACACGCCACCACACCCGTATAATTTTTGTATTTTAGTAGAGATGGGGTTTCGCCATGTTGACCAGGATGCTCCCGATCTCCTGACCTCTTGATCCACCTGCCTTGGCCTCCCAGAGTGCTGGGATTACAGGCATGAGCCACCACGCCTGGCCCTAAATCTTAACTTTTTACTTACCTAAGTCTGTAATGTTATCTTATATCTTGTACTTCAAAGTATTAAAAGTACCTTTAACACCATATTTTTTAGTGAAACATTCTGCCAAACTGAACTAATTACTCATTTCATTGTTCCAAATGAAGGGAAGTGAAATACCACATTACCTAGCAATTTTAGTGATCCTAATGCAATCAGCAAGGAAGCTTTGCAATTTTATTTTTTCATCTTATTTCCAGGCACCATCTCCTTTAGCCAAACCACCCATTTCTACACACCCTGGCCTTCAGTACAATGGACTACAACACATTCCTCAAACATACCATATACTTGCACACTTATCCCTGGTTTTCATTCATATCTCCTGTTTCCTGACCCAATTTCAGCAAACTCCTATTCATCCTTCAAAGCCAAATTTAATATCTTCTCTCTAATCGTCCTCCCTACCACACGCAGAATGATTTTTCCTCATCAGTGGTTAAATTCTATCTATACTTCTTTCTTTTTCTTGCAACTCTTCAAACGTACCTAAATCTATACTTCTTTACAGCTCTTATCATGCTGAAATTGTAGAGCCTTATTTACATGTTGGGTTATAAGCTTCTTAAAGACAGGGAAGCATTTTCTCTTCTTGAATCTAATACTTAATTTACAGTCTGAGAACAGATATTTTTAACTTCTTAATGAAAGAAGTTATGAGGTGCTTTTTAATGAAAAATAAGCACCTCATATTGTTAAGATAATGCCATAACTGTTGTTACTGAGGGACTGAGAGCTTAGAATCATCCCCATGTCATTCACTGGCAACAATAACAAAAAAAGGGTTCCCACAGATAAACTATAATTACATCGTTTTAATTGCAATAAAACTGGTATTGCAATACCAGTTTATTTTTTCCTCTTTCTTTCCTTCTTTTTGAAATAGTTTTTTATAGACCTCTTTTTAAAATACCTATTAGATGTCATTTGTATCTCACTCACAGAATTTGAAACTCAGTATAGCGCAAAGGTTACAATCAGGTCCTTGGAGAATGACTGATTTGAATCCTACTTTTGCTATCTAGGTTGTCTAATCATGGGCAAGTTACTCAACCTCTCTATGCCTCTTAATGAGATAATCATAATAACATCCCTCATGGTGCTGTTGTGAGGATTAAGTAAGCTAATACATGTAAAGAATTTAGAATACTGCCTGGCACAGACTAGGTACCAATGAATGATAGCTGATGTTGTTATTGTTACCATCCGCTTTAAAAACAGCTTTTGTTTTTTCAGTACTTATTTTAGCCCACTTGGTAGAATGGAATCTCCTAGATGACAGGAATTACATACTGCTCTTACATAAATATAATCTTGTGCCTATTGTGTAGTAGGCCCTCAAAAAACAATGTGAATGTAAGGTTTCAGACCTCCAAGATCAAGAAATTGTAAATCACAGAAAAATTTATACATGGAGTACGTTTAAAACTCATGTTTTAAAGTAGCTTCAAAAGACCCATCCTCCACTGAATTGCTGAAACATGTTTAAGTAAAACTTCTAAAGCAACACACACAAAAATTACATTCACTAGTAACTTTCCCTCTACTACTTCATTTAATTTGATCTTGGTATCCAGTGGTCTAAAATTCTTGCCTATAACTTAAGACTCACTACAGACCATTTAAAAGTAATATAATTTCCAGCTTTAGAAAACTGCTTATTGTCATTAAGAAAAATAAATATTCTTCCTTTATTGCTGCATTTAAAAAACGTACTGCCACATTCAACACACACACACACACACACACACACACACACACCCCAACTAATGAAAGACCAAGACACATAATTACTACATTTCCTGGTTTCTGCCTGGCAAACTCAGAACAGGCCTACAAGTATCCCCAGCAAAAGCCTACAGGTTACAAAACTGCCATTTTCTTTTTTATTTCCCATCTCCCCGCTAAAATCCCTCGCACACATATCCATAGTAAAGAACAAAAACGTCTATAATAAAGGCTGTATGAAAAAATATGGCTATATATTAACAATATTTTGGAAGATTTAAATCTTCCTATAAGCAGCCCGTCAATTCACAAAAACAAATTAAAGTCTTGATTTGGAACAATATTCCCAGCTTACTTTAGCAGGTATCTTAAACTACAACTATTTAGCTAAGACAAAGAAGTAGATTATTTGATTGCTACAGACTTCGCGGTAAATGATTCAGCAACAGTGTATAGATAACACCACTGTGCTATTCTAGAAAATTTCATCAATCATTTAAAAATAGGACACACTCAAACAATGGGGGTCACTTTGTGGGAAAAGTTTAAACAACTTATTTACACAGTAAGCAAGGATCTATCACTTTATCTAAAACACTGCAGAAGAATCACTAGCTTTAGGGTAAACGTTTGTAAAGTGCCTACTATGTACCAGGCAAGTAGTAGTTGCTTCACAGAATATACACGCTCCACACGCACGTTCAAATATCTGACATTTGTAGAATACTGTCACTCATCTGATTTGACCCTGAGAATACCCATAGGCATGAACTTGCCAGTTTCACAGTTACGGAAAGAGAGGCCCAGGAAGTTAATTTGGCCGAGGTATCACATCTGGTTCCGCGGGTTCTGGCCCTAGACTTGAGCCTTTTGACTCATAATCTAATCATCAGCTGCTATACAGCTCTAGTTACTCAAAAGCTCTTAGGTGTTCCACTGTCAGACTTTTAAATTAAAATTCTACTTGACAACTTTCGGTATTGTGCGTATTAGATGCTGTTAAGAATCAAAACACCAAAAAAAGCAAAATATTGTTTGGAAGTGCATCGTCCCAGCATGTCGAAGTTCAAGCTCACTGGCTAATTTTGGAGAAAGCCCGCGTTTCCCCAGGCTGCCGGGCGCTCCCTCCCTCTTCCCCAGCAGAGAGCGGCGCCCAGCCTAGGGGTCCCCAAGCCCCTGAGGTAGCGAGGAGGTCTTCAGCCAGGCTCCGCCACAACCCGTGCGGCCACGAGAGGACGTCCCAAAGCTGGGCCCAACAACCGGTTGCTCCTCCGGACGGAGGAGGTGCCGAGACAGCGGGGCGCGGAGACACCACCTCCGCCAGCTCGGCTCGCACCGTCCGAGGACTACGCCGCGGCGCCACAGCCCCGCACCCGACGCCCAGAAGGGTGATGCCGACAGCCCCGAGAGTCCGAAGCCCCTGCGGCTTAAAACCCCGCGCCGAATCACCCCGACTCTTACCTGTCTGTACCTCAACGTTGTCTCCTGTGGCCAAGCTAGTCTCCCGGGTATCACTCGGGTCCGCTCCGTCCCGCCCCCGCAGGCCCTGCCGAAGGCCCCGTCCCGGCTGCAGCCCCACCCCCTAGCCCCGCCCTCCCTGGCAAGGCTCAGTTCTTATTGGCTCCTATTCCCACCCCTCACGCTATGCCCGCCTCCGACACCGCCCCGGCCGGCGGTGAGGGGAACCACCACGCCTCAAGTCCGCTGTATGGCCAGAACCTTGCCAGGACCTCGGTCACTGCAGTTCCAGCAGGCGGGCGACCAGTGTCACCGTCGTCCGGCCAAGCCCTCGAGCCAGAGCTCCATCGCCTTCGCCTGCCGTCGCATCGGCCCCACGGAGACGGCCCTATGCTTCATGTGAAGGTTTACTCTTCACAACTACTCAACAAGATAAAGCCTGGCTTAATCAGGGAATCCAAGCACTGTTTCCTAGGCTGACCTCAGTGAGCAAACAATTGCACTACGGTGCCAACTTGAAACGTCAAGAGAAGCAAATAACTCTCGCGGCACCTCAGGCTTGGAATCTCAGAACGGGGGTGCCTTGATACTCCCAGTGCGTGAGGTCAGCCCCCACGCCCTGTTGAGACACACATGCCTAAGCGCTCCGCCTGCAACACGCTCTTGCTTAGGTATGTGCGTGGTGTTGTGCCTACTGCAAGCTGTAACCCAGTTTCACCGAGGCTGCGGGACAAGGATCAGTTGAGCCTGTTTCCCAGGCACTCGCTAACCACCCCACCCCGCCTCGCCCCGCCCCACCCCACCCCACCCCACCCAGCCAGAGCCTCTTGGGTCTGGTGACCAAACTCTTCCTACATTTGTTCACACAGAGGTACCAAAATAGAAGACTACCAGAAAGAGAGGTGTTTAGTTACGTATCACGGATGACTGTCACAAGCAAACTTAACCCAAACAATAAAGGTAGCATATCCCAAACCGTTGTGAAACTATCACCTGTAGACAGTAAAACAGAAATTACATTCTATGATGGGGGAAAAAAAAGTAATGACATACTTAAAAAAAATCATGTCCCAATGAGGAAATAAATGTGGATATTGTTTGTAGTAAATTTTGCACACTGATCATTATGGGCTTCCCCCACCAAAAAAAAAAAAATTCTTATATAATGTGTCTATCTATTTATTTATTGAGACAGGGTCTCTTTGTGTCACTCACACTGGAGTGCGGTGGCCCAATCATAGCTCACTTGAAGTCTCAACTTCCTAGGCTCAAAGAATCGTCCCACCTCGGCCTCCCAAGCAGCTAGTATTATAAGCATGCACCACCACCCCCGGCTAATATTTTTATTTTTATTTTTTTGTAGAGACAGGGTCTCGCTATGTTGCCCAGGCTGGTCTCCAACTCCCGAGCTCAAGCAGTCCTCCTGCCTCAGCCTCCCAAAGTGCTGGGATTACAGACATGAGCCACTGCACCCAGCCCAGAAATGTATTTTTTGACCCCTGCATTCAGGAAGATTATTTGGCAAAATAAGGCAGGTTGAATTCCAAGTATCACGTATGAAACCAAATTTATAGATTAATAAATGAATTCACATGTATGTATTCTACTGCCCTCTCATGGGTAAGATGGAGATATACATAATGGTAGTTAATGCCCTTTGAAGTCTGAGAATACAGTGTTTAATGTAGCAATTTGTACTATTTTGATGATGAGGAGGCCAAGGTAAAATAAAATCTGGTTCTTTAAAGGGTTCACAAATACTCAACAAACAAAACTTCAACTTCAGAAATCAGGAAGAGATTCTTACACCAGAGCTAGTACAAACATGCCATCAGGGTTACACCTATGCTTATGGCTGCATGTGTAGAATATAGAAACGTGCAGAAATTTGCTTTCAATTTTTTTTCCATTTGAAAGTTCAGGCTGGGCACAGTGGCTCACGCCTGTAATCCCAGTACTTTGGGAGGCCAAGGCACATGGATCGCTTGAGCATAGGAGTTTGAGACCAGCTGGGGTGACATGGTGAAACCGCGTCTCTACAAAAGGTTCAAAAAAGTAGCTGGGTGTGGTGGCATGTGCCTGTAGTCCTGGCTACTCGGAAGTCTGAGGTAAGAGGATCACCTGAGCCTGGGAGGCCGAGGCCGCGGTGAACTGTGATTACACCACTGCACTGCACTCCAGCCTGGGTGACAGAGCAAGACCCTGTCTCAAAAAAAAGAAAAAAGTTCATTACTTTTGAAGACATTTCACAAAATTCTATTTTTTACTTGTAGCCACACTATAACTTCATGCTGAGGACAACTAGAGGATAGGAATGAAATCTTATTCTGTATACCTTTGGTGTTTAGAATAGTACCTGATAATTTAGCTATTTGATCAATAATTGTTTATTGAATAAGTTGAATGAAATGTCAGCCCAGCCACTAGATGCCAACACAGTTGTATGTGTGGAAGTATCATCTGCCCATTTGGAATTTCACCTGACCTTAAGTAATAGGCATGCTTCTTAAAAGTTATATGTACATTTTACTTTGGTAAGCAAAATCATTTAAAATGTACCAGTTTAGCTCACTATAATCTTATTGTCAATTACATCCTTAAAGCTAAGAATCCTTTTGTAAGATAAATTCTCCCTCAATATAATAACTCATAAATACTGATTTTCTATATTGAGGTACGCCCTCTGGTTTTGTCTAAAAAAGCCACTATTCACTTATACCTTGTCAAAGAACTTTTTAGTGGTTCTAAGTGCCTTAAGCAAATTTCATGCTATAAACCAGAAGCCTATCTCCCAAAAAGTCATTTGCTTGTATTTTTGCCCAGCTTTAATAGATATTTTGCCTGAAAGTCATAGAGACTGCAGTCAGAGAAACCCACGTTCCCACTGCTACCCTTCACCAGGTATATCCTTGTGCAGGTTATTAACCTTATTAGCTTTAGTGTACTAATTTCCCCCAAAATGGAGATAATAATATCTACTTTATAAAGGTTGTGAGAAGGATTAAATGAAATAATTTCAGTGGAACATCTAATACTTTCCTTGGTTTATAGTAGGGACTCAATAACAGGTAACTATTATTATTCAAACTCTACAATGAAATTCTCACTCATATTATTATTTGGTTTACTTTTTTTTATTCTGTTGATTTAAGACCCTCAGCAATTAAATTGAGTTCATAACACCAGGTTTCATAGCGATAGGCCATGCGGATTTGGGCTACATTTGTCCTCCGGATATCATTTCCAGCAGGGCCTTCCTCAAGGTAATTGTCGCCCAGAAACTTTACTTTCTCCTATAAGAGAAAAGGATGGCAGAATGATTGTTGTCTCTTTTCACCCTGGTATAGACAATAATTGCATTCTTTACAAAAATTCCTTCCTTATGTTAGCCACTGACAAAAGAATAATAATAATAGACCATTAAAAGCACCCATCTAGTGCCTCAGTGTTCACAGTCTGCTGAGAAATCAAGTGTATTTTACTTCCCTGGCCCAAAAGGCACAGGCAAAGAGATAGAATAATCCCTTCTAGTCCCTGTCCATAGTAACTGCATATGATTCGTGGAACAATTTTTCTACATGTGTTTCCCAACTACTTTTTCGGTATTCAAGTTAGCAGACCCTATACTCAGAAGGGAAGCCATTTGAAGACAGGTCTACCTCATGAGAAATTCCACACTGCAAGACACTGTTCCTTGCCACTTCGCACATATCACAGGTGCTCAGCTTGAAGACTTGTGCAGCAATAGCATATTCTTCCATTAGGGGCTCCTGCAGTTATATTAAATGAGGAAAAAAGAGGAGTGAATTAATAAATAATATGCATCCTGCCTGAAAAAATAATGAAATACCTTTATTTGACTTTCAAATTCTGGACGGGAAACAACAGTCCAGCAAAATATGCTTGTATTGCCCAAGTCCATACTATACCTTGGTAAAGTGGAATTGCATTGGGTCATCTGTAGACAGTGAGATCATTAGCCCTTTCTGAAGGAAATCCAAAAAAGGATTTTTGGCATACTCTAGAAATAGGCTATTGTTACTTAGTGGTGACATGGCGATGGGAATTTGGGCTAAGAAAAACAAGTACTGTAGCACGGGACTCTGAAAAAGAAAAGTAAAAAAATATTTAAAGATGTTGAAAAAGGAATACAAACTAGAAACACTACAATCTCATGGTCTGCCTTAAGCTTCAGCTTTCAACAAAATTATCACTTGTTCTTCAAGTCTCTTAGTAAGGAGAATTTAGGAGTTTTTCAATGTAAATGCTATTTAGAATAAATGTACTTAGGATACATTAATTTTCAGAAACATTGAGTCAAACCAGATTGTTTATTTGATCTATAATGGCCTACGTTAGATGGTCTGTCTCAGGCAAAAGACTTTGCCTTGAAACATTATTTTTTCTCTCTCTCTCTACAAGAAAGTTCTGACTCTCACAAAAAAACATCTTGAAGCATGCTATAACAAGAAATCTGGCAAAAACTAGCTTAAGGAAAGCCAGGCCATCTCTGAATTATCCCTTGTCAGGATTCTAAGCTAGAAGTCAGGAGATCTGCGTTAACTTTTATCTGACAGCAACTAGCAAGGTAATCTTGAGCAAGTCCCTTTACTTCTTTCTGTAGAATGAACTGCACTAAACTAAAAAATCTTTTATGCTCTACTTGATTATGATTGCAGTGTCGATAATGACTTGTGACAGTATGGTTGGTTAAGGGAAAAAAGATTCCTCTAGCTCCAATGTAAAAGTTAAGAAGAGAGCTTCCAACTCACCTTTTTTAAATTTAGGCCATGAGAGATATCATCTGCTATCATGAATGCTGTCATGAGATGGGTGAGGGCTCCAGCTTCTCCACAGTGAGGTCGGAACAGAAACGTATTCATGCCTCGTTCCCTGGGGAAATAGAACTGCTATTGGAATCGCAGGTTCTGGGTATGGAGTGATTCACAAGAAAATTCAGTAGAAAAGTGAACACTCTGGAAGGAAGTAAGCCATCCAAAGGATTCAGCAAAACAGTCCCAAATCATAATCTTAATTCTTGCTAAATACAAAGTTTCCAAAAAGAGGCAGCAGAGGATATGGGGGTAAGGAAGCAAATAAAGTGTTGATTGCCTGGATGGAAATACGTTCAGTCTCAATAGGAAATTTACCAATATCAACATCTCATCATTTATTCTATTCTATTCAAATTTTAAGGGAGAAATGTTTCCAGAAAACTCCAGTATAATATTCCTCTACTTATTCCTTACCCAAATATATCAAGAAGGGCAAAATATATGAAGTTTTATCATTAATTGCACAATGATTAGTATAAATTCCTAAACTTCCCAAAAAAAAAGGAACTGTGAAAGTTATTGAAAGCATCGAAATACCGATTTCTGCCCCAAAATAAATAAACTGAAGAAAAAAGTTAAGAGAAAGAAATTTCTGATTTGGGCCAATTGGAACCATCACAGTAATGCATGAGGCCCCTGACCACCTTAATTGCCAATATATGTGGAAAGAGCTGTGTCAAATAGACCCTCCTAGCTCCAGCTGTCTCCTACTTACTTTCTCAGGCTGTTGAGCACCATGATGTTTGCATACATGTAGTAGGCATAGTAAGTGTAAGATGGATTCTTTTCCAATGTCCACTCCTGGGGCTTGGGACTCTTGGAGGAGAACATGTGGCCACTGTGTTTGGACTCATCATCCACACTGTCAAAGCCAGTGATCTGTTAGGAAAAGTGAGCCATGCAATGGGTTCAGTCCAACTTCAGGGTCCCAGTCCTCACACAAACTTTCAGGTCCAAAGGCACAGACCAAACATAAAGAGATAAGCACCAAGAATTAGTCATGACCAGGTAGGAAGGCTGGTTCATGAGCAGCAGTATGAAGGCCTGAAGGGTCATGCTTACATGCTTGAGGAAGACACTGAGTTCTGGGTCAGCCTGGGGGTTGATGGTGGCCTCAAACACTGGCATGAAAATATTCTCCAGCATTTTTCCAAAATGTGGAAGGAAATTCTTGGAACGGAACACATCACTAGAGGCAAGAATGAAGAGAATTTAGGAGAAAAAAAGATTTTTAGGACTGATAGCCCCAGTATGAGGGAACCAGAGAATCGAATGTCATGCACAGGAAAAGACGTGGTATATCTATCCTAGGTCCATGCTCCTCATACATTCTTTTTGGTCCCCTATAGAGAGGGATTCAGTTTGGGCAGCACATAGGAAATAAAAATTTTTTGGTGGACCCTATGTCCCCATCTTTTTTACAAACCTTTGTCATAAGAAAACTAAACCTTCACAGCTAAGTCCTCATAGAGGAATATGCAATTACGTCATAAAAGCTTCAATATATGTGTGTAACTACAAGACAGTGAACAGGAAATGATTACCAAGAATACCTCTGATCTGCAATTTAACAAACTCTGATATAGCATTTAATATATTCCAAGCACTCTTCTAAGTGACCAGAAATATTAGCTAATGTAATCCTCATAACAACTCAATAAGTTAGGTATTGTTTTTAACCTTGTTTTAGAGATGATGAAACTAAGGCACAATGGGGTGATATAACTTAACCCAAGGTAACACAGCTAAATGGTTGTGTTACCTTGATTTAAGTATTGCCAGGATTCAAGTATCACCACTCTGGGTCCAGAATCTATACTCCTAACCAACCTACTGCCTCTCTGCCTATTAGGAAGTATTATCCCAGTCAAAAAATTACTTTTTTTGGTTAAAGAGACAGGATGAAACTCTTGCATTGCAGTAGGTCACACAGAACACAAAGACAGGTAGCCAGAAAACATATAAACACCCAAGTTAGATAAAAGATCAATGATACTGAACAAACTGAAAGAGAAGCCATCCCTGAAGGCGATGAATGATAGCAGGTGGTATGAAAGGGAGATGATGTCCTCAGCAATACCATTGATAAATACTCATTGATTGTGGAGAACTTGAGCACTTGTAGGTGGGACAATTGACAGACAGTAGTAAAGGTTCTGATACAAGAAAGCCACATCCCAGTAGAGATGAGCATGGGAAGGAATGGACTTGACACAGAGAAGACCAGGTGAAAGAAAATGTATACCAAACTGTACATAGTTCTTATTCTATCTTAGTTTTAATCATTCTCAGTGAGTTATTTATGATCTTCATAAAGCTAGAGGACTGATCCGAAATGATCTTCTTAACTCCTGTCTGTGGTTAAGAGTGCTGTACCCAGAGTGGACAAAACCAAGCATGCAGGACCCGATAGTGAATGCTGTTTTAACAAAGCTGATTTATTTCTAGATGGGCAACACGTTCCTTGTTCATACAGGGGACTTGAAGCAGATGAGACAAGGGCAGGCTCTAGAGTTTCTGATGGGCAGGTACATACTAGATCCTGGGAACCTGGATCATCCATGTCATGTTGGGGCAGTGGATGCGATTGCAGACGAACCAGGAGGAGAGTTTGCTCCACTCATCAGGACTGCGGCCATAGATGGACAGGCGGGGCTCAGCATGCTGGTACTTGGCCTCCACCAGGTCCGCACCTACCTCCTGCAAAGCCAAGAGAGAAGTCCAAGCCAGGGATTCCCACAAGTTCCTCTGGGGTTCTAGGGAGAGGAGATTCCCTTTCTAACTCTTCCTTTCAGAATCTGAAAAGGCTAGGTCCTTAATCAATCTCAAAACCACACCCTTAATTTCTCTACCTTAGCAATAGAGGTCTTCAAAAATCATTAGAGTGGATGTGTCAGAGGAAATCCTTATATTCATTTGTGTAGTGTTTGGCCCCAGGGATCGCTCCCTCCCTCCCTCCCTTCCTTCCTTCTTTCCCTCTCTCCCTCCTTCCTTCCTTCCTTCCTTCCTTCCTTCCTTCCTTCCTTCCTTCCTTCCTTCTTCCCTTTCCTCAAGAACCATGCCAGATACCATAGATGTGATTGGTTCCGCCTCACCTTGATGATAGTGGCAAAATATTCCCCATTAATGTAATTGTCTGTCTTCAAGTAGAGGTCCCGTAGCTCACTTGCTCCTACAGGATTATATTTGTCATTGAACTTATCAAAACGCTGGAAGGTCTGGCGTCCCTGAATCAGGAAAAAAGAGCAGAGATGTATTATTACCAGAGCTGTCTGGACAGAGAGAGCTAGGAAATAGTCAAGCAGAACTGGGGTCTGGTAGTGGGGGAGGGCATTGGGCTCCAAGAATGGAATTTGGGACAGGTGACAATGAGCAAACTTCAAAATTGTCTGTGGTGCTTTCAGGCAGCGTGGTAAGCCAAGATGGTTAAGAGACCTCTGAGAAGGGAGGGCTTGTAGGAGAAAGACATGTGGGGTTCTGAGTATTAGAGTGAAACTGACATTGCCGTTTCAACCTACAGCATGAACATCCAGAGAATCAACAGTCAGGTCATAAGGATGCATTTTTAATTTAGCAAAAAGTTCCTTTAGGGTCAGATTCTTCTCTTTGGTGCTATAGACCACTCTGTCAGCATCAATTTGGTAAGATTTCTTAATAAAACGCAGCAGATGTTTCTGGTTCATGCAAGCGGCTGCATGGATATGGGTGTCCACCTGTATGTATATTCAAAGAAAGAAAAAAACATCAATCAGCCTTAGTTATGCTACTCTGTTTAGAGGATATGGTGCTGCAAATCCCACTGCGTTGGGACAAAGTGAATAATGAGGATGTGAGCTGACAGTTGGTGGAGGTGGTCCAGCAATAAAAAATCCATTACAACTGTGGCGTGCCCATGCAAGGATGTGAAAGGTTAGGCTAGAGGCAATAAGAATGCTTGCTTCTTCTGTATATCTGTACATCCAATTTATTTCCTACGTCTGATCCACACATTCTTCTGGACCATTCTTCACTCCTAAAACACAGCTGGAAGTGAAGTAACTACCATAACTTTCAGCCCCTAAGGAGAAAGGATTGAAATTATGAAGCCATGACACAGTGATGGCTTTTATGAGGTAGATATTCTTATAACTAAATTTTATACACTGAAATTTCAGCAGATTAAGTAATTAGTCCAAAGTTGTATAGGCAGCTGAGCCAGGATTTGGGCCTGAATCTCTGCTCATATATTTCCTATTCCCACTTCCTTGTAATCATTTTAATGGTCAGAATACATCTTGGAAGTGTGTCTAGTTTATTGGATTTCACAATCTCTAGGCTAGCTCATTTGATATTCACAATCCTCACGTGAACTGGATTGTGCAGGTGTAGTTCCCAATTTGACAAATGAAGACACTGAAATGAAAATATGTCATCCCTTCCTCCAAGGTCTTACAGTCAGGAATTCAAAGAAAAAGGACTAGAAGGAAGATCTTTCAAATTCTAGAATGGTCATTTTTGATGTTTTGTTGTTGTTGCTATTTTCGTTGTTGAGGATAACTATAATTTTTTGTGCCAAAAATGTGGCAAACCTTTCTATGGGGAAAACGATAGAAATGGCACTTAACCCTAACCCATTGGACATAATCTATTATCTGTTTTTACTAAAATCCACTGAACCTGTAGAAATCTTAGATTAATCAGAAACACACTCTTTTCTTGTGCTTCTCAATAAATAATTGAATTGTTTTTGCCCAGGAATTACCCCTGAGCAACTAAAATGTTTACCTTCCTGCAGTTATAAAAATCTCGGTGGGGGTTGTTTTTCAGCTCCTTTAACTCGTCCATCTCGTTAAGCATCTGATGGACCTGGAACTTGGAGGAGAGGAACTTCAGGCGCCGGTGGGTATAGGTCTTACTGTGAAAAATAAAATCACATAATTCCAAAAAGTTTCAGGCATTCAAGAAAAACAGTCACAATTTCAAAACTATCAGGACCTTTATCATTCATAGGAAATAATTGTTGGAACAAACCTTTTAGTTTACTCTGCAGTTAATCCCACTGAGAAGTAGTGGGCTCCAAAGGCTTAATCTTTTCAATAATGTTGGACATAAGAATGAGGGAGAACTTGGAAAGGTATCTTAAAACTCAATGGAGAGAGTGTTATTCAAAGTTTGGGGTCAGCAGATTCGAGTGTGAATCCTGGCTCAGCCAGCTGTGTCACTTTAGGCAAGTTACTTAAGTCATCAAAGTCTCAGCTCATAAAACTGGAATTATGAAAATAACCACCTCACAGTGAAAAGTGTAAGCAATAAAAGGAACAATGTGCATGAAGGGCTTAATACAGTGTTTGAACATAGTAAGCATTTAGTAAATACTTAGTCTCACTATCAGTAGAAGTAGTACTAGTTGTTGTTTAGGTCTTGTAGTACTAGTTGTTGTTGTTTAGGTCTCACTAAACACTTACACAGGTCCTTGAGCAATTAAAGCAAGTAAAAAATTCATATCGTCTAAGAAGGTGTCCAGATTTGGGTAAGGAAGTGGCTTAGGCTCATCTTTGCTGACTGCTGCTTCATTAGGATAGACGTAAACTACACCGTCCTTCATTTTGAGGTGATAGCCCAGGTTTTCAGGAAGGTTGTCTGTTCGGAAGGGGTCCTCTCCCTTCTTCACAGGAGGAGTAAAGACTTTTTCAATCAAACACAGAGTAATATATTAGCACATAGGATGAACGACCACATAAAAATAACCAAAATGTGAAATACTACAACATCTCATTAGCTTGGAATCCGGTACTTAAGTTGTAATTATCTGGAATTAAGCTAACCTTTATTTTTGCATTATTTTTTAAAGGTGACATAATAGTATAAAATAGCTATAAAAATAATATATTGGCCAGGCGCAGTGGCTCGTGCCTGTAATCCCAGCACTTTGGGAGGCCAAGGCAGGCAGATCACCTGAGGTCAGGAGTTTGAGACCAGCCTGACCAATATGGTGAAACCCCGTCTCTACTACAAATACACAAATTAGCCAGGCTGTGGCGGCGTGTGCCTGTTACCTCAGCTACTCAGGAGGCTGAGGCGAGAGAATCATTTGAATCCGGGAGGCATACGTTGCAGTGAGCTGAGATAGCACCACTGCACTCCAGCCTAGGCGACAGAGGGAGACCCTGTCTCAAAAAAAAGAAAAATAAAATAATATGTTGTCTAGTGTAAGAATGATTTTTCAAGTTCTTTGGAAGAACTATTTACATAAAGTAATCGATATACTACTTACAAACAATCTTCATTATTTACTGAAGTTTGTCATCAAAGGCTTTCTGTTTAGAGCATATTATTAGCTCTTAGATAATAACATAAGAATAAAAGTCAAACTACAGTTAAAAAAATAGAGTTTAGATCTTTACCTTATTTAAGCCAATCCTTTTTATTAGGCGTAATTTAGAGTGTTTTTTGAAATAAGCTTTTAAAGATCAGTCTTGGGTTCCCAGTAAAATAATTGAGTAGAAAATGCCGTTTCCAGGCTGGGCACAGTGACTCACGCCTGTAATCCCAGCATTTTGGGAGGCCAAGGTGGGTGGGTCATTTGAGGTCAGAAGTTCAAAATCAGCCTGACTAACATGGTGAAACCTCATCTCCACTAAAAATACGAAAATTAGTTGAGTGTGGTGGTGTGCGCCTGTAGTCCCAGCTACTCAGGAGGCTGAGGTAGGAGAGTCTCTTGAACCTAGGAGATGGAGGTTGCAGTGAGTGAGTTTGTGCCACTGCACTCCAGCCTGGGTGACAGAGTGAGACTCCATCTCAAAAAAAAAAAAAAAAAGAGAAAAAGAAAAAGAAAATGCAATTTCCCCACAGCCCGTTACCCACACAGGCACAGCCAGTCTCCACTCTAGACATCCTGCATCAGAGGGTCCATTTGTTATAATAGATGAATATACATTAACACCTTGTAATCACCCAAAGTCCATAGTGCACATTAGGGTTCACTCAAAGCCTATGGGTTTTGGCAAATGTATAATGACATGTATCCACCCTTATAGTATCATACAGAATAGTTTCACTCCCCTAAGAATCCTCTGTGCTCCACCTAAAGTGGTTTTAATGTAAAAAAGAGATATAAAATAAATTATTATTGTAAGAGTGATAATTCTTATGAGAATTATTTTTCCCACCTTTTAAAGCACATACAATTTCTGCTAAAGGAACTGAGAAGAGATTAAGTGGATGTGTTCCCTTCTTTCCACTGCTAGCGATTTCAGCCTAAGGAAGCCATGAACACATTTCGCACCGTCAGAGCCTTTAAGAATTCATCCTTTTGACTTTCAACAAGTATGGTCATTTATGCCTCTTCACTGCTGTGCCCGAGGAAGGCATCAGAAAGCCTCCTGTTTACAAGTGATGCCCACAGCAGCCAAAGTGAGAAAAATAGCATAGGGAAAAAAAACAGTCTGCACATTTCCTATTCAAAATTGGGAGATAAGGAACATAAGAGAAGTGAAACAGCGTGTTACTACAATATTTGTTACTACTATCAAATATTAATTTTGAAATCCTTATACTTAAGGATTAATAACTCACTATTAATGATATAATTATTATTGAAGCGTAACTTAGGAGAAATAAAGACAAGACAAACTAAATGTCTATATTATAGAGGATGGGAAAACCACTGTTATGTGTTACCAAACTGGAGACATGTTTAATATGATTTTAATATTAAAAGGAATTACAGACAGGGAGTTGTAGAACTGGAGATCTTTAATAATATTACAATTTGGAACTTCAAAAATCTTTTTTTTTTTTTTTGAGACGGAGTCTCCCTCTGTCGCCCAGGCTGGAGTGCAGTGGCGCGATCTCAGCTCACTGCAAGCTCCGCCTCCCGGGTTCACGCCATTCTCCTGCCTCAGCCTCCGGAGTAGCTGGGACTACAGGCGCCCGCCACCACGCCTGGCTAATTTTTTGTATTTTTAGTAGAGACGGGGTTTCACCGTGTTAGCCAAGATGGTCTCGATCTCCTGACCTCGTGATCCGCCCGCCTTGGCCTCCCAAAGTGCTGGGATTATAGGCGTGAGCCACCGCGCCTGGCCTCAAAAATCTTAAATATTTGCCTCCCCAGAAATTTTAGTTCTAGGAGTGTAATCCTAAAATTGTAAGACAATTACAGGAAGATGTGTATATAAAGATGCTTATTGTACCTTTTTTAGAAACAAGTTTTAAAAAGTCAGAAATTTAATTGCCTAAAAATAGGAATTAAGTCAATTATGTTCCAGTTATATAATAGAAATCTGTAAAATTATTAAAATCTGATTGTTGAAAAATACGTACTTAACTTTCTACAAGGCAGAAGGTAAAAACTGAGATAAGTAAATAAAGTGCTATGGAAAGTCAGAACATGTAGTTTACATCTATCCAGAAGGCAAGAAATGATAGTATTTGGGCTGCCTCTTGAAAGATTGGGTTGGCTCTGGAGACTTGGGCATGTGGTGAATAAGTGAGGGGAAGGACAGCCTGAGCACAGGGAAGCAGAGCAGCAATCCAGGAGCAGGAAGGTGTTGAACTATGTAGGGAACGAGAAATATTTCCAACCAGAACCAACAGTATAAAAATGGAGCAGAGAAAGTAAGTTCAGAAATAGGTTGAGTGTGCAAGTTCAAAAATAAACAGGCCGGGTGTGGTGCCTCATGCCTGTAACCCCAGAACTTTGGGAAGTTGAGGCAGGCAGATCGCTTGAGGCCAGGAGTTCAAGACCAGCCTGGCCAACACGGGAAAACCCCATCTCTACAAAAAAATACAAAAATTAGACAGGCATGGTGACACACACCAGCAATCCCAGCTACCCGGGAGGCTGAGGCAGGAGAATCGCTTGAACCCAGGAGGCAGATGTTGCAGTGAGCCGAGAGGGTGCCGCTGCACTCCAGCCTGGGCAACAGAATGAGAGCCTGTCTCAGAAAACAAACAAAATGTAGTTAGGGGGCCAGAGGGTGTGGGCCTCAAATGCCAGGCTAAAGACTGGACTTTGCTTTGTAGGTAGCAAGGAGCAGCTAAAGGTTCTTGTCAGGAGAAGGATGTGCTCAGATCTGTGTTTTAAAAATTAGCACCAAAGTAAAGATGAACCAAAAGAGAGGGAGACTGAAATTTTGCAGAGTAGTTACGAAGCTCTTGCAATAATCTGGGCAAGGAGAAGGATAAGCCTGAATGAGGGTTTAGGGAATGGTGAAGAGAAAAAGTTCAGAGAGATGTTGTGCAGACTGAATCAAGTGATTGGACACGTGAGGAAATGGGGCCAAAGATGATTATGACTATGATATTTTTAGACTGGATTACTTATAATCTAGAGGCATATTTTAAATTTAATATTTAGTAGTTTAAATAAAATATGTTTCATACATTATGTAAGAGAATTGTTACCTGGATAGAAGCTCTCATTTGCTACCCAAGCCTCACCATCAATGTTCCGCAAGTATTTGGAAGGGGTTTTAGGGAACCTCTGAAACGACTTCTGCATGTATTTCTCACGTATGCATAGTGCCCGATACAGACCTTTGCAAACAATTTCAAAATCTTCAACTGTAACCTGCCAAAAAAAAAAAAGTCAGCATATCAGAGTCAATCCCACGAAAAACTGAGAAGTGAGTAAAGCTTATCCTTGGCACCTCCCAGCTCTCCTGTGTATCGCAGCCCATTCTGAGACTCACCACTCACCTGGCTGCTTCTTAATTGACTTGGGACCTGGATCTCCCTCCCAGAGCAGGTCCTGAAGCTTTTCTAGCTTCTTTATTTCTACCAAACTTACCTGTCCTACTAGTCTTTCCCTTGTAGTCCTGTATTTGTTTGTTTCTGGTTTTTGTTACATAGCAGGGATTATCTAGCAAATAGGATTAAAAGAATCCATTCCAACATGGTATATACTTTCTTCCTTCTAAGTACGTGTGAACATTTTAAGTACAAGACAATACCTCAACTGAAAGACCATGTGACTCAAATTGTGAGAATTCAAACCACTCGGTCAGTGAGGGAAATATTTTGGGATGAATAAGGGGTCACAAATCTCTCAAACCCATGCACGGCTTTCTTCAGCTACGATGGATCACAACATCATTCTGTGAGAAGTTAGTCGTTTAGATGATTTTAAAGAGAATTTTATTTCTGGGTAAAACTTGAGAGATTCTAGAGGAAAGCTTTATTAGAGCTGCTGGAAATTTCCCCTGCCCCCATTCCCAACTCCTGGTTGGGCCAGGCATGCCCAAGTAGTTATAACTTGAAATCACTGAATGTTCATTATCAGAACCCAAAGACTTTTCCTGTGGGACTACCATATGCTTGTCCCCAGTAGTTTAAGGTCCAGATATTGATCCTGAATTAGTTTAACTATTTTAAAGACCTGCTGTCCTTGGCCAAAAGCGTCTGGCACAGATGCTAGGTCTGGGGGTCTGCTTCCCTGCTTCCAATGGCATGCGTAGCTCATTGCCACCTAATAGGCCACTAGTCTATCAGGTCCTCAAGAATGAGAGCTGGGTCTTATTCACCTTCATGTTCTCAGCACACAATGCCTAGCACAGAATAGATGCTCAATAAGACTGATTAAACTGAATCGAGTGTTTACCAGGAATTAATAATCTTGAGAACTGAGCCCTGATTTCCTCTTTGCCTCTCTGTTTAAATTACTAGGGTGAAGACTAATTTGGGTACAGACTACAACCAGGTAGAGCGTAGAGTGTTGCTCAGCAGCCCAGCCACATTCAGCCAACTGGTAGAGAAACATACTTCGTTTTTCCCAGTCTCCAGGTCAAGGTTTCAGGTGCCCTCCAGCTTTCACAGGAGGAGAAGTACTCCTTGACTTGTGTACATTTTGTTCGTCCTCCTAACTTCTTTGTTTTTATTCTTGTTTTCATTTCTATCAAGCATGCAGGTATGAAGTTTATCTCCAAATGTTTATGTTATTTTGAATTCTGGAGTTCTCCAAACTGTGTTTCCCCTGTACTCATCTCTATTAGGCATTTCCTTTTAGTTATTTAGTGTCTAAACCCCCTGCCATTTAGAGAGCACCCATGTTATACAGAAAATGAATAAACAAGAATGAGGTGCATTTAATTGCCTTGTCACTTTTAAGTATCTTAGGACTGACCCTAAGTGGGTCAGTTACATGAGAAGGGGACCCAGCACTGGTCATTAAAACTATATTTGGAGCATCGACGGACGGCTGCACAGCAGTTTCACCAATATGATGCTGATTCTGCAAGTCCATGTGGCAGAGATTTATTAATTGACCAACTGTTCTGGATGAGACAAGCAGGTCAAGTTGTTTGTGACATGACTTTACTATCCCTGTGGCATCCTAGAGTCTGTTCCAAGTAATGATCTACTGTGTAACCATCTGTAATGAAATTGGAGAGTTCAGGTCGTCAAAAAAACAATAGCCTCGTTAGGATTTTCTAACCTCTCTCTCATCTTCCTTCTTTTCTCTGGTTCCTTCTTTTTTCTCTTCCCTCTCTCTTTCTCTGGATCTGTTTTCTTTGGTTGGTTTATGCTATCTGCAACCCTTCTCACTATCCTAGGTCTGCTTGGGTCCTTCTTTTCCCCAGAGACTCCGTGCCTCCCCAGAGGCTCCCTTTTCTGATTTATGACAACATCAGTGAGACTTGACCACTCTACTGCTCTCTTTGGTCCTTTTTGCCAAAATCTGTCCATTGTATTCTGTAACATACACACTGCATTCTACTCCATATTCTCCATGTGCAAGCAAATGAGATAGAGGATAAATTATGTGGGATGATAAAAACAACAGAAACATAAGACATACCACCATATTAGTATTGAAATGCAATAATGAAGTGTAACAAAGGACAGGTGAGCTAATACCTCCCTCAACAGGAAAGAGAAGAAGGCAAGGAGCTAGAACTGTCAAGCTGAATGGCTTCCTGGTTGCTAAGTCTGAGTGGCAAGGACCAACTCACCCCAGAGGCATAGTCACCAGTAATCTGCACTCTCTGAAAATCAGGCACGGTCTGGTAGGTTGGAGATGAGGAAATGTATTCATCAATGTGGGACAGTTTGGTGGAAGATGTTTCACTTAGTGGAATGGACAAATTAACAGTCTTCCGTCCTTGGAAACGCTTTTTTCTGGGTTCGAAATTTAAAAGTAAGAGTTAATTTTGTCTTCATCAGGCGTTTCATTGTGATAGATAGATGTTTCTCTATACAATTTTATTCTGAGGACAAAAAGTAAAAATTAAAATGTGGTTGGGTATCAGAAACAGGATCCAAGCATAGTGGGAGGAGAAATCACTGAAGACACATGACCTTGTGCCCCTCTCCCTGGTCTACCTTGGAATGGCCTTAGCAATCCTACTAGAAGACCTTCACCATGACACCCTTCTTCCCAGGCAGTCCACTCCCAGCAGAATAGGCAGTCTAGGAACTACAGAAAACACAGGCTATGTCAGTTACTACCTGTATCATTTTATTCATGTTCCTTAAACATGGATAAAGGAGCTCCCATCTACCCATCTAAAACAAATGGTGCAAAAATGACTACCTTATAGGATTTCTATGAGATTTAATGTATATAAAATGCCTAGCACAGTACCTGGAACTTATAAGGTATTTAATATTATTTTCTCAAATCAACAAGTATTTGTTGAGTTTGACCCAAGTTTATTGCTTTGACCCAAGTCCTGTGTTAAGTCCTATGGGGGACACCAAAGGAGATGGATTGCTGTTCTTTCCTTAAAGATGTAAAATCAAGAGAAAGACAGCAGAATAGTCTTTTCCCCATGAAGCTGGTGGGATGGGGGGAGGACCTAAGGAGGGGGTTCCAGCAAAGTAGTTAGTATAGGTTTGAGGTTTGGGGACTAAAGTGTGGCTGGTAGTGAATCCTAGAGTGGTTCAAATAAAGGAAAATAGACTTGGTGGAGAGGGATTTTCAAAGACTGCTCGGGGGAGGCAGCAAGTATGCATCATAGACATGGGATGGGCAGGTCATGAGGGCAGAATTGGAGAGCAGTATTCCTAAGGCCAGGAGGTGGTCAGACTAACTGGAGGGCAGGATTCATGTCAGGGAGCATAACACTAAGGTTGGCTAGGGACAGAGTCTGAAGATGAAGGCTCTTGAGTCCCAGTTTATATTACCATTGTGTGTAAATTGAATATGTTCACAGCAGCCATTTGCCCACTTTGGTCTGAAATAATTCTATGGTATCTCGAAGTCCTCTTGCTTAGATGGGTAGGGAGGCTTCAATCAAGGGAGATATGGACGAGATAGGAGGCCCACTGCTTTCTTCTTTTTTCATCATTGGCCCCTCACTCTACTCACTCTAGCATATACAGTGTTGGGGGGAAAAGGAATTTTTTTTTTTGAGACAGACTCTCGCTCTGTCACGCAGGCTGGAGTGCAGTGGGGTGATCTTGGCTTACTGCAACCTCCACCTCCCAGGTTCAAGCGATTCTCCTGCCTCAACCTCCCAGGTAGCTGGGACTACAGGCATGCACCACAGTGCCTGGCTAATTTTTGTATTTTTAGTAGAGACAGGGTTTCACCGTGTTGACCAGGCTGGTCTCAAATTCCTGTCCTCAAGTGATCCACCCACCTCGGCCTCCCAGAGTGCTGGGATTACATTTGTGAGCCACTGTGCCCAGTCTTAGGAATTGCTAACTCTGGCAGAGTTCTTCCTCTGAGTTGAACCATCATTTGGATAAATTGAACCATATCTTCCCTGGCAGATACCCCTCCTTAGGTGCCAATATACTAAGCACTCCCCTTACACCACTTACCTCCTGGCTTCTGTGGAGGTGGACAGAGTCTCCAGATGGAATATGTGTGCTTGCATCTCATGATGAGAAATCGGACAGATCTCATCCACATCAAAGGGGGAAATCTCCTGACGACCTCCTTCATCTTTGACTTCAGAGGCAAACACTTTTTCAGCAAAGTTGCGCATTGCATCATCAATTTCTAAAAGAGGTTTTCACATATTAGTGTTCAAGCCCCTTTTCAAAAGTCAGCTGAGAGTTTCTGCTATGTGTAAGGCATGGGACAAGGACTGTGCTGCGTGCATGGCTCTCCTGCTTTCCAACCAGGGTCCAACACAGAGCTCAGTGCCTGCTCTCCTTTTAGTGGGTTTCTGTGTGGGTACCTTGAAAATATGCTCTCAGAAACATGGGTCAGATTCTCATAGCACATTTCAGAACAGTCCTAAAGATGGTCCTAAAGATGAGACCGGGCTGTTGTAGGACTAGCACCTCAGTAAGATCACCTGTTTCTGGCAAGGCTAAGTTTGATTTCATAGTTTGAACCATGCAGCACAGTTCTTCCCATTAGGTTGGTGGAGTTTTTCTGATGGTGTTAAATATGTGGATAGGGTTATTGGTCCTTGGAGTTTTTCTTGCTAAGGAGAACCAGTGATTCCGGTGATCTAAGTAGTTCTGAGAAATAAATGTGTACTGTAGGGCCTTTCTTCTACTTAAGACAGATACTGTGTTTCTCTCACACATCAAACCTTGTTTTTTCAAATCCAGACAACTTGGTGATATGCTGCTGTATGCAGGGAGGGGACCACTAACATTTACTACCAAGTGCTGGAAGTCCCATTTCTTGTGGACATAGGCCTCAATAATGAATGAACCTTGGAAGGCCAATTTTACTTGTACATACCCTAATTTTCCCATTCTTAAAATGGGGGGAAATGATGCTTCTTAGTTTGGCAATGAATAACCCCAAGACCCTCAGGATATAAGAAAACCAGTGTCTCTGGGCACACTGGCTCATCCCTGTGATCCCAGCGCTTTGGGAGGGTGAGGAGAGTGGATCCCTTGATGGCAGGAGTTCGAGACCAGCCTGGCCAACATGGCGAAACCCTGTCTCTACTAAAAATATGAAAATTAGTTGTGCATGGTAGTGCATGCCTGTAATCCCAGCTACTCAGGAGGCTGAGGCAAGAGAATCATTTGAACCCGGGAGGCAGAGGTTGCAGTGAGTTGAGACTGCACCACTGCCCTCCAGCCTGGGTGACAGAGCAAAACTCTATCTCAAAAAAGAAAAGAAAACCAGTGTCATCATATAGGATGGTGATGGCCATCAAGTATCTGCCTTTCTGTTAAGTTCCACTGTGTTCTCCAGATCCTCAGTGTTTTCTGTCTGAATAATTATTACCTCTAATACTTTTCCTGGTATTTCCAGAAAAGAGCTGGTAGCAATAATGACAATGGCAAATAGCTAGCTATTTGGAGCAACAGTAGAAGACAGAAACATTCCCCACAGGATGACAGAGCAAACTGTATGTAGAGAGAAAGATGCCCCCAGCTATTAATGTCTATACAGACCTGCAAAAGTCCATATTTTCTATTCTAAATTAAGTAGATGTCATGTGTTCAAGCTCCCTGCTCTGCACTTAACACCTCCTACATCTTCCTCTATTTCCATTTCTTAATCTGTAAAGTGGGAATACTAATACCTACCCAACCTCGCTGGCAAGGCTGTTGTGACACTAAGTGAGATAATGTATGTGGAAATGCCTTAAGACAAATAAAGCACCAGATTAAATTGAATGATGTAATGTGTAGCATTGGTCAAACAGACATTTGGTGTGTGGGGTTAGCTTTGGACTATGAATGAGATAATACATGATATGACTTAGTACATGATGAAATGTACATTGGAGATGACAGGAATTGATTCATAACTTCCCCAACAATAACAGTCAGGTCAGCCAGTTTTTAAAACCTGGTTTGTTACAGCAAAGTTAACAGAGAAGCCCACTATGTTGGCCAAACTTCATGCATCTATTTGCCTTGTTAAACTCAAACAACTGAAACCGAAAAGCATCTTTGGATGCTATAAGTAGTTCTTTGGCAAACATCATGATCCATGAAGGAACAAATGGAACACCAAGTAAATGCATTCGATGGCCTGATAATGCCTCCACACCCTACTGCCAACTGATCCCCAGAAATAATGTCACTACTTCCTAAGCATCACGAGCAAGCACATGCATCTCAAGGGAGAGTGGCAAGCAGAAGTTGGAAGAGGCTGCATGTACCATGAAGGGCAAATGGAAACAGGACAGTTGGTTATAAAGATGAGAATGAGGATGATGATGAAACTGGTCAGTCATGCTGGGTCTGCAGCAATAATGCTGGAGGCCTCAGGAAGGACAGTATGGAAATGGATGCCCAGAAACCAAATCCTACTTGCTTGGTATCTGGCTCTTCCAGAACAAGCATTCATTGTCTGGGACTGCACATTTCTATTTGTTTCCTATTTTAAAACAGTATTGTTTTTACTAAGATTGTATCTCTCTAAGCCACTGTAGACAGTTGAAAATTAGAAACTCTACTCTTAAGAAGCAGCTTACATGATGACCAGAAATTATATGGTTGATATTTCCTTCCACTGAAGCAACCACTTGTTTTGACTTCATGTAACCACAGCTGAAATTTGACTCTTAATTCAAGAGTTCTGCCTTTCAAAAATACCTCGGGGAGTGGGCCTGGCATGGTGACTCACACCTGTAATCCCAGCACTTTGAGAGGCTGAGGTGGGAGGATTGCTTGAGGCCAGGAGTTCAAGACTTTGGAGCCTGGGCAACATAGTGAGAACCTCACCTCCACAAAATTTTTTTTTTTTTCAAAAATTAGCCAAGCATGGTGGCATACGCATGTAGTCCCAGCTACTCAGGAGACTGAGGTGGGAGGATCGTTTGAGCCCAGAAGGTTGAGGCTGCAGTAAGCCACGTTTGCACCATTGCACTCCAGCATGGGCGACAGAGTACAAACAAACAAACAAAACAAATTTCAGGGAATGGTGGTGATTATAGAAAGGAAAGAGTGAAACTTATATTTCAAAAGATAAGTAGATAGGCTGGGTGCGATTTCTCATGCCTCTAATCCCAGAACTTTGGGAGGCTGAGGTGGGCGGATCACCTGAGGTCAGAAGTTTGAGACCAGCCTGGCCAACATGGTGAAACCACGTCTCTACTAAAAATACCAAATTAGCTGGGTGTGGTGGCACGTGCCTGTAATCCCAGCTACTCCAGAGGCTGAGGCAGGAGAATTGCTTGAACTCGGGAGGTGGAGCTTGCAATGAGCCGAGATTATGCTACTGCACTCCAGCCTGGGCGACAGAGCAAGACTCCGTCTCAAAAATAAAAATAAAAATTAAAATTAAAAAAAGAAAATGTGTGTATTAACAGCTGGATGGCCTTGGGCAAACCACATAATAACTGGGAGCCACAGTGTTCATCATCATAAAGGGGAATGTTAATAATAATAACGTCAACTTCAGAGAATTGTTATGAAGATTTAACAAAAAATACTTTAAAACTATGCAGTACTGTCCAGAAGTTGGAGATTACTATTATTAACACAGGAAGTGCAAGACTCTTGAGAAGATGAATATCATGCTTTCTTCTTAACAGGTCCAGAAAAACATGCTTGTTTCTCAGCAGTGCTTTATTAATGTGTAGGAAAGACAAGGTTGTAGGCCTTCGTCTGCCACATTTCATCTCCCAAAGGAATTCAGAGGCAGACCTACTATCAGTCAGCAAAAGGACAAGTCTAATTTGAGATTGAGGGGAATATACAACCAAAGTTATAGTTTTATCTCAAATAGGTTTTTAAGGCTGGGCACGGTGGCTCACGCCTGTAATCATAGCACTTTGGGAGGCTGAGGTGGGTGGATCACTTGAGGTCAGGAGTTCGAGACCAACCTGGCCAATGGTGAAACCTCGTCTCTACTAAAAATACAAAAATTAGTCAGATGGGTGGTGGGCACCTGTAAACTCAGCTACTCAGGAGGCTGAGGCAGGAGAATCACTTGAACCCAGGAGGCAGAGGTTGCAGTGAGCTATCGCACCACTGCACTCCAGCCTGGGCAACACAGCAAGACTCCATCTCAAAAAATAAATAAATAAACAAACAAATAAATAAAATAGGTTTTTATTTTATCTGGTCACAAAAATGAACAACAATTTTTTTTTTTTTTTTTGCGCTGGAGTTGCTTTACTAAGGCAAGATTCAATAGGCCCCTTTGGCTAATCTATGTCATTTATTTCAAAATATTAAACAGGCTGGGTGTGGTGGCCCACACCTGTAATCCCAGCACTTTGTGAGGCTGAAGCGGGCAGATCACTTGAGGTCAGGAGTTCGAGACCAGCCTGGCCAACATGGTGAAACCCTGTCTCTACTAAAAATTAACCAGGTGTGGTGGTGTGCACCTGTCATCTCAGCTACTCGGGAGGCTGAGGCAAGATAATTAGTTGAATCCGGGAGGCAAAGGTTGCGATGAGCAGAGCTCACACCTCTGCACTCCATCCTGGGTGACCATCCATCTCAAAATAAATAAATAAATAAATAAATAAATAAATAAATAAATAAATAAATAAGTAAAAGCACTGCATGAGGTTTTCTTTTAAAAAATTATATATAATTATATATATATATATGTTTATACACACACTAGAATCCAGAAAAGCCATGAGCTTATTTGCTATGCTATGGGATATCTATGGTCATTATGAATCTTTGTTGACTTTCAAGGCTATTATTTAATAAACACTGCTGAAAAATAGCCATGTTTCTGAATTAAGGAATAGTATCATTTTTTTAAATTGATACTCTGACAAATGGCAGCAAAAGTAATGCAATACTCACGTTTCTCTTCAGCTGTATGAAGTAAAATAAAACAAGATAAAATATGTGAACAACTTTCTGTAATCATGGTGGCTATTAATCACTGCTTTGGGGTAGACACATGTAGATTGCTGTTATTTCAGCTCAGCCTTCCAGCTTGTCTACAGTTTTCTGCCATCAGAAAGCTTGGGAATATGGTCATTATACAGCTCTTCATTTTCTTTTCTTTTCTAATATGTCTCTTAACATTTATAAGTATACTTTTTAAAAGGCACTCTCTATAAAATATGATTTTTAAAAATATCTGATGAAGAAAGATGGGAATGCTCATATGATGTTGGTAGTAGTAAACTTAAAACAGCTCATTTGGTAAACAATTTAGTAACACCTACCAAACAACCATTTCTGAGAAGCTATCCTACGGAAATCATCCTTAAACATGGAAAAAGCTTTAGGTGTCAATATTGTTATCAGAACATACTTATACTTAAAAAAACCATAAAGAGGCCGGGTGCAGTGGCTCACGCCTATAATCCTGGTACTATGGGAGGCCGAGGCTGGCAGATCATGAGGTCAGGAGATCGAGACCATCCTGGCTAATACAGATATTCACTGTGTTATATGTGAAACACCGTCTCTACTAAAAATATAAAAATTAGCCGGGCGTGGTGGCAGGCGCCTGTAGTCCCAACTACTCGGGAGACTGAGGCAGAATGGCATGAACCCGGGAGGTGGAGCTTGCAGTGAGCCAAGATCGCACCACTGCACTCCAGCCTGGGTGACAGAGCGAGACTCTGTCTCTAAAAAAACAAAAACAAAAACAAAAACGAACAAACAAAAAAAAACCCCCAAACCATAAAGAACCTAAGGGATTAATTAAGAAAATAGAATATGCAGTCTTTTAAAATGGTTTTTAGGAAAGGTTTGGGATACCATGGTAAAAGGATAAGTTGTAAAGTTAAGCCAAAACATTATCCTGCCAAAAGCAGGATATAAAATTACATGTGCAATATAATAACAGTGCCTTTTTAAAAAAAACTCTTTAATTTTACACAGAAAATAGATTGAAAAGAAAAAAAAACACTAAAATGTTAAGAGTGAATATCTTTGGATAATGGATGTGCAGATTTTTAAAATTATTACTTTTGGCTGGGTGCAGTGGCTAACACTTGTAATCCCAGCACTTTGGGAGGCTGAGGCAGGCAGATTGCTTGAGCTCAGGAGTTTAAGATGAGCCTGGGCAACATAGCGAAACCCTGTCTCTACAGAAAATACAAAAACTAGCTGGGCGTGGTGGCAAGTGCCTGTAGTCCCAGCTACTCGGGAGGCTGAGGTGGGAGGATCACCAGATCCCAGAAGATTGGGGCTGCAGTGAATCGTGATCGTGCCACTGCACTCCAGCCTGGGCAACAGAGTGACACCCTGTCTCAAAAAATAAATAAATAAGTAAAAAATAAAATTATTACTTTTACTGAATTTCCCAACTTTCAAAACGAATGTTTATTACTTTTATTTTTTCAGCACAATTTCTATTTCACATGAAACATGTATTGCTTTTATCATTTAAAAATTATAACATTATTATTTTAAAAATTACTCTGCGTACAAACCTGGACAACAGAAAGCTATTCTCGTGAACCATCAGAATACACACATGGGTTATTTTTGTCATGTTCATGATTTTCAGCCAATACCATAGCTAGAGTCATTATGTAGAAGCCGTCTCAGAGCTATGGCAGCACAGGTTTTGTTTAGACTAGCAGAATAGATATTAAATATTTCACAGAGTTTTCTACTGGGATCATCAAAGATGCAATATACATGATAACAGTTTTAGAAACTTACCCACATCCCAAAACTAAAAACAAACAAAAAACCCTTGAAAATATTTTGTGTTTTCCTGAAATGTATGTTAAAGCTATCACGAACCCTAAATGAATGATCAAAGCTGATATGGTAGCTAAAGGAACAGTTGCTTGTCAAAAAAAAAAAAAAACAACAACAACTGAGCTCTCCAAACACTTTGTACACCTACCTGGGAGTTTGAACAGAGGCATTGTTGCTGAAATCCTTGATTCTAGGATAGCACAGTAGAAAAGAAGAGAGAGGAGACTGTGGGGTGACTGACTGACACTATAAAATATCCTGACATTCATTTTATTATTTTGCTTTGCCCCCGGAAATTTGATTCTTCTCTGCTAAGTGGAGAGAGATGAGCTTTGGACCTATTTATAGCTTGAGGCATTTGATAGTGAAAAACAGGTGAAGCTTTCAGTCTTTACTTTGGGATTAGAAGATATCTGTGGTGGGCCAAAAATTGCATTTCAATACTCTCTAAATCTTCTTACAGACTGGATCTTTGGCAAGTGTAGGACCACTGATGGTGATATCCCACCCTAGTGAAATACAGTGAAGTCTTTCCGGTTTCTGAAGCTATGATCCTCAGGGTTTCACATCACGCAAACAGCTTTCTGTGGTTGGTGAATATGCTGGTACATTCATCAAGCTCTCAACAGACACACACGCACACGCACACACGCTCAGGAATGCATGTTTTTATTAGTAATGTGTCTGACTTAGCAGAACTTCAGTTGACAGTTTAATGAATTAAGTGTTAAATTTACTTCAAGTCTTTTACAGAAACTCAACTGTCCTCCAGAGTATCCAGTTACCACTTCTCTACCTATTGTTATAATAAGAACAATAGCTTTGTTTTGTATAACATTTTATTGTATGTAAAACATTTGGCAAACATTATCTATTTGATACTAATTACAATCCTGTAAGGCAAGTAATACCTTATCCCTGTTTCCCAAATAAGAAAACTGGGGCTCTGACAGGTATCTTGCTCAAAGTCATTCTGTTCATCATAAATGGCAAAGCCAAGGCTCTCTGGACCCAAATCTCACGCTCTTTCCATAATAACACACAGTCTTAGTTATGACTGTATATATGTGTGTGTATATATATGTATATATGTATATATATGTGTATATACATATATTTTTTTCGAGACAGAGTCTCGCTCTGTTGCCCGGGCTGGAGTGCAGTGGCGCGATCTCGGCTCACTGCAAGCTCTGCCTCCCGGGTTCACGCCATTCTCTTGCCTGAGCCTCCCGAGTAGCTGGGACTACAGGCGCCTGCCACCATGCCCGGCTAATATTTTTTGTATTTTTAGTAGAGATGTGGTTTCACTGTGTTAGCCAGGATGGTCTTGATCTCCTGACCTCATGATCCACCTGCCTTGGCCTCCCAAAGTGCTGGGATTACAGGCGTGAGCCACTGCGCCCGGCCAGTTATGACTAAATATTTGATAGTTGCTGCTAGGTAAAGAAAGTACGCTGCTAGACTCAGCAGAAATTTTAAATTATAACAGCTTATATTGAAGATGAGCTTGGCACTTCAGATTAGCAACAGAATTATGGGCATAGACCAAATGATCTTTTTACTATTAACTATTTCTTTTTGAAAATTGGGACAAGCCTTTTTGTTGGCAAAACTTAACAATATTTTAGTGCTTAGCCTTATGGCCAACCTCTCAATCAACAATATTGCAACACATTACAAAGGTGTTACTGAACCAAAATATTTGTTCATTTCTTTCCAACTCCTTTTTGTTACATTTTTACCTGGATTTCCCAACAGTATCCACAAATTGATACATCCAAACCAAGCATCTTCCTCCATGAACCTGCTTCTCCTTCAGTAATTCCTATCTTTATATAAGTTACACTCCAATTTTCTCATTCCAATTGTGTAAATACCCTAGTTGCCTACCCAAAGATCATTTTCCCTACCTTTCTTACAAACAAAAACTTCTTTGGTTTGAGCATTAATGTGCTCAGCCAAAAAACAGCATTTGCTAGAATCCTTTGTGGCTAGAAGCGGCCATTTGACACAGCCTGGCCAAAGTGATGTAAGCAGAATTGCTGGGTGGGATGTCTCCAAAAGTTCTTTTAAAAGGGACCAGCTCAGCTGGCATATGTTTTGCCTTTTGCCCTTCCTCTTCTTCCTGCCTGAAAAAGGAAATATGTGGATAGGGGCCTCCAAACCAACCATTGTTTTAACACAAATGGTGAGCAGGACAAGAGCCACATGAAGACTATCTGAACAGAAACAAATAATTAGGGTCCCTGATGGCATCCTAAAGCCACCATATTAGTCCAGGACTTCCCATATTTAGAATTCTTGTTTAATTAAGGAATTTTTTTAAGAGACAGGGTCTCACTATGTTGCTCAGGCCAGGGTGTAGTGGTTATTGACAGGAGTGATCCTACTACTAAAATCAGCACAGGAGTTTTGACCTGCTCTGTTTCAGACCTGGGCTAGTTCACTCCTTAGGCAACTTGGTGGTCCCCCGCTCCTGGAGGGTCACCCTGTTGATGTTGAAATTAGTGTGGACACTTGATCAGCATAGATTGCTATAGCCCAGAACTCCTGGACTCAAGTGATCCTCCTACCCAAGCCTCCTGAGTAGCTGGGAGTACAAACATGCATCACCATACCCAGCAAGACTTCTTGATACATAAGAAAAATGGTTGGGCGCAGTGGCTCATGCCTGTAATCCCAGCACTTTGGGAGGCCGAGGCAGGCAGATCACGAGGTCAAGAGATCGAGATCATCCTGGCCAACATGGTGAAACCCCGTCTCTACTAAAAATACAAAAATTAGCTGGGTGTGGTGGTGCATGCTTGTAGTCCCAGCTACTCGGGAGGCTGAGGCAGGAGAATCACTTGAACTCGGGAGGTGGAGGTTGCAATGAGCTGAGATCACACCACTGCACTCCAGCCTGGTGACAAAGCAAGACTCCATCTCAAAAAAAAAAAAAAAAAAAAAGGGAAAAGTAAATTTGTTTTAGTCACTGATTAGTCAGTTTTTTTTATTATTAGAAGCCAATGTAATTCTACCTGATAAGTCATGAGTTACCTCAAAGTTGGATAATTGTAATAGATTCCTAATTATTTCCCCTGCCTCCAATCCATATTGCATAATACCACCAGGTTAAATCTTCTGAAAAACCACTTGATCATTATATTCTCAGTTCGGAAACATTCAGTGACTCTTTTTTTTTGAGATGGAGTCCTGCTCTGTCACCCAGTCTGGAGTGCAGTGGGGTGATCTTGGCTCACTGCAACCTCTGTCTCCTGGGTTCAAGCGATTTTCCTGCCTCAGCCTCCTGAGTAGCTGGAATTACAGGTGCACGCCACCACGCCTGGCTAATTTTTGTATTTTTAGTAGAGACAGGGTTTCACCATGTTGGCCAGGCTTGTCTCGAACTCCTGACCTCAAGTGATCTGCCCACCTCGGCTTCCCGAAGTGCTAGGATTATAGGCATGAGCCACCGTGCCTTTATTTTTATGACTTTCTTAAGAAAGTTTTTATGTAAGTAATCAAAAATGTAGTTCAAGAATGTTTATTGTAGCTAAACATTTATAATAGTCAAAAGGTAGGAAAAACCCACACGTCTACAATAAAAGATTGAATAAAGCATGGTATAACCATAAAATAAAATGCCACACAATAAAATAATGATGTAGATGAATACATATTAACATGAAAAACATTCACAAAATGTTATTAGTGAAAATAATATTACAACAATGTATATATAGTATAATCTTGTCTTTGTAAAAAAAGAAAAGTATTAATTTACATATCACTCTAGGCATTGAAAGCAGCTTGTGTAGTTTACACTCTTACTCTTTCTGGGTAGTGTGATGATGGTGATTTTTACCCCATTCTTTTGGCTTATGTACATTTTCTGCCATGAACAAGTATTATTTCTATCATCAGGAAACAAACTCTAAATTTAAAGGAAAACAATAATAAAAATCTCAATTGTATCATCATCCGCAGCCTTCAAGGAAAATGCCCAGAAATTCCCTCTAATGGGAAAAGTCTATCTACTCATTCTTTTTCTCTAATTAAGCATGCTTTTCTTCAGGCACCAGCATATAAGATAAACTAGCCTCACTGAATTCTATTTTTGTTTTAGTTTTAGCAAAAATATTGTTTTCTATGTCTTTTTTTAAAATTGTACTTTAAGTTCTGGGGTACATGTGCAGAACGTGCAGTTTTGTTACATAGGTATACATGTGCTATGGTGGTTTGCTGCACCCATCAACCCGTCACCTACAGTAGGTAGTTCTAATGTTATCCCTCCCCTAGCCCCCCACCTGTTTTTTATGTCCTTTAAAATGATTGGTGTGCAAATATTTCAGCTATATCATGGACCACATCAGTTGGAGCTAACCTAGGGACTTAACCATTGTTTACAACATTATTTTAGTGGAAATCATTCTAAGATCCAAATATCAAATTTACAAAGGTACTTTTTAAATAGGAGATTTCTTGTAGTTCATTGAGTTGGAGATACCTGAGGCTCTGCGGGAAGCAGATGACGCTGTACAGGACTTAACTGTACACAGATTACTGTGCCTGGCTCCTTGTTGTCCAGAAAGCCTTTACCTCCATTCTGCTATAGCAGGTCTCTCTCCTTGCTGTGAAACTTGCTGGGGCTCCCACCTCTTTCCAACCTGTTCATCACCCCACATCCTTCAATGCCTCAATGCCCACAGTAAGTTGTGGTTGAGAAGACAGCATACCCAAGAGTTCTGTGGGGCTGAGGGTGACCATCGGTAAACTGCCAGCTCCATTTTTTTTTGTTACATTGCTTCAGTGGGAGCAGTTCTGAGTTCATTACAACTTCCAGTTTAGGAATAGAACTGGAACATAGTTGCCAGCAGCAACTATAGGTTTTGTCATCCTCTTAGAGGTGTGTAACAATTCCTTTATACTTAAGGAATGCGTTTTGGTTTGGAGCATAACCAAACCTGTGGAATGATGAGGAATTTTATGCTACTTTACTGCATTCAGTCTAATTTTCCTGTCAGTAATAATTTCCCACACACGCCTAAAAATAAAGAAGTCAAATTTTTGAGACACATCCTTTTCCGTGAGACAAACTGACTTTATTTCCTGTCTCTGGAATGGAAATGAAATTCAGCAATTTGCTTTAAACAAAACAAGCTGTACTTCAGCAGTGTACTATGTTCTGTTAGAGGAGAGAGGGAGGGAGGCATACTATGGGGTCCCTGCAATAAAAACAGTGTTAGATAGTGTTCTAAGTTATTGTTTCTTGTTGATGTTGTTTATACTATATATTATTTATACTATATATATATTCATACTATATATATATTATTTAATTTTCACAATAGTCTTTTGAAGAACTATTATTTCTTCCATGTTACAGTTGAAAAACTTCAGGTGTGGAGAGGTTGACTTGCTCAAGGTCATACAACTAATAAGTGGTAGAAGTGGCATTCAAGGCAAGGTATTCTGGCTCCAGAGTGGGGGCTCTTAAGCACTGTATTATACACCATCTCACTATTATGTAGAGTGCAATGAACATGATTGTGTCTATAGAATATTGGGATCTGGACTAGACATGAGGATGTGATCTAGTGATTCCCAGTTTGATAGATGGTTGTAGAAGTAGATTGGTGAAGTCAAGTGGTTTTCATAGTTTTACGTATGAAATCTTTTTTTTAAACTAAAGATTTTTTCCCCCCACTAGAGACAGGGTCTCACTCTGTGGGCCAAGCTGGAATGCAGTGGTGCTATCATAGCTTACTGCAGCCTCAAACTCCTGGGATCAAGTGACCCTCCTGCCTCAGTTTCCTGAATAGCTAGGACTACAACAGGTGTGGGGGTAGCTAAGTTTTAAAACATTGTAGAGACAGGGTCTTGCTATGTTGCCCAGGCTGGTCTTGAATTCCTGGCCTCAAGCGATCCTCCCACCTTGGCCTCTCAAAGTGCTAGATTCCAAGTGTGAGCCACCATGCCCAGCCTCAAACTAAATCTTGAATGAAAGCCTAAAATGAAAGAGATGAACGTGGAATTAATCTGGTGTGAAACTTGTTGGGAACTCCCACTTTTTCCCAACCTGCTCTTCACCCTACCTCCTCCTCCTTCCTTGAAGTTGGGGGACAAGGGAGGAGGAGCAGAACCACAGCCGTTCAGCCTCTCTGCAAAGTCTTCTTTACACTCCAAGGACTTTGAACAGCATGGTTTAAAAACTACTAGTGGCTGGGCATGGTGGCTCATGCCTGTAATCCCAGCACTTTGGGAGGCTGAGGCAAGCAGATTGCTTGAGCTCAGGAGTTCGAGACCAGCAGGGGCAACATGGCAAAACCCCTTCTCTACAAAAAATCAGCTAGGCATGGTGGTGCACCTGTAGTCCCAGCTACCAGGAAGCTGAGGTGGGAGGATTGCTTGAGCCTGGGAGGTGGAGGTTTGCAGTGAGCTGAGATGGAGCCACTGCACTCCAGCCCGGGTGACAGAGCCAGACCCTGTCTCAAAACAAAAACAAAAA
Organism: Homo sapiens; assembly: GCF_000001405.40. NCBI lineage: Eukaryota > Metazoa > Chordata > Mammalia > Primates > Hominidae > Homo > Homo sapiens. The sequence continues at coordinate 114,701,792 of NC_000001.11, forward strand.
CCAAAACAAAACAAACAAAAAAACCTACTAGTGAATCAAAAAAAGCAGATTCTGGAAATCGGGAGACCTGGGTTTGAATTTTAGATAAAATCAATACATTTTTAGGGGATTCAGTTTTCTCATCAGTAAAATGGAGATGATTCCTACTTGATATGGATGTGAAGGATAAAATAAGATATGCAAAAGCACTTTGACATTTTTGAAGCAATATAAAAATATTGGTTTCTGTTTCTACATAGCCTTGACTTGAAAAGGAGAGGCCCAAGTAGCAGTGAGTTGTGAGTCAGTATATGCTGCATCTTGGATAGCCAAGAGGACTTGCAGGAAAATCAGGGAAGGTGACTATGGACAGTGTCCAGAGGTCAGCAGCCAGAACACTGAGGTTAAACGAGCTATATCAGAGTAAACACCGTCCTTCACCTTTGAAATAATCACAAAATTGCAATTAAGAAATTTTGTTTTAGAGGTTTCTGGGGAGACTCAGTAGAATATAAAAGATTCATAAGGAACCAGTATCTGTCAGATTCACTGCTGTATGCCCAGAGCAGCACAGGGGCTAGATACATAAATAAATTAGGTAGGAAAGTCTTAAGGAAAATGTACCAAACCAGTGTAACAAAAACATTTTGTTAGGGCTTATGGCTATGCCTCACAGGGGATCCAAATATGGTTCTCTTAGAGAAACACAGGCCTTGGTAATTCTACTTCATATGCCATGCTAGTTTTATTTTGAACTTTAATAGTAAATGTCAAACCCCTCAGCTTCACAGCCAAAACAAGCATACACTTAAAAGATCTCTTCTTCTAACTTTCAACATGTCTTTACACTTCATACCATTGATTTACAAAAATATTCCTATCAGGAATGTTGGGTCTCAGTTATAAATGTGAATTGATTTATAAGAAAATGTTTTAAAATCAAGTGCAAGTTTTCTTTCAGACTTAACTACAATCCACACATTTCAAGCTCCTACAGAAAGTATCAATAGCGCCAATTGTACCATGTCCACAGCATCCATTCTGGAAGATTGCTTTTCCTAACCTGGGTATTTCAGGCTGCTGCAAATAAAGAAGCCTGCTAGTAGGCAACTGCTAGCTACAACCACATCCTCCCCTATGAGACATGTAGCTACGTGCCTCTATCTTTAGAAACATTTAATAGCACGCTAAGTCCCAGTGTTGCAGGTGCTACCCATTTTTACTTCATATGGCTTCTACAAGTTGATGGTAATCTGAATTTATACTAGTTAAGAAACTAAGTTCATTCCTCCCCTTCATTCCCCATTCCCACTCCCGCCCCACCCCCAACACCAGTAGTTTATAATAGACTATTTCGGTGCAAGTGTGAAGTAAATCATATGGTAGAATTCAACTGCAAATAAGAATGGTCAACTCAACTCTTGGTTCATGAATCTGAACCCTCTTATGTTCCTTTTGCAACTGGAAAGAATATTTCTATTTTGTATGTTCCTGAAGTTCCAGCTGTCTTTTATTAAGGTAAAGGGTCACATTTCACTGCCCAGTTACTTTTAAAAGCATTACAAAGCATACCCTTCCCACTTGGAAACTGGACAGTGATTCTCTCTGTGCTCTCATGGAGCTGGACATCCTCAGACAGTTTTGCGAAATGATCACTAGCAAGGCCTCTTGGCCTCTTCTCATGTATTTATGGGTATCAAATAACTCATGCAACTATGTTGGCCTTTCAGTGACCTTAAATATTGCTTATGAGAACAGAAACCTTAATAGCACAGAGATGCACAGGTGGTTCCCTCATATTCCAAATAAACAAGCTTCTTTAGGTACCTTCTCATTATTTGTTTCTGTAGCTTTATTTTGCTGAACAGAACAGCAGTTCTCACCAGAAAACATCCTTTCCTCTTTTCCGTTATTAGAGGGTCAAACATTAGAACAAATTTTTGTAAAATGTATATGAAAAAGAAATAGAACTGTGGACTTTGTATGTTTCTCTCTCAAACTATCACCTAGGTCTCTATATGAGGTGATAGTTTGAAAGATACAAATTCCCTAATTCTATTTCTTTTTCAAATACATTTTATAATTAAAATATTTACTCTTTCTAGTTGTCCTAGCTAGAAAAAATATTGTCATTTAAAATTGGTTTTCCCAAGCTTACTTCAGCCACATGTTAATGACCTACCTTCCCTGCCTCCTTTTCAAGAAAAAAAAGTGAAAAAAAATTTTGATGTCTTTGGTAGAGTAAACCAAGGTCTCCAAAATTAGTATTCCAGTGTTAGTTGAAAATGCCTAGGTTTGATATTATTCTTTTTAAAGTCTCCTTAAGGTTGGGAAATCTGATATATCCTAATTCAACTCTTCTATTTTGCAATTGAAGAAACTGGGCCGGCGTAGTAAAATTATATCGGGCCTCAAGTTCTCCAGCCCCTAGCATCAATGCTCCTCCACCTATACCAAGATGGCTAGATTGTGCAGTAATGCAAAAACGAGACAAAAGAGCTCCAATGGCATCTTAATGTATGCAAATCTGACAAATAGCTATGAATCATCCCCAAGGTAATACTTTAAAGCAGGCTTTGATATATTTGATGTTATGATGAAATGAGGAACTCAGATATTCCAACACTTCCAAATGTCACATCCAAAAGTTTGAAATTAATATTAGCATTCTATAAAGGCACTTCAGTGAATATAAGAATTATGACTAAGCCAAGAACTTCCAGTTTTTATTTTTTAAACATCATTTAACAAGAAAAAACATTCAACCAAATTAAAAAGAACTAGGTTGGATTAATTTACAATAAAATAATCAACTTAAAATATCGGCCCTTCCATTTAGGGCCAAGGAGGCCAATAGTTCCTGTTTAAACAGCAGAATTGCACAATTATTTTTACCTATATTTGATGGCACAAAAAAATAAAAGTCTTACAACTTCCACGGACATCCTCCCCTCCCTCCAGAGCAGAGTTCATACAATTCCATCTTAGGTCAGTACTCAGGCTTTTAAAAATCATCTTACGTTTTGAAATATAATACAACTACTCTGGTAACAAGAATACTTTTAAAACAATTCTTATAGAAAACAAATACCTTAGATAATTGTGTGGCACATTAGACTGCTCAAAGAAACAGCAAAGATGAAAAATAATGTACAAGAATTATAGTCCCTTGTTTATAGAAACCATCCAAATAAAATATTTTCCCTAATTTTCCTTGCTTCTTATAATTTATTAGCAGAGATGAATTACAAGAAGCAGAACGCACCATTTTTTGGTTCTTGGTTGTAGCTGCCAACTTAGGAGTTCATGACTATAAATATAAAGCAAATATGATTATGCTCACAAGCTCTGGAATGGTAAAAAAACCCCACATATCTCTAAAGTGTTTCTCTATCCTTGCTTTCAAGTCATGACAAAAAAATTCACAGCAGTTTAAAGGATGGTGAAAGACTAAACATGGGCCCACTAAAATAGAGATTAATTTTACCTATTACACTCCTATAGTAAAAATTGTAATAAGTATGATATTGTATTAAGTAACATTCTATAGTAAGCCGTTGGAGCAAATACAGCATTTAAC